>NC_000015.10:38428389-38731419 GCF_000001405.40 Homo sapiens
AAATATGCATTCAACAAACAGAAGTCAATTTATTGAATATTAGATGTTATTTATTAGTTACTTAGAAATATAACCTCATATAAATGTCAAGAGTATGGGGGTTTGAATGGTAATTCTTCTACATCAAAGCATGGCATAGTAGGTACTGTGAAATGCACCCTGCTCTCCCCCATTGAATATGTATGCACACACACACACACACACACATACAAACACACACACACACACACACACACACACACAAGCTTATCTTTGGAGTTCAGGTGAGAGCATCTTAACCTCAGAAAACGTTATCAGGCTTGTATTAGTCAAGAGTAACTCCTAAAAGTAGCTTGAACAAAGTAGCTTTAAAAAACAGGAGCGTATTAGCCTCTGTGATGGGCAATTCAAGAGATGGATTTTTTAGGCAGAGCTAGATTGAGGGGTTCCAGTGTGCCCCAGCTCTGCTTTAATCCATGTTGATTTAATTCTCAGGCAAATTCTTTCCACGCGATGATGGAATAACTCCAAGTTCAAGTCCTTACAATGGGAGATCCCAGAGAACAGAGAGCATCTCTTTCCAATACCATAGAGACCTGCTCTATGAGTGACCACTGCTTTCTTATTGATGATGTCCCTGGAACTATTCTGCTACATCCATGTATTACAGGGGACACCCCGTGGCAATCCTAATCCCTAGTTAATCCCCACTTTCCTAATCCTACTTCAGAAGCAGCCTCCAATCCAGAACCGATGTTCAGTTCCTGGATCCTGCTCAAAATCCTTCAGTGAAACACACACTGTACAGAAGACGTTTCCTGCTCCTTCTTGTTGAGTGGTCTGCCACAGTGCTTCTGCCATGTGCTCCCTCACTGAAAATCAATACATCTGATTTTGTCAGATTATACATTGTGCCCAGTGGTCTTTGGCTAATTAAGCTTTAACAGGGAAAGAGGAGAAATGAGCTGCTATATATTGCTTTTACCCTAAATTAGTCCCTAGAGGATGTTTTCTGATCATATTTTTTTCCTGTGTCCTTGACTTCCTTAAGCAGCGCCTGTTCATTTTCACTGGAAATGTTCCAAATGGATCAGAATAATTTTGACATTGTGTCACCAGGGACATCCTCCTTTTAATATCTAGCATCACACAAAAACAAACATTGCATTAGTCCTGAAAGAGTTCTGACTCTACATAATTAATTTTCAACACAAAACTAATATAAATAGGAATGTGGAAAAAATAGGTATTAAAGGTAAAATGGAGGCTGGGCACAGTGGATCATGTCTGTAATCCCAACACTTTGGGAGGCTGAGGCAGGAAGATCACTCGGGCCCATGAGTTCAAGACCAGCCTGAGCAACATGGTGAGACCTCATTTCTACAAAAACATACAAAAATTAGCCAGATGTGGTGTGTGTGCCTGTACTCCCAACTAATCAGGAGGCTGAGGTGGGAGGATCACATGAGCCTGGGACGTTGAGGCTGCAGTGAGCCATGATGTGGGTTTGAATGGTAATTCTTCTACATTAAAGCATGGCATGGTAGGTACTGTGAAATGCACCCTGCTCTCCGCCATTGAATATGTATGCACACACACACAGCCTGGGTGGTAGAGCAAGACCTTATCTCAAAAAAAAAATTTAAAGATAAGATGGAAATGGAAATATGACAGATCAAGATAGTGACTGCTTGTAGCCCAATGTAAACTTATCTGTTTGAATTTCTTCTCTTTAGAAGCTTATTTCTATACCATTAAGTTCATGTTATCTGTGCTGCTTAACAAACCTATTTGCCAACTTCAAATAACTATTTCACCAACCTCGTGGATTCTTTGGGTCAAGAATTCAGAAAGGATACAGTGGGGATGGCTTATCTCCTTTTGGTATATCTGGGACCTCAGCTGACAATGACACAAACACTGGGAGTGATGATGGCTGGGAGCAAATGTCAGCTGGAGGTTTTGTCTTTCACATGTCTGGCAGTCGATGCTTGCTGTGTGCTGGGACATCAGTTGTAGCTGTAGGCCAGAACACCTACCTAGGACCCATTCAGGGGGATTGTACTTCCCGCTAGTATCATGGCCTCAGAATTTTCTTACATGGCAGATCAGAGCACCAAAGGCCAGTGTCTCAAAAGGACCACTTGGGAAGAGTGTTGCCTTTGATACTTAGCCTGCAGTACAGCATCACTTCCACTGTGCTCTAGTGGGCTACCAGTCACATGCCTTCCCACATTTGAGGGGAAGGTACATGGGCCCTACCTGTCCATGGAGGAAGTGCCAAAGAATTTATGAACATGTTTTAAAACTGTCACAAATAATGATTCCTCCCCCTGTCTCTTTCTCTCTTTCCTTTTCCCTTTCTCTCTCTCTGTCTTTATATGTATCCAGTGATATCTATCATGTATTTATGTAGTGGTATACATTCAGGGATTCTTTCTGGAACTCATTTCTTGCTCTCAAGACATACCATACGTATTTTCAGTAATTTTACATTTGGAGTAAACTCAATTCAACTTAATTGGATTCAACTAAAGCTGAAATTTACTGAGAAAAGTATTCTGTGAAAGGGTTGAGTTCAATCCATAGTAACTTTAACTGGGGATTGAAAAATAGAAGTTTTGTCCTGTAGGGCAATCTGAGTACAGTCGTCCTTCGGTATGTGAGGAATTTGTTCTATGTCACCTACCTCACCCCACCTTGGATGCCAAATACTTAAAATTATCTCTAGATTACTTATGATACCTAATACAATGTAAATGCTGTGTAAATAGTTGTTATACTGTATTTTTATTGTGATATTGTGAATTTTTTTTTCTAATGTGTTCAATCTGAGGTTGGTTGAATCCCCAGATGTGGAACCTGAGGATATGAGTGTAATGGCATGGCTTCCATTGTGAGCCACTGCAATGCATTTTTGTTTGAGTTTTGGGGTGGAGGCTAGGGAAAAATACAGTTGATCTTTGCTGTTAGAAAAGTACTGATTATACTGATTAAAAAGAAAAAGCCATCCCTCACCTGTTAGTGACTACCAATTTGACCTAATAGTCTCTGGACAGTGAGAGTAGATTATTCAAGGTTGGGACCAGTTAATGAGTGGTTTCAGGCTTAAATTACACAAAAAATAAAAGCAGAAAAAAAAAAACTAGATTCTGGCACCGATAAATCAGATTAATTTATTCTGGTAGTCCAAGTGTATTTAAAATATCAATAAATGTAAAAAAGAAATAGTCAGGTTCCCAGGGGAGTGTTTTTCTGGAAGAACCCACTTTAGTGTCAAAATTTTACTGGTCTTCATCCAAAACATTTGAAAGCAGGGAGGGATTTTGAATCCTAGGCATAAGGATAAGCAGTTTGCTGGAGTGAAAAATGACAGATTCTTGTTTTTACAAAGATCACCAAATAATTTGCTTCTGGGAAAACAGAATTGATCAGATATAATATTTGTTTTCCTTGTTAATTATTTGTTAGTGTTGCTCACAAGATAGGCATCCCAATTCACCAAAGCCCCTAGTGGGATGGCTGTCATACAACAGTGTCTGTGAAGATCTTCTGTGTTTGAACCAATGCAGGAGAAAATATTATCCTCCATAAAAGGTAGCTTTGAGATTTTGAACCCAAACAGTTTACGTGCAGTAAGGTGTACAGTCTGCCACAAATACTTTATATTTGATCATCACTATCTTCTTTGTCATAAATGCTTGAAACTAATAAAATATGAAGTCAATGTTAATGAATTAGCATTTAGCATTTTATGGCTGTGGGTTACCATGCCTACCACTTAAAATAAGTCTGTGTTCCTAGCATTATATATGGATCAAGAAAAGGGAATGTTTGTGGTTTGAACTGGATAAAAATGAATGCAAAGTTGGTTAATGAGTTATTGCTTGTGAAATAAAACAGCAAAGACTACTTCTAACTATATGATAACTTTTTTGTAATGCCTTCAGAGAAACATCAGGTAATGCTATTAACAATTGCCTATTTAATGTTTACTCATATAAGGGCTGCCTTCATGTATAAATACATACATATATCCTATATTTGCACTCAAATTTAACATCAAAGAGTATGATACTGCTAAGGTGAACCTTTGCTGTTTGGGTTGCCCAACATTTATTCCCCTTCCTGTCAGTAACAACAGTTCCCCTGTTGTTTGGGGATCCCTTTCTACCTCCAAGTACTCAGAGGATACTAATTCTACTGTCAGATTCAGGACTGGGTCTTGATAGGCTTCAATCAATGAGCACAGCCTCTCCTTCTGGCCACAGTGTTAGTACAAGAATAAGCACAGATCTGGTTTGGACCCAAGACAAGTAAGATGTGACTGAAGTCTCTTTCCAGACACTTTTCTTTTTCTGAGAGCATCATCATCAGAACTCCTTTGTGATATAAAGATGCATAAAACCAGGAAGTCTACATCAGGGGCGTTAGAGCTGAGAGGGTTTCAGAGAAATAGAGCCAAGGCCTTGTGAAGAGTCTCTGGATCAAACCATTCCTAAAACCAGAAATATTCTTCCACTATGAATTTACATGAGCCAACACATTCCTATTTTAGCTTCAGTCAATTCAGACTGGGGTTTCTGTTAGTTGTGGCAATAAGAGTCCTAAGTGTGACATAGACTAAAGTGTTCAGTAAAAGAAAGAGCAAAATATTTAGCTGAATTGATCACCTTATTTACATATAAATGTCCATAAGATAGAATTTGTAATATTTCAATATAATGTTACATAAGGTGGCTTTTCTTCCTCCCATCCCCCTGTCCTGGTTCCTGGTGAGAATGAAATAAGGAAATGAGTTATCGAGGGAATATTGGAACATTCTTATTTTACCTTTTGAGGAAGATTCTAGTGTTTTAAGTGATTCTAGCGAAATCAGAGGAAACTTTCTCCTTTTCAGGTTATCACCTCTGACAGTCTGACAGAGAAGGAGGCACATTAAGAAGAATAATGAGGTCCAGCCCAGGCTTAGCAGAATAGGTGAAGCTCTATTACTATAAAAATCTAAGGTGCACAAGGTGGAGAATGATGGCTGTCATGCTATGCCTGTGTTACATACATTATTTTTAAAAACAGCTTTTTGAAGTATAATTGACATATCATAAATGGCACTTATTAAAGTATGCGATATGATAAATTTTGGCATATTTATACACATGTGCATTCATCACTGCAATCAAGATAGTGAACACATCAATCACTTCCAAATGTTTCCTTCTGCTGCTCTGTAATCTTCCCTCTTACTTGACCTTGACAGCCTCTGCCCCCTACCTGTCTCCAGGCAACCACTGATTTGCTTTCTGTCACTGTAGGTTACCTTATTTTTCTATAATTTTTTTAATCTAAAATTTTATTTTAGATTCAGGGGTATATGTGCTTGTTTGTTACATGAGTATAACTTGTACAATGGGTGGGGGGTGGGCCTCTAGTGTACCCATCATGCAAATATTGGACATTGTACCCAGTAGGCAATTTTCATCCCTCACGCCCCTCCCTCCTCCCTCCTCCCTCCTTTAATAGTCCGAGTGTCTATTGTTCCCATCATTTTTTTCATTTCTTTTTTTTTCTTACCCCACCAGGAGTGAAAAAAATTATGTTTCTTTTTTTTGTCCCATCTTTATGTCCATGTGTACCATTTGTTTAGCTTCCACTTGTAAGTGAGAACATGTGATATTTGATTTTGTGCTTTTGTGTCAGTTCACTGATGATAATGGCCTCTGGCTCCATCAATGTTGCTGCAAAGGCATGACTTTATTCTTTGTTATGGCTACGTAGCATTCCATGGTATATATGTACCACATTTTCCTTATCGAGTCAACTGTTGGTGGACACTTAAGTTGGTTTCATGACTTTACGATTATAAATAGTGCTGCTGTAAACATAGGTGTGCAGGTATCTTTTTTATATCATGATTTATTTTCTTTGAGTAGATACCCAGTAGTGGGATTGCTGGATCAAATGGTGGTTCTGATTTTAGTTTTTTGAAATATCATCATACTGTTTTCCATAGAGGTTAAACTAATTTACATTCCTATCAACAATGTATGAGCATTCCCTTTTCTCTACATCCACACCTTCTCTTGTTTTTTCACTTTTTAAAAATAGCCATTCTGACTAGTGTAAGATGGTATCTCAGTGTGGTTTTAATTTGCATTTCTCTAATGATTAGTTGATGTTGAGCATTTTTTCATGTATTTCTTGGCCACTTCTATGACGTCTTTTGAGAAATGTCTGTTCATGTCCTTTGCTCAGTTTTTAATGGGGTTACTTGTTTTTTCCTTAGGGTTGTTTGAGTTCCTTATAGGTTCTGAATATTAATCCTTTGTCAAAGGCATAATTTGTAAATATTTTCTTCCATTCTTTAGATTTTTCTATTTAGCCATTGATTATTTGTTTTGCTCCGCAGAAACTTTTTAGTTTGATTAAATCTCATTTGTCTATTTTTGTTTTTGCTGTATTTGCTTTTGGGCTCTTCATTATAAATTCTTTGCCTAAGCCAATGTCTGGAAGGGTTTTTCCTAAGTTTTTGTCCAGAATTTTTATAGTTTCAGGTGTTACATTTAGGTCTTTAATCCATCTGGAGTTAATTTTTGTATATGGTGAAAGATAAAGGTCCAGTTTCATTCTTCTACTTATGGCTAGCCAATTTTCCTAGCATCATCTGTTGAATATGGTGTCCTTTCCCCATTGTTTATTTTTGTCAGCTTTATTGAAGATCAGTTGATTGTAGATATGTGGCTTAATATCTGGGTTGTGGCTTAATGTTTGGGTTCTCACTTCTCTTCTATTGATCTATGTGTCTGTTTTTGTACCAGTACCATTGCTATTTTACTTATGATAGTCTTACTGTATAATTTGAAATCAGGCAATGTGATGCCGCTGGATTTGTTCTTTTTGCTTAAGAGTGCTTTGGCTATTTGGGCTTTGAAGGGTTCTATATGAGCTTTAAAATTGTTTTTTCTAATTCCTTAAAAAAATAGTTTGGTAATTTCATAGGAATTCCATTGAATGTGTAGATTGCTTTTGGTAGTATAGTCATTTTAATGATATTGATTCTTCCAATCCATGAGCATGGGTGTTATTTGTTTTTGTTTTCTTTTTTTTGAGCCAGGGTCTTGCTCTGTTGTCCAGGCTGGAGGACAGTGGCATGATCACATCTCACTGTAGCCTCTACCTCCCAGGCTCAGGGAATCCTCCCACCTTAGCCTCCTGAGTAGTTGGGACCACAGGTGCACACCACCATGCCTGGCTAATTTATTACTATTATTATTATTACTTGTAGAGAGGAGGCCTCACTATGTTGCCTAGGCTGGTCTCAAACTCCTGAGCTCAAGCAATCCTCCTACCTCAGCCTCTCAAAGTGCTGGGATCGCAGACATGAACCAAGGTGCCTGGACAAGTATGGGATTTTAAAAAATTTATTTATGTCATCTACAATTTCTTTCATCCATGTTTTCTAGTTCTCCTTGTAGAGATCTTTCACCTCCTTAGTTAAATGTATTGCTAGGTATTTTATTTTTGTGTGTGGCTATTGTAAATAGGATTGAGTTCTTCATTTGATTCTCAGATTGAACATTATTTGTATATAGAAATGCTACTGATTTTTGATGTTTATTTTGTATCCTGAGACTTCACCAAAGTTGCTCATCAAGACTAGGAATCTCTAGAGAAGTCTCTAGGGTTTTCTAGGTATATGATCATGTTATCAGTGTACAGAGATAATTTGACTTTCTCTTTTCCAATTTGAGTGTCTTATTTCTTTCTCTTGTCTGATAGCTCTGGCTAGGGCTTCTTGTAAAATGTTGAATAGGAGTGGTAAAAGTGGACATCCTTGTCTTGTTCCAGCTCTAAGAAGATATGCTTTAAATTTTTCCCCAATCAGTATGATATTGGCTGTGGGATTGTTGTAGACGGTTCTTATTATTTTGACGTATGTTCCACCTACACCCAGTTTGTTGAGGGTTTTTATCATAAATGGATGTTGGAGTTTATTGGATGCTTTTTCTTCATGTATTGAGATGATCATAATTTTTTTTGTTCTCAGTTCTGTTTATGTGGTGGATCACATTTATTGATTTATCTATGTGTAACCCTCCTTGCATTCCTGAAATAAAGCCCACTTGATCATGGTGAATCATCTTTTAATGTGCTGTTGGATTCAGTTTGCTAGTATTTTGTTGACAAGGATTTTTGCATCTATGTTCATCATGGATATTGACCTATAGTTTTCTTTTTTTGTTGTGTCCTTGCCTGATTTTGTTATCAGAATGATACTGGATTTGTAGAATGAGTTAGGAAGAGATCTTTCCTTCTCAATTTTTTGGAATAGTGTTAGTAAGAGTGGAACTGGCTCTTCTTTGTACTTCTGGTAAAATTCAGCTATGAATCCATCCGGTCCTGGGCTTTTTTTTTTTTTTTTTTTTTTGTGAGGGGAGATTTTTAACTACTGATTCCATTTCATTACTCATTATTGGTATCGTTCAGGGTTTCTACTTCTTCCTGGTTCAATCTTAGGAGGTTGTATCTTTCCAGGAATTTATCAGTTTCCTCTAGGTTTTGTAGTTTATGTGCATAGATGTGTCCATAGTAGTACCGGATGATCTTTTGTATTTTCTGGTATCAGTTGTGGTGTCACCCTTACCATTTCTGATTGTACTTATTTGGATCTTCTCTCTTTTGCTTAGTCTAGCTAGCAGTCTGTCAATTCTGTTTTTCCTTTCAAAGAACCAATTTTTTCGTTTTATTGATCCATTGTATCTTTTTTTTTGGTCCCAATCTCATTTAGTTTTGCTCCAATCTTTGTTATTTCTTTTCTTCTGCTAATTTTAGGTTTGATTTTTTTCATGTTTTTCTATTAGGTTGCTAATTTGAGATTTTCCTCTCTTTTTGATGGAGGCATTTAATGTTATAAACTTTCCTCTTGACACTGCCTTTGCTATATCCCAGAGGTTTTGGTATTTTGTGTCTCTATTTTCATTCATTTTAAAGAATTTTTTTGTTCCTGCCTTGATTTCACTGTTTACCTAAAAGTCATTCAGGAGAAAGTTTTTTATTTTCCATATACTTGTGTAGTTTTGAGAGTTCCTCTTGGTTTTAATTTCTAATTTTATTTCTCTGTGGTCTGAGAAGATATTTAATATGATTTTGATTTTTTTTTTTTTTTTGAGACGGAGTCTTGAACTGTTGCTGGAGTGCAGTGGCATGATCTCAGCTCACTGCAACCTCTGCCTCCCAGGTTCAAGTGATTCTCCTGCCTCAGCCTCCTGAGTAGCTGGGATAACAGGTGCCCACCACCACGCCTGGCTAATTTTTTGTATTTTTAGTAGAGACAGGTTTCACTATGTTGGCCAGGCTGGTCTCGAATGCCTGACCTTGTGATCCACCTGCCTCTGCCTCCCAAAGTGCTGGGATTACAGACGTGAGCCACTGCACCTGGCCATGATTTTGATTTTTTAAAATGTATTGAGATTTGCCTTATGGCCAAGCATATGGTCAGTTTTAGAGAATGTTCCATGCACAGGTAAAAAGAATGTGTTGCAGGACAATCAAAGACTGGAGAGACTGAAAAAAGTTCAGGAGAGTCTATTAAGGTGATCACCGGTCCAGCCAGACATATATCCAGAAAGCCTGAGCCCTGAACAAAGGGCTTTTCCTACTTTTAAACATCTTAAGGCAGGAACTATGTGAAGCTGGAAGTGAGTTACAGAAGCAAGAAACAAAGGCGGCGTTGCAACATTTCTTACATGTTGAGAAAGACATGATTTGCAACCTAAACTTATCAGTCTTGTGACCCTGCAGTCATGCAGGAACTCACTGGGCCTGTAATAAACTTTGAGGAATGTGGAGTTGGGGAGTATAGATAAGGTCCACTGTCCACAGAGAGAAGACAGGCTGTTAATATTCCCTTTTAACTTGAGTGTAAGGTGGGGGGGGGGGTCACACTTTGCAGCAACTTTAAGAGGACTTTAAAATTTCTATTACTACTACTATTAAGTTATAGTTGATTTCATTAATTCCTTCTTCAAATGTATATTGTGTAGTTTTGGGTAGACTGTTCTATAGATGTCTCCTAGATCCAGTTGGTCTGTAGTCCAGTTTAAGTCCAGGGTTTCTTTGTTGACTTTCTGCCTTGGTGATCTATCTAGTGATGTCAGTGAAAGTGTTGAAGTCCCTCATTATTATTGTATTGCTATCAGTCTGTTTTTCACTGGTCTGGTAGTATTTATTTCATGAATCTTGGTGCTCCATTGTTGGGTGCATCCATATTTAGGATAGTAAATATTTCTTCTTTGTCTTTTTTACTGTTGTTGGTTTAAAGTCATTTTATCTGATATGAGAATGGCTATTCCTGCTTGCTTTTCTTTTCTATTTGCATGATGTATCTTTTTCCACCCTTTTACTTCTGAGTCTAAATGTGTCTTTAGTCAGTAGGTTGGTCTCTTGTAGGGAGCAGATGGCTGGGTCTTATTTTTTAATCAAAATTTGCCACTGTGTATCTTTTAAGTGGGAGCATTTAGGTCATTTGTATTTAAGGTTATTATTGATATGTGAGGTTTTGTTCCTGACATAGTGTTGTTAGCTGGTTGCTTTGGAGTTTCTATTGTGTAGTTGTTTTATAGGATCTTTGAGCTTTGCACTTATGTTTCCTTTTCTGATGGTGAGTATCATCCTTTCATTTCCATGTTGAGAACTTCTTTGAGCATTTCTTGTAGGGCCAGTCTAGTGGTGACAAATTCTCTTAGCAATTGCTTATCTAGAAAAGATTTTATTTCTTCTTCATTTATGAAGTTTAAGTTGTCAGGATATAAAATTCTTGGTTGGTATTTTTTTTTTTCTTTAAGGAGGCTAAAAATAGGCCCCAGTTTTTTTCTGGCTTGCAGGGTTACTGCTGAGAAGTCTGTCTACTAGTCTATCTGTTAGTCTAACAGGTTTTCCTTTGCAGGTGATTTGACCTTTTTCTATAGCTGCCTTTAAGATTCTTTTCTTTAGTGTTGACCTTGGATAGTTCGGTGACTGTATGCCTTGGTGATACTTGTTTTGCACAGTATCTTGCAGGTGTTTTCTGGATTTCTTGTATTTGGATGTCTACCTCTTTAGCAAGATTAGGGAAATTTTCCTGAATTATTCCCTCAAATATGTTTTTTGAGTTGTTTACTTTTTCTCCTTCTCTCTCAGGAATAGTAATAATTCACAGGTTTGGTCACTTTACATAAACCCATATTTCCTAAGGCTTTTTTCATTTTTAAAAATCTTTTTCTTTTCTTTTCTCTGTCTTTTTTGAAGCGAGGTCCTCCAGTGTCATCCAGGCTGTAGTGCAGTAGTCACTGCAGCCTCAACCTCCCAGGTTCAAGCAATCCTCCAACCTCAGCCCCCCAAGTAGCTGAGACCACAGGTGTGCACCACCATGCCTGGCTAATTTTTAATTTCTTTTTTCTTTACTTTTGTCTAACTAGGTTTGTTCAAAAGACTGGTCTCTGAGCTCTGAAATTGTTTTATTTGCCTGGTCTAGTCTATTGAGAAGGCTTTCAATTGTATTTTGAAATTCCTCAAGTGAATTTTTCAATTCCAGAAGTTTCTGATTGATTTTTTAAAGATGTTTTTTAAAATCTCTGCCTTCATTTCCTAGATTGCTTTTGTAGTTTCTTTGTGTTGATTTTCGACCTTGTCTTGGATCTTGTTGAGCTTCCTTGCAATTCATACTTTGAATTGAATTATAAAATATGAATTAATGCTTCCTTTGAATCCATTCTTTATCTGTCATTTCTGAATTTCCATTTTGGTTAGGAGGCGTTGCTGGAGAGCTAGTGTGATCCTTTGATGCTGTTGCAACATTCAGATTTCTCATGGTGCCAGAATTTTTATGCTTGTTTTTTGTCATCTGGAGAGGCTGCCACTTCTAATTTTTGAAATCATTTTCATTCAGATAGAATGTTTTTCTTCCCTTTCTCCAGCCTCTCTAGGGAGTGTGACTGTAGAGTATGTTGGATAGGGTCTTTGGGCTTTGATTTCTATACCCGCTCTGCACTTCTGTTGGCAGGTTTTATATTGAGCTATGCAGTTCCATCTACAGGCCAGTAGATGGCGCTGATGGGTAAGAGTCAGCTGTGGCACGAGCAGATGGGTATGTAACTGATCTTTGTTTACTGTGAGGTGTTCTGTGTTGTTTCAGGTGATAGGCTGGACAGTGGAGTGCCAGATATCCTGAACTTCCTGTTCTGCAATAGGGGTGGTGGGGGAAGGGGTGGAGACAGCTGGGCAGAGCCGGACCTCCTGGCTTGCCTACAAATTCCCCAGTGGCAAACACAGGGACCAGCCCTGATGAGGGCGGCTGGCAGGAGCTCCTGGTGAAATGTGCTGAGGTCTCTGCAGGTGGTGAGGGGGCTGCACCGGCTCCACATCCTAGAAGGACAGGAATATGATCTGTTTCCCTATCATAACCCCGTCTTTGGGCTCATGACTTCCTGTTTGTATGCACACTAAAGTCTATCTCTGGACCACAGTGCGGTTGAGAGCCATGGGAAAACCCTTTCTGCAACTCTCCATGGGTGTTGCTTCAGGGCATTAACTTCTCACTCAGCCTGTCACAGATAGCTTTATGGCTCACTTGTTTTCCAGTGTGGTAATGTTGCTGCTTTGTGTAGAGGTAGGGGCTCCACCTTTGGGCCCGTGCAGGAGGGTGTTGGTTGTGGTGGTATTGGCTGATTGTGTCAAACCAATCTGATGCCCTGGTGAGCTGATCAGGTGCCCACTGTGTTGAAATGGGCTAGGTAGTTCCCCAGTTCCCAGGCCCCTAGATGGCCCACTGGATAGTGTGTGTGAATGTATGAGTTCTGGTGGGGCTGGACAAGGGTTGGGTTAGCCCAGAGTTCAGGTGCTGGCTGTGATGGGGAGGGGTGAACTGGTCCCCGGGTCACTTGCAAAACTCTCAGGTGAGGGCAGGCTCCCACCCAGGCAGTGGGAGCCCAAGGGAAGATCACAGGTCTCTGGGGATTGTGTTCTCAGGAGAGCTCTGGGCCGCAGCTGAAATGTTCAGGTGGAGACAGAGCAGCTGGGGAGGGCCGGACCCCTCAGCTGGAGCAATGGAGACTGGCAGCTGTGGGGTGTGTGACACACTCACACTTCCCTTCTATATAAGTAACATTGGAGTTCACTATTGGGGGCACACAAGGGTGCCAATATTTCTCTTGTGTTGACCTGAGAGTGGTAGTGGCAGAGGCTGTGGTAGTGGCAACTGCCAGAAGCTTGTGGCTGGCCTCAGAAAATTGGGCTTGCAGAGGAACTGAGCTACAGCCAGATGTCCAGGCAGGGGCAAGAAGACTGCACTGGGGGCTGGAAGACAGTGAGCCTCATTTGATGGGAAGCAGCTGAGGTGGGGAGTCATGGGGAGTGCAGTCTACTTGCTGTTCATTTGTATCTCAGCTGTGGCACATGAAAGTGCCCTAGCTCCTCATTCCCTCTTAGCCTGGGGGCAGCAGAGGGGAAGGGAGTGGCAGCCATGACTGAAAAGGGTCTGTCAGCTACCTCTGGGAGTTATGCACTCAGATGAGCACAGAGCTGCGACAGCTGAGTGAGTCCAGGGAGGGGCTGTGTGTGTGTACTGGGGGCTGGCAGGTAGCAAGCCCCGTTTGGCAGGGAGCAGCAGAGATGAAGAGTTGCGGGGTGTGCAGTGTGCCCACTGTTCCTCCATATCTCAGCTGTTATGTTCATGCTGGAGACACACAGAAGTACCCAGACTCCTCGGCCTCTCTTTGCCTGGGGGTAGCAGGGGCAGAGGCAGCGACAATGGCCGTACAAAGGGCTTGTTAGCTATATCTGGGAGTTTTGCACCCAGAGGAATGCAGACCTCTGACTGCAGTATTCCGGCAGGGGCAGGGTGGCTGTGCAGGTGGCCCAAGCCAGCAAGCCCCGACTGGCAGGGAGCAGTGGAATTGGGGGTAATGTAATATGCAGTCTGGCCACTCCTCAGTTTTGCAGCTTTGGCTTCTATCCCAGGGGTGTGCAAAAGAACCTTGTTTCCTTTATTAGTGGGGTAATGGTAGCTGGCACTGGGCTGCCCAGGGATCAAATGCCTGTGAGGTTCCATGTGAGCTGGGGTAGTATCTCTGCACAGACTCCAGGAAGCTCTCTGTGTTGGTCTAGAGGCCTGGGGTAGTCAAGGACAGTCTCTTGTGCCCAGGATTGTAAAGGCCCATGGCAGAAGTGTGGATCTCCTGGAGACCCTCACTCACTTATCCTTTCCCCAGGCTAGGGAGCTTCCTCCAGGTTCCTGCCAGTCCTGTGTGGGCAGTTGCCTGGCTTCAGTCCTTTCTGCCCTCCATGGGTCTGGTCCCTTCCTTAGTGAATCCCAGAGTGATTTCTTAGATGATGATGCATGATATAGTTGGGCCCTGTGTCCCCACCCAAATCTCGTCTTGAATTGTAATTCCTACATGTTAAGGGAGGGACTTGGTGGGAGGTGACTGGAACATGGGGGCGGTTTCCCCCATGCTGTTCTCATGACAGTGAGAGTGTTCTCACGAGATCTGATGGTTTAAAAGTGGTAGTTTCCCCTGCGCACTCTTTCCTGCCACTTTGTGAAAAAGTACTTGCTTCTCCTTCACCTTCCACCGTAATTGTAAGTTTCCTGAGGCTTCTCCAGCCATGCAGAACTGTGAGTCAATTAAACCTCTTTCCTTTATAAATTACCCAGTCTCAGGTAGTATCCTTATAGCAGTGTGAGAATGGATTAATACAATGCAGTTGAAGAGTCAGTATTTATTTGCTACTTTGTTTCTTTCCTGTGAGACAGGCATGAACTAGCTGCTTCTAGTCAGACATCTTGAATCAGACCCCCCAGAATTTTATATAAATAGAATTGTACATTCTGTGCACTTTTTTGACTTGCATTTTTCACTCATTACAATTATTTTGGGATTTAACCATATTGTTATGTATATCATTGATTTATTTCTTTTATTGCTGAGCAGTATTCTACTATATGGAAATACCAGAATATGTTTACTCATTTCATACACATGTTGATGGTCATTTGGTTTATTTATAGTTTGGGTAAACATAATGCTATAAACATTAACATACAAGTATTTTGTCTGGATGTACGCTTGCCTTTCTCTTGGGTACATGGTATTGGAATGTAGAGTTATATAGTAGATATATGTTCAACATTTTAAGAAGCCATTATACTGTATTCCAAAGTATTGCATGATTTTACATTCCTACCAGTGGTATGTGAGAGTGTAGGTTGCTCCATGTCTTCCTCACACTTGGTATGGTCAGATTTTAAAATTTCAGCCATTGACCAGGTGTGGTTGCTCACACCTGTAATCCCAAGCACTCTGGGAGGCCAAGGCAGGCAGATCACTTGAGGTTAGGAGTTCGAAACCAGCCTGGCCAACATGGTGAAACCCCTTCTCTACTAAAATTGCAAAAATTAGCTGGGCATGCTGGTGCGTGCCTGTAATCCCAGCTGCCTGGGAGGCTGAGGTGGGAGAATCGCTTGAATCTGGGAGGCAGACGTTGCAGTGAGCCAGATGGCGCCACTGCACTCCAGCCTGTACAACAGAGTGAGACCCTGTCTCAAAAAAATAACAAAAAACAAAACAAAACAAAAGAAAAAATTCAGCCCCTATAAGTATATGGTGATATTTCATTGTGATTTAAGTTTGCATTTATGACAAATTGAACATAGTTGTATGTACTTATCTTTCATCCACATATCTTCTTTGGTGAGGTATCTGTTCAAATCTTTTGCTCATTTTTTAAAGTTGGGTTGTTTGTTTTCTTATTTTTGAGTTTTAGGATTTATTTATGGATTCTTGATACAAGTCTTTTATCAGATATGAGTTGCAAATATTTTCTCAGGCTTGTGGCTTGCTTTTCATTCACTTAATGGTGTCTTTTGGAGAGCAAAAGTTTTTAATTTTCATCAAGTGTAATTTATCAATTTTTTATCTTACAGATTTTGTATTTGGTATCTTGTTTCAGAAATCTTTGCCTAACCCAAGACTAACAGATTTTCTCCTATGTTTTCTTCTAGAAGTTTTCTTTTTGTTAACCATTATATTTAGTTTACTGACCCATTTTAAGTTAAATTTTGTATATGTCAAAGTTATGTATGGCTTCTTACTGGGGAGAAAAATCTTTTAAGGGGGTATTTTGGTAGAGAAAATGCAATGTCTTCATCAACCGTTTGTTTTTCCTTCTAGGCACACAGCCTAGACTATTTCCCAGCATCTCTGCAGTTAGGTTAGGGTAGTATGACTTAGTTTTAATTTGTGCAAGGTGGACAGAATTAATGTGCTTTCTTCTAGACCATACTGTACAACTCTTTGTATAATCCTCCACATTCTTCATATCCGTTTTCTATGCTAACTTTGGTTGCCATGTGTCCAAAGTAGCTGAGTCACAAAAAAGATGTTAGGTTCCTAAACTGCCACATGAAGGGCCATTGTTCTGATTATTTAATGCTGCACAATAAACCACACCAAAAGTTAGTGGCTCATACAACAGTCTTTTATTAGATCTTATGACTCTCTGAGTTGACTGGGCTCAGCTAGTGGCTCTTGCTTGAGATCTCTCTTGCAATTGAGGGCACTTGTTGGATAGTACAGATGGCTGCAGTCATCTGATGGCTCAACTGGGTGAGTGACCAAGAAGGTCCACTCACATGGATAGCAGATAATGCTGGCTATGTGCTGGAAACCCAACTGGGATGTCAACTGGAGGGCTTACACTTGGCTTCTCCATGTAGCATGAAATTCTCTTAGTCTGGTGGTTGGGTTCCAAGAGGAAGAGCCCCATACATGTGCATTCCAAGAGTCAAGAATTGGAAGCAGTTAAGACTATGCCTGGAGTGGCATAACATCATTTCCTGCATATTTTATTGATCAAAGTAGTGACAGGCCCTTCCTTTATTCAATGGGAATATAAACTGTATATCTTGATGGGGGAGTAGTAAAGTCACATTGTAAAAGAACATAACGTATTGATGGCATTGTCATGATCATCTTTAAAAATACAATATGCCATACTCTCCCACCAAACACTTGACTGTACTATGGCATAGGTGAGGTAAAAACTTACATTATCCTAACCCCATGAGATTTGAAGGTTTGTTACAGCACTTAGTTTATCCTGACTACCATACATAATAGTGCATCCACTGAGAGAACCACCCTCTTGCCTCCTGGATTATCAGTAATGCCTCCTCTCGGCTTGGATAAGGAAACAGTACTTTATTTTCACGATGAGGATACCAACATTTTAAGCAGAATACTTAGTCCTAGGTGTAATGAGGTACCTGCTATATTCACTCACAAGGACATTTGGTATACCAAGCTCCAGCTGCCAAGTTAAAGGTCTGGCTCAACTTCCACTGGGAAATAATCACCTTACAGGCAGTGTCATTTCACAAGCAGAACTTCCCACCTCCAGACTTCTGGTTGGTTCAAGTGGGAGATCCACCTCAAATCCTGAGTTCTATTTTGCACATTTCAGAATCTTATTTCAAATTCCAAGGTTTTTTCCACATAGACTTAACTCTATTTCAAGGATCGCATATATTCAAATGAATTTTATATATTGCATTTTTATAAGCATCCCTCAATAATTTATTAGAATTCTTAATGGTAGCACAAGAAGTGCTATCTCTTTGTGTAGGGCCCACTTCAAATCATTTGCATAGTACCTATATATTGGTTAAGGGTTCAGTCTTGTACTTCTACCTTCCAAGAGTCTTGTTTCTGCTGTTTAGGGGCCCAAAGAACTGATATCAGGAAGAATGTATTGCCACAGATTGTTTTCTCCAGTTCGTATGATGTCTATCTAGTAGGAACCCTCCTTGGACTTCCTACACATATATGATAGTCTGGGAGAACCCACCCATTCTCAACAACTAGTAAGGTAGATGTAGATTCCTTGGTTAAGGAGATAAGTTTGAACACAGACAGACCATTTTTCTGCATTGAAATCACTGAGGCAGTTTCTTCAGGTTAATGTATAAGAGTATACTTTTTCCCTTAGAGCTTCCAGTCATTCTGTACTGGAATTCATAAACTCTTGTCCAGTCAGGTATGTTGGCTCACGCCTGTAATCTCAGCACTTTGGGAGGTGGAGGTGGGTGGATCACTTGTGGCCTGGAGTTCAAGACCAGCCTTGCTAACATAGCAAAACCTTGTCTCTACTAAATAAATGAATAAAAATTACAAAAAAATACATAAACTCTTGGCCTTTTTGTGGTATCTTAGTACATTTTGTGCTGCTATAACAGAATAGTTAAAACTGGATAATTTGTAGAGAACAGAAATTTATTTCTTATAGTTCTGGAGGCTGGGAAGTCCAAAATCAAGGTGCCAGTGGGTTTAGTGTCTGTTGAGGGCCCAAGCCTCTGCCTTGAGTGCTGCATCCTCCAGAGGGGAAAAACACTGCTCCTCATGTGGCAGAAGAGTGGAAGAGCAAAGAAAGACAGAGCTCACTTTTCAAAGCCCACTTTTAAAGGTATTAAGCCCACCCATGAGGGCAAAGCCCTCACAGCCTAATCAACTCTCAAAGGGCCATCCTCTTAATACTATTACAATGGCAATTAAATTTCAACATGAGCTTTGGAGAGGACAAACATTCAAACCATAGCAGGTGAATACAAGAAGAGCCAACTTCAAAGACATGCAACCTATGCAGTTGCGCAGAACCCTGCTCTTAGCATAACTCCATGCTTGGTTTAATACTGTGCTTTTGCTGTCTTGAAATTCTTAATATTTTTTCATTTTGCAGTGGGTCCCATACATTATGCAGTTGGTACTGGGTACAAGGACCATTATTCCTCTAATCAAACAAATCAGTGTCTTCCTAATGATGCTCTGCACTATTACTAATGTCTTGAGGGTAAAATTCCTCCGAATGAAATCTGGGAATTGCCATAGGAGTCAGTATCTCCTGAAAACAGGTGACACTAAAGGCCAGAAGTTTTAGAATATTCACAGAATTCATAACTAAGACCCCAAAAGCAAATGCAACATAAATAAATAAATAGTACCTAATTAAACTAAAAAGCTTCTGCCCGGCAAAAAAATAATCAGCAGAGTAAACAGACAACCCACAGAGTAGGAGAAAATATTTGCAAACTATACATCTGACAAAGGACTAGTATCCAGAATCTACAAAGAACTCAAACAAGAAAAAAAACAAATAATCCCATCAAAAAATGGGCAAAGGACATGAATAGACATTTCTCAAAAGAAGATATACAAACAGCCAACAAACATTTGAAAAAATGCTCAACATCACTAATTATCAGAGAATGCAAGTTAAAACCACAATGAGATACTATTTTATTCCTGCAAGAGTGGCCATAATTTAAAAGTCAAAAACCAATAGACGTTGGAGTAGATGTGGTGAAAAGGGAACACTTTTACACTGTTGATGGGAACAGAAATTAGTACAGCCATTGTGGAAAACAGTATGGAGATTCCTTAAAGAACTAAAATGTGGAACTACCATTTGATCCAACAATCTCACTACTGGGTATCTACCCAAAGGAAAAGAAGTCATTATATCAAAAAGACACATTCACATGCAAGTTTATAGCAGTGCAATTTGCAATTTTAAAGATATAGAACCAACATAAGTGCCCATCAACCAATGAGTGGATAAAGAAAATATCCTATATATACACCATGAAATACTAATCAGCCATAAAAAGGAAAGAAATAATGTCTTTTGTAGCAACTTGGATGGAGCCGGAGGCCATTATTCTAAATGAAGTAACTCAGGAATGGAAAATCAAATATTGTATGTTCTCACTTTTAAGAGGGAGCTAAGCTATGAGGACACAAAGGCCTAAGAGTGATGTAATGGACTTTGGGGACTCACGGTGGTGGGACTTTGGTGGTGGTGGGGGAAACTATGTTTGGGAGGGTGGTGAGGCATAAAAGACTACATATTGGGTACAGTATACACTGCCTGGGTGACGTGTGCACTAAAATCTGAGAATTTACCACTAAAGAACTTATCCATGTAACCAAAAACCACTGATATTCCAAAAAAATTGAAATAAAAAAACTAAATTAATTAATTAAAAAACAGTGTATAAGAGTTCCAGTGTTAACATTCTTGCCAATCTTTGATATTGTCAAGGTTTTGTTTGTTTGTTTGTTTGAGGGAGGATTTTAGCCTTTCTTTCTGTGTATGTAGTAATATGTCTTGATTATTTGGATTTGCATTTCTCTAATGCCAATGAGATTGAGCACTGTCTCGTGTAGGTTTCGGTGGTTTGAATATTCTCTTCTGTGAAATGTTTATTCAACTCTTTTTTCCACTTTTCTTCTCCCAACTTTGAGTTAGTTGTGAATTGTCTTTGTCTAATTGATTTGAAGGATTTCTTTACATAATCTGAATAGGAGTCCCTTGTCAAATACATGTATCACAAATATTTTCTCTCATTTGTGTAGCTTGCATTCTGGCTTTTTTAATGGAATCTTTTTCAGATCTTAATTTAATAAAGACCAAGTTGCCAACATAATATAGAATATCATCATGTTCTGTAAAATATGCAAAGATTTCTTTTCTTTTTTTTCTTTTTTTCTTTTGAGAGGGAGTCTCGCTCTCTCGCCAGGCTGGAGTGCAGTGGCACAACCTCAGCTCTCTGCAACCTCCTTCTCAGGGTTCGGTTCAAGCAATTCTCCTGCCTCAGCCTCCTGAGTAGCTGGGACTACAGGTGTGCGCCACCACACATGGCTAATTTTTGTATTTTTAGTAGAGACAGGGTTTCACCATGTTGGCCAGGATGGTCTCGATCTCCTGACCTCATGATCTGCCCTCCTCGGCCTCCCAAAATGCTGGGATTATAGGCGTGAGCCACCATGCCCAGCCACAAAGATTTCTGAAATAGGACACAAAAGCCCTAACCAGTATATTTAGAGATCTTTGCTTATCTCAAGTTCATGAAGACAGTTTATGTTATCTCCTAAAAACTTTATTGTTTTCTCTTTTAATTTACATCTACCATTATCAGGAGTTAATTTTTGTGTATAGCATGAGGTTGAAGTGGAAGATCTGGATATCCCATTGCCAGCACTGTATGTTGAAAAGGCCTGAACTGAAATGGCAACTTGGTCATTACTTAGGTGACTTTGAAAGTGCAGCTCTATATTCATGAGGGAAATTAGTCTACAGATTCCCTTTTTAGTAATGTCCTCATTGGTGTTTGTTTTAAGATTAGGTTGTCTTCACAGAAAACATTGAAAATGCTCCATGTTTTCCTGGTCTCTTGGAAAGTTTGTGTAAGAATGGTGCTACTTATGTGGAGGAATTCATCAGGAAAGCAATCTAGGCTTGGAGTTTTCTTTGTGGATGAATTTTAATTAGTGATTAAGTTTCTTTAATAGATACTGAACCATTCATATTTTAATTTTTTCTGATATTTGTTAAATTGTATTTTGCAAGAAATTTATCAACTTCCTTTAAATTTTTAAATTTAAAGTTGTTCATAACATTCTCTTTTAACTATTTAATGTCTGATAAATAGTACTGATATTTTTCATTTCTTATATTGGTTGTTTGTTCTTTTCCCCCACCTTGATCAGCCTTGCTAAAGATCTGTCAATTTTATTAGCCTTTGCAGACTCAGATTTTGGCTTAATTTTCTCTATTGCATTTTCTTCCTATTTCGTTGGTGTCTACTCTTTATTGTTTTTATTTCTCTGCTTCTTTGGATTTCATTTGTTTTTCAGCCTCTTAAGATTGATACTTAAGTAATTTTTAATCTTTTTTCATTTCTAATATTCACACCTAATGCTATATATTTTCCTCTAAGAATGAATCCACATATGTTGAATCCTGCATGTGTTGATATGTTGTGTTTTTATTATCACTCAGTTCAAAACTCTCTAATATCCATTATAATTTCTAGTTTGAGGCCTGGTTATTTAGAAGTGTATTGCTTGAATTCCCATCAATTAGTTAAGGGATTTTTTAGTTTTCTTTTTAAATTCTTAATTCCTTATTTTTTTTGTTAGACAATCTCATACTCGGGAATTAATTCGTATTTTAAATCCACTTTAGTCAGAGAACATGCTCTTTATGATTTCAATTTTGAATTTGGTGAGACTTACTTTAGGATCCACTATAGGGTTAAGTTTTATAAATTACATGTGCACTTGAAAAATGCATATTCTGAAGTTTTGGGAGGGGTAGAGATTTATCTATATCAATTAGGTCAAATTTATAAATTATGTTTTCCAAGTCTTATTGACTTGGAATATTTTATGCCTACTGATTTTTTTTGACTGCTTGTTATATTAGTTAATGTGATTGTGACTTTGTCTATTTCTCCTTTAAGTTGTTGGCTTTTAAATTTATATACTCTGAGGCTGGTTATTAAGCAAATAAACATTTAGAATTCTTATGGTTTTCTGCGTCATGACCCTTTTATCATTATGAAATGTCCCTATTTATCTCTCTGTAATATTATAATGCTTCTGTGTTAATAGCTATTTTTTCTAATATTAATATTGCTACCCAGCCATGTTTTGGTTTGATATTTTATCTTCCATTTTTGCCTTCTTTTAGATTTAGTAAGTATTTTTCATTATTCCATTTCTCCCTTTTCTTAGTTGTTAGTTATATACTATTTCATAATTCTGTTAGTGATTACCTAAATGATGGCAATATGCAATCTTGATTTGCTACCATAAATTCATTATTTTACCACTGCCTGGATAATGGAAGAACATTATTGTTTTTAAACTCTTTGTCAGCACCTCACCCCCTGAATTCTCTCTATATTTTACATTTCAGAAGTCATTACTATTACTGTTTTGAATAGTCAATATATATCTAGTTTCACTTACATATTTACCATTTCCAGTGATACTCTTCATTATTTTTTGCACCATTGGGATTTCATCTGGCATCATTTTTTTTTCATCTGGCATCATTTTTTTAACCCGAAGAACCCTCTTTAATATTTCTTTTGACATGGGTCTGCTGGAAACAATTTACATGAGTTTTGTTTATCTGAAAACATCTTTATTTTGCCTTCATTTCTTAAGGATATTTCCACTGTGTAAAATTCTGGATTTGTCATTATTTAAAGCATATGAAAGATGTTGTTTCATGATTTTCTTGCTTCCATTGTTTCTTTTGAGAAGTCAGCTTATATTATTGTTAAAGTTTGATTTTTTTCTCCAGCTGCTTTTAAGCTTTTCCTTCTATCTTTTGTTTTCAGCATTTTTACAAAAATTTTCCTAAATTGTGAATTTCTTTGTATACGTCCTGGTTGACATTAACAGTGCTCTTGGATCAGTGTTTTGTCAGGAAATTTTTAGCAGAGTCTCTTCTTGCTTCTGTCTCATTTTTTCAAGGGTCTTGTTGGAGTCCAATTATTCCATTTACTATGTTAGACCTTTTCAGTTTTTTCAAATATCTGTCATGCTTTTTTTTTTCTTTTGAGATAGGGTCTCACTCTGTTGCCCAGGCTGGAGTGCAGTGGCTTGATTACAGCTCACTGCAGCCTCGGCCTCCTGGGCTCAAGCAATCCTGATCGTCCTGCCCTAGCTTCCTCAATAGCTAGGACTACAAGTGCATACCACCATACCTGACTAATTTTTAAATTTGTTGTAGAGATATGGTCTCACTTTGCTGCCCAGGCTGGTCTCAAACTCCTGGACTCAAGTGATCCTCCCACCTCAGCCTCCCAAAGTGCTGGGATTACAGATGCGAGCCACCATGCTAGGCCAGTCATGCTTTTTTGTTTGTTTTTAGTTCTTTTTCTGTGCATAACTTTTGTTATTCATTTATTTAGATTTTTTAGGAAAACCAGCAGCAGAACACTTAAGATCAATAATAATAAAGAACAGTTACCTCATTTCTATTTGATTTTTACAGAGACTTTTTGCCAAGAGTACTAAGACTAGTACCTTCTATGACACCCCAACTCTGACAAGAGGCAGTAACCACTAATATACATTCTCCTCTCCCTTATTTGGAGATGAATTCAGATACATTAAACTGCAAGTAATTTTACGCTTAAGCCTTGTACAACACTAAAATATACAGTAATAATAGTCATTATACAAATGTATGGTTGAGTTTATGATATGGTTAGGATCTGTGTCTGTGCCCAAATCTCATGTTAAATTATAATCCCCAATGTTGGAGGAGGGACCTGGTGGGAGGTGATTGGATCATGAGGGCAGAGTTCTCTTGAATGGTTTGACACCATTCCTGCCTTGGCACTGTATAGTGAGTGAGTTTATCATGAGATCTGGTTTTTTAAAAGTGTGTGGCAGATCACGAGGTCAGGAGTTCGAGACCAGCCTGACCAACCTGGTGAAACCCCGTCTCTACTAAAAATACAAAAATTAGCCGGGTGTGGTGGTGGGCGCCTGTAATCCCAGCTACTCGGGAGGCTGAGGCAGGAGAATCGCGTGAACCCGGGAGGCGGAGTTTGCAGTGAGCTGAGATCATGCCACTGCACTCTAGCCTGGGCGACAGTGCGAGACTGAAAAAAAAAAAAAAAGTGTGTGGCACCTCCCTGCCTCCCTGCACCCTCTCTCTTCCTCTTACTCCGGCCACGTGATAGCTGCACTCCCCCTTCCCCTTCTGCCACAACTGTCCATTTCCTGAGGCCTCCCCAGGAGTGGAGCAGATGCCAGCATCATGCTTCGTGTACAGCCTGTGGAACCATGAGCCAATTAAACCCCTTTTCTTTATAAATTACCCAGTCTCAGGTATATCTTTATAGCAATATGAGAGTGGACTACTACAGCTTACCTTTGAGTGTTTTACACATTTATGGGTATGCTTTTTGTTTGTAACCATAATTAGGAAGGCGAGAGCATTACTGGTCTTTATTGGACTGGGGCTACGAATGCTATGTAGTCTGCAATGGAAGGGACAGGTCCATACAAGGGATCAATAGTTATACTTCATGCAGGATTTCCAACAGTTCTGCTAGAGTATTCATGTAGGTGACATGCCTGCTAATAATGATCTAACCTTATACTCTTAGTACCTTTTACATATGAACCCTAAAATACATTTTTTAAATCCTTTAGATAAGAGATTGAATTCTTCATGGATAGTACACAGAGGGTATATTATGTTTTGTTTGTTTGGAACTTTACAGAGAATTCGCCACAATTTTGGAAAACCACATCAACTACCTTACTTTGCTGGCGGTATGTTTGTTGCTTATACAACTAATGCTTTGTCAGCAATGAAGCACATCATCTGAATATGCAGTTGAGGGGATTCTACATAGATAGATGCAAGCATCTGATCACTTCATTGGTCTTCCGCATTTCATAAGGAGAAAAATATTACCTTGTTATAAATTACTTCATTTTTTCCTTCAAGTTGAAGCATCGTCGTGTATATTGATTTAAAAATTATATGTGTAGGCATGTGATATTAGTTACTAATTTTAGCTGAAGATAATTATAATTTTATTTCAGATTTCTGTTATTAAAAAGGTCTGGAATCGGATAGGTTGAGATCAACCCGATACCACGATATTTGCTAAAATTTATTTGAACACACAGAAAAGTCCCAACACAGAGAACTCTTTATTACTATTATTTATTATTTCTACTATTCTTTTAAAAAATTATTATCGTTACACGCAGCGGTTTTAGGCACTATGAAGTGTTTATTGCCTCGGGGCTGGGAACCTTTGCGCCCTTCTTCAGCTGTGCTCTCAGGCAGTTACCGGCCAGACCCGGACCGGAACCTTGGCGCGGTGACGCTAGTTTCCGGCGGGCTACTTAGAGCGCCGAACAGCTCTGGGCCAAAGGACCATGAGAGGGCCGGAGCCGGGTCCCCAACCGACGATGGAGGGAGACGTGCTGGACACACTGGAGGCGCTGGGGTGAGTGCTTTTGGAGACGCCTTTTCCCTGAAAACGCAACCTCTCCTTGGCCTGGCTGCTTAGCCTACTTCCCTTGGGCCTCTGTGGGCCTGGGCGGCCATGTGTAGGCCTCCTTCCCTGCCTCGATCCCTCCGGCGCCGACGGAGTTAAGCGGGAGGCGGGAGAGAAATCTATTTGGGGGGTGGAGCAGGGCCGGAGAGCTGGGGTTCGTGGCCCCCTCTTCGAAACTTCTTGCCTCGAAACTCTGTTGCAGGAATCCGCCGGGTGGCGCGGAGCGGCCCTTCTAGCACCGGTTTTCTGGGCTAGCTCGCGCCCGCAGGTGATATTTGTGTTGACGTAGTTCTGGCGCCCGGAGGGAGGTGCTGGAACCTGAGCTGCTGTTGAGGACTGTTGTCTCCTACAATGTACAACTTGTGGCTTACTTGGGGCTCTGGAGCGAATGGCTTTTACTTTGACCGGAGAAAGTGTTGTAGTTCATTGCGAGTTCGTTCTTTCAACCATTTCGTCCGTTCGTCAACGTGTATATTAGCTTGTATATTAATTTACACATATTTACGTTTGTAAATTTCCCCTAGGCAAGGGAAAAGGATAGTTTTTCAGATTACTCTTGGCTTACATAGTCGCGCAGGCTGCAAGTCTGCTGCCGGCTGGTATTTACAGTGCAGAATGGTAAGTGCTGTGAGAACTCAGGGTGGAGGTGGGAGTAATGTTAATACTTAACAAGTGTGGTGGTTCGTAATCTCCCCCTCAACCTCATCCTGTTTTTTTCCACACAGCTCTTGTCCCCATCCCAAATTATCATGTCCTGCCCATTCATTTGTCTCTTGAACTCTGCTTCTCCCTCGTTTTATTCCTCCTCCTCCCCAAGTCAGCTCCTGGAAAACTGATGCTTTGCATATTTTATTCACCGATGTTTTCCCAGCAACACACTAGAACGGAGTCTTTTACAGTAAATAGTGGTTGAATGAATGAGTAAATGAATGAAGAAAAGCTTAGAGAAGAGTCCACAGCAGTAAGCATAGGACCAGATAGTTGAGTCATACAGTGCACATTAAATAAAGAGCTTGGAGCCATCTGCACATTTGTTTGCCCTGCTACGTGCTGCTGTTTCTTGATAGGGGAAGCTGTGCCTTTGCAGCGTTATTATGAAGCTTGAACCAATCCCACACCCCACTTTATCTTCTCTAAAACTGCATTTGCCCCTCTATCAATTGTTTCTTTAGTTGAACCCTGATAATACCTACTTTGCAGTGACCCAGGGTTACGGAGTCTTGCACTTAGTAGATCGTGAATACATATTTGTCAAACGAAAGAACAGTGCCATTGATTATTTAGGGGGCATTTTTACTTCTGTGAAGTCCCTTGGAAGTTCTCACTTAACTTGGTTAAGAAGGAACCAAAACAAGAACTGAAAATACTTAGTAGAATTATTTAGGCTCCAAACAGTTTGAGCTCCCAAGTACTTCAGGTAAGAATATTGGGAACTCATAAATGGTTTATGAAAAAGGAAAAGGCAGTGCTTTTCTTCTTTCTTCATTTCTTGAACTTATTGTTCATATTATAAGTGTTTTAGAAAATTCATTGCTATAATCTTGATTTTTATCAAGGAAAATTAGTCAGATTATTCAACATGGAAAGTAAAACAGTTTACACACTCCAAAATTAGTTTTTCCTGGAATAACTATGAGGGCAACATTTTGAAGTTTGAATTCTCCTATGATAATACGATGTGAAAAAAGTAGTTATTTACAATATGTGTTGTAATGGAACACTGTGTTTTCAAATATCCATGTAGATAGTGAATAATGCATTTTCTGTTGTAAGGTATTGAGGATATCAGCAAAGGTACTTCAGTTTGTCATGTAAAATAAATTAATGGGAGGCATTTGAAGGGAAAAATCTATGTGAAAGGACAATTTAGTGATACAGGTGAAAACAGGATAGGCTAGGAGTCAGTCAGTTTTCTCATCTGTGAAAAGAGAGGGCTGGAGCAGATGATTTTAGAAGTCTCTTTCAGTTCTGATAGTCTCTGATTTTGTGGAATAGTAGATCTCAACACTGGAAGTACATCAGAGTCGTGTGGAACTTGTGAAAAACTGTTCCAGTCTAGTATATACCATAGACTGACCGAATCATAATCTTCAGAGGTACAGTACAGACCTGCATATTTTTAAAAAGATTCACAGACTCAGTTGAGAAACACTACTATGGAGAGAAGTTTCCTTTAAATATTTATTGAACACACTGTATATTGGACCTCGTTCTGAGGAGTCAGTGGTGAGCAAAATAGACTTGGTTCCTACCCTTGTGGAGTTTATAATCTAGTGGAGAAACAGACATGATCACAAAAACAATTATAAACTATAATAAATGTGTCAAAGGAAAAGAACAGGGTGATGTAACAGGAGGATCTAAGAAGTCTTAGGGGTTAGTGATAGATTCCTGAGGAAGTGACATTTGAGTTGAAATAAGAAGGGTGAATAGAAATTAAGTAGTTAAGGTTGGATGGATGAAAAAGGGGGACAAAGATATCCTTACAGTGAGAAGAAAATGTGAAGACTTTGAAATGTGAAGGAGCTTGCTGTATTAGAAGAACTGGAAGGAGGCTAATGTGGTTGGAAGGCAGAGTGTGAGGGGCAGAGTGGTGGGAAATTGGATTCAAGAGTTAGGTGAAAATCAGGGCATGCAGCCCCTTTTAGTCTGTGTTGTGGATTTTATTCTTGATCATAACAGCAATGGGATGTGATCGAATAATTTTAAATAAAAAGGGAGTGGTTAGATGTCTAGTTTGAAAGTTACATCTGTCAGCAAGATGGAAAATAGATTGGAGAATTTAGTTAATAGTCTGTGAAAGAAATGATGGTTGCTTAGTGGCAGTGGATATGGGAAGAACTACATTACTGAACTTAGTGATTGATTGGATATTAAAATTCAAGGATTCATTTCTCTTTATTTTAAAAAATTTTTTAGATACAGGGTCTTGTTATGATACCCGGGCTAGTCTTGAACTCCTGGCCTCAAATGATCTCCTGCCTTGGCTTCTCAAAGTGTTGGGATTACAGGTGTGAGCCACCACGCCCCAACAGATTAATTTCTTCAGTTGGTATTTATTGAGCACCAAAATGAAATGATACACCTTAGAATCTAAATTGGATACAGAAGAATGTGAAGATAGGAGAGAGTTGGTAAATATGGAGAATGCAGAGGAATCAATGAATGGAGGTAATGATGATATCAAAGAATAGTTATAGGTGAGTGGTCGAAGAAGCAAGTGGAAGGATAAATAAGAGGTTGTGGTCAGGGAGCCACATGTTTGGATAAGTGATTTTGGAGGTGCAGTGGTTGTAAGTAATGGCAAGGGTGCAAGGGGGGCTGAGTGACATGTGCAGGTTGGAATTGAGAGCTCAGGGTGTGAGATAGGGTATACATACAGACATTAAAGAAACTCAGTGTAATGGCAAGAATAGAGGTGGAGAGGAAAACTGAGCAAAGGGGATGTTGGGGAGTGTCCAAGAGGTAATAGATGAAAACCACAAGTGAATGGGTGGCAAATCTGAGTGGCCTGTGCCTCAAGGAAATAGGAGATATTTATAAGATAATGGGAGAGCAGTGATAATGATGCTATTTTGGTAAGAAAGGAGGCCAAAACTCCTACTATCTGACCTTAAGGCATTTGTGAAAATAAAAATAATTAAAGCTAGAGATGGTAGGAATAACAATCTTACTTTTTTTTTTTTTTTTTAAGAAAGAGAATTTTCAGAGTCAAAAGAACAGAAATCAGTAATCTGTTCTCTTCCAGGGTGGGGAGAAAACCTCCTTCCCCATAGGTTCGAGACTATGGCTAGATGGTGAAGAAGGGAGCTCAGTACCCAACCTTGGGGAGACACAGAAAGGGCCCATGCCAGGCACTTAGCTAGAGGCAAGCGTAGCTTTTGGGCCACAAGACCTGATGGCCACTGGGGTACTGGCCTGGAAACAAGTCCTCATCTTCCCAGAAATGTCTTATTTTTGTCTGCAGCAGCTGGCTGGAGAAAGATTTTGGAAAGGTGTGTACCTGGAGCACCCAAAGGCATACCCTTCCTTTTTCCTTGGCATAGGCTTTATAACACTGAGGAAAGGTCATGGTTTGGCAATGGAGTCTTCAATAGTCTTCATCCCTGTAGAGTTCAGTGGCTTTTAGGGTGACAGGAGAGGAGACGACTTGAAAGACCAAGAGTCTTTCAGCTTCTCCCCCACTGAAACGCTATATGCTGGGGCCACAGTTCATGGCAGAACACACACTCACACACACATCTCGGGAACCCAACAACTCGGGAGCAGGTAGTTCTGGGTATTGTTGGTCTGGCATTTGCCTACTTGGCATCTAAGCTGTCCTAAAGCTCCTTACAATCACTTCTCACTATTTCCAGGCCCATGTGGTGAGGCCCTCCAGCTTTCACTCTGTCCGTCAGGTGATCCTAAAGGCACAGCATAGGAAAGACCCTTACTGGGATGACCACTGCTTGGAAGCAGGGAAGGCTAAGAGGCCTGCCCCTACCCAAGGCTGGTATAGATGTCCTCTGCTCTGCTTCTCAAAGACTGGGAACAGGTTCAGCAACTCAGTATCTGCCATGTCATCAAACCAGGACTGCACAGGCACTGCATTCTCTGGGTGGAAGATGTAAGAAGCAGACAAGTTGTCCAGGATGAGGGTTTTCCTCAGGTTCCTCCCCAGGCGGCTGAGGTTCCTGACTTAGCAGCCCTGGTGGAACCACAGGACTCATGGAATAGGTGAGCCCGGAACACCCCACACCGGCCAGCAGATCCGTCACAGGGTTGGCATACTTGGCCAGGTTGGCAGTGAAGGGAACACATTCAAAGAGTTCTCTCATTCGTCTCTTTCCACGTGAGCTCTTTTGAGGACAGAAACCTGCTTGAGTGGTCTCCTCAATCTCTGTAGGCACTGTGAAGCTAGCATTGTTGCTGGGCTTAAAGATGCACAAGGGCTTCATCCAGGTCAGTGACCACACAGATCCTCCTTTGATCTTCCTCTGTCACCTTGGGGCAGACACGTCCCTGGGATCCGATAAAACTGGTACTGGAGACACTGGAGCAGATCCGACTTAGCAGTGGTGTTGGCTTCCTCCTTATATGGATGAGCTCAGTGGAAGAGCTTGACTGGCCATGCTGGATGCGAAAATAGCAGACAAGGGCCTTGAAGATGTTATATCCACGAGGCTTCTTAAGGAGGGCTTGGAGACCAGGCCTTGCTTGGTGAGCACCAGGGCATCTTCCCCTGTGCCTGGGTGATGATGGAACTGTGCTCCATCTAATTCCACAGGTGCGGGCTGGTTGGGTGGAAGAACCAGTGAGCCCATGGTCTGGGCTGGGCTGGGGGGCCTGGGTTTGGGCTTGCTGCAACTCCTGAGACTCCCGACTCCCACAGCTGTTTACATACCCCCTCTCCTTTCCTCCCTGGGCTGCGAAGCGAGGTGGCCTGTACCAAGGGTGGGCGCCCGGAGATGGGCTCCCTTGGGTACCCTGGCTCCAGTCTCCTAGCAGCAGCTCTGGGCTTCTCAGTTTGGGTCCAAAATGGAGAATCCAGAGTGAAAACAAGAGAGGAATAATCTTTCTGAGAAGAAATGGACAGTATAGCAAAATATCCACTGTGTTGTAGATGAAAGATAGTGGACATTTTTAGGAAGCAGAGAGAGGTAGAGAGTTGGATGAGGGGCAAAGACAATAGGTTGGGTAAATGATGGGAAAAGAAAGGGTCTTCTGTTTTATCTCTTGGCTGATGAAAATAGAAAGTAAATTAGGCCCTGGTTGTATTGTTGAGGAGAGTTGCCAGCAGCCCTAATGGACTGAAGATTTGGATCACCCAGCTTGAAGTAGTGTCTGACCAGCAACTATGCTTCCAGGGTATGAGGCTTTGAGGGAGGGCCTAGGCCTAGGGGAGATGTTCCCAGTGTTTGGAATAACAGTAGCACTTTGATGAATAACTAAGAATATATAGAACAAACTAGGAGCATGGTTATTCTCTGTAAACGCAGAATGGCATTGGAAATCAAAGCCAGTATGAAATAAATGTGGTAAACACTAAACAGTTGCTAAATGTAGCATAAATAGACTCTTAAATGCCTGCTGTAATTTCTCATGTACTGCAAGAGGAGAAGGAGTGATGATAAATATTGAGAGTTTTTTTTTTTAAATGAAAGTAAAAAAATAAGTACTATGCTGCTTAAGAGAGGTCTGTGGACTAGCAGCGTCATCATCACCTGGGGAGTAGAAATGCAGAATCCCAGACATCATTCCAGCTCTACTGAATTAGAATCTTTATTTTAACAAGACCCTCAGGAGATTCATATGCACATAAAAGTTTAAGAAGTACTGTTCTAGCCAGAAAAGTGCTTTCATATTCTTATTCGGTTATCTAGCAGAATATACTTAGACACTTCTATTGCCTAAGACAATTAGATACATTTCTGGATGGTGACAGAACAATACAGGCTAAGAGTGTGGGGCTATGGAGGTAGGTTGTGTGGCTCAGTTCCGGGACAGTTGTTAGCTATGATTATGGCCATCCCGGATGAATTATTTACCTTTATCATCCTGAGCTTCCTCATCTGTAAAATGAAGCTAATAATAGTATCTACCTTATAGGGTATTGTGGCAACTAAATGAGACAATTTATATAAATTGTTTAGCACTGACCCAACATACAGTTAGCACTTTCTAAATGTTAGCCACTATTGCGATTTTGATTGTTACTAGATGGTCAGGTATGTTAAATGCATTTATTTGTTCCTCTTTTTATTTTTACTTCATCTGATGAGCTAAGGCATTAAAGATTGGATTTTTTTTTCCAAATTCAGAATTTTTTGTGATTTGATCAGTTCTTGTTGGTTTTTATTATTGACATTTCAGTTAAAAAAACTTACATCAATATGAATTAAATTTCTTCAAGAGTTTATGAGTATTGCTTTATTGCAGAAATGAAAGCAAATAAGAGGATATAAGATGTTTACTATGAAATCTCATTGAGAGGCATTGTAAGACATAGAGGAAGGCTGAGTCATAGAAGAACCAGCCTTGAGCTGGGGGGTGCAGAAATAATATTCTAGTCTCAGCTCTGCCTTTACTTGGCTGTATCAACTGGACCAGATTATTTCCTTAGTTTCCTTATAGTTGTAGACAGAGGTCTAACAAGACCTATGTTAATGATGGAGCATTTGGGTTAAACGTGGATTTAAATCCTAGTGCCATTTTCTGATTCTACAGAATTAGGATAATGCTAACTTAAAGCATTGCTGTAAAGATTAAATGAAATATATATATATATATATGCCTAGCACTGTGCCTGGCCTGCTACATAAAGGCAGGTTTCCTAATGTCATGAAGTCTTAGTTTCTTTACCTACAAAATGAGGATTTGAAAATACTTGTACTTACCCTTCATCTGATATAACCAGAGAATTCAAAGAAAAAGAAATGCAAGTGGCCTTTAAACATATGCAAAGATACCCTACGTCTTGCTTGTAAGAGAAATGTAGATAAAACTATACTGAGTTACCAGATGGTCAAAAATCCAAAAGTTTGACAACTTTGATGAATTATGAGGGAATGGGTACTCGGATACCTTGATGGTACAACCCCTCTACAGGAGAATTTAATAGTATCTGGCAAAGTTATGTATCTATTTACCCTTTGACCCAACAGTCTCACCTCTAGGAATCTATCCTAGATAAAAACTGACAAAAATTTGCCAAACTATATTAACAAAACACTGGAAACAATCCAAGTGTCCTTTAGTAGATGCCGATTAAATAAAATATGGTGCATCCAGACAGTGAGGTAGTATATAACTGTAAAAATGGTTGAATACTATGTCTAAATATTGATCTCTACTCTATGTAAATGTATGTGTGTGTGAGCATGTATGTGTTTAAAGCAAGGACTAGAACAGTACATAGTAGGCTACCTTTTATCTGGAAAAGGAGACAAAAATGCATATATTTATACTGAAAAACATGATGGAAGGACAACCCCAAACTAATAAATATGGTCACCTGTAGGGGAGGGAGAGAACAGAGTAGAGGATACAAGATTAAAATTGCAAACTAGATTTTTCTGATGCATTTTGTTTTTTAAGTTAGACTTTGAAACTGCATTAATGTTTTACATAATTATAAGACAAAAATGAAATAAAAAGAAACAAATCCCTACAAATTAAAGCTGAACAAAACAAATGTCTATTGATATATTGAGTAGGTGGTTTAATCACATGGGAATTGTTTTTCTGTATATCCTTACAGGAATACGTCGTAAATATAAAAAAATTAAACTGTAATTTTATTGTTAGTAGTAATGCTGGATTTCCTATTCTGAAGCCATAAGTAATTTATACCTATTTTAATATATATTAGGAATTTGTAAATGTTATTAAAACAAGAATTGTCATTGTAAGAGAAGATAAATAAAAATGTAAAACAAAATAAGTAAAACCCCTACAATTCTAAATTCCAGTTGGAAATAGCAATATGAAACTGATATAGTTTCTCTGAAAAAGGCATAGAAACAGTGACCAACCTTTGGTAGCAGATTATGTACTCTAAATACCATTAAAAGAATCGGGGCTCCTTGGAGAAATGCCTGATTCCAAGTCTAAGGCAGGAAGATGTTGTTGTAGAAAGCAAGGAAAGTATTCAGAGAGTACGGAGGACAAGACAAAGGGCTCGACTGGCCTACCTGAATGGGCTACTATAAACCAGAGACAGAAGAATTTGAGTATCAAAAGAATAACTGTGATGGATTAAAACACATCAAGTATATTATCTGTGACTTTATAATGTTAACAAAAGTTCAGTTGCAAAAAGAACCATAAAAGTAGAAAACTGATCATCTAATTCAGTTAAGATAGTATATAAAGTGTTTTGAAAATTTAAGATTCTTGTGAAATACAATTTGCAGAAATGTTTAGAAGTGTAAAATTATAAATAAATGAGGCCAGGCACGGTGGCTCACACCTGTAATCCCAGTACTTTGGGAGGCCGAGGTGGGTGGATTGCTTGAGCTCAGGAGACCAGCCTGGCCAACATGGCTAAACCCCCTTTCTACTAAAAATACAAACATTAGCTGGGTGTGGTGGCAGGCACCTGTAATCCTAGCTACTCTGGTGGCTGAGGCATGAGAATCCCTTGAACCCAGGAGGTGGAGGTTGCAGTGAGCCAAGATTGTGTCACTATACTCCTGCCAGGGTGACAGAGTGAGACCCTGCCTCAAAAATAAAATAAAATAAAATAAAATAAAATAAAATAAAATAAAATAGTAAAGTAAAATAAATAAAATAGGTTTAGATTAAAATGATCTAATAGATTCTTTTCAACTTTAGCTTTTTTAAATTTGTAATTTGTGTCTGTGCTTTTTTCACCATATTTTTATTGTAATTAATATAAGGCTATTAGACTTTATGCTGTATTTGACTTTGTGATACCTGTGGTATTTATCTGAAAATTGGTAGATAATTTTACTGTAAAATGTTAAAACATAGGAAAAAAGCCAAATGTTAATTATATAGAGCAGGAATCAGCAAACCATTTCTTTAGAAGGCCATGTAGTCATCATTTTCGGTTACAAATACTTAGCTCTTCCATTGTAGTGTGGAAACAGCCGTAGCCAATTTGTAGATTAATACATTTAATGGCTGTGTTCCAATAACATTTTATTTACAAAAACAAGCAGCAGACCTTGACACAGAGTGTTGGAGGTTTTTTTGTTTGATTGGCTTATTTAGTTTTTAACTTGTATTTCTTCCTTTCTAGGTATAAAGGACCATTGTTAGAAGAGCAAGCCCTTACAAAGGCGGCAGAGGGTGGATTATCTTCACCTGAATTTTCAGAGCTCTGTATTTGGTTAGGCTCTCAAATAAAATCATTATGCAACTTGGAAGAAAGTATCACGTCTGCTGGTATTGCCATTATGTTGTATTTACTTTTCTGTTTAATAGTAAACTGATAACTTACGGTTTATAGTTTTATCAATAATGTGCCCACTGTACAAAGAAAAATCACATATTCCAAAGAATTTCAGTATGTGGTAGTAAACATTTTTGGATTAAATTTTATATTAATCCAGAATTGATATTTAAATTTGCTATAAAACTATAAGCAATTACTATTTATCTGCTATTTTTTTCTCTTCCTGACGGCTCTGATATCTGCTGTCTAAACCTTAGTATTGTTTTTTAGAAAAAGTAGGGTCTGAATTTGATTATTTAAAAGTTTAATTTTTGAATGGTGCTCATGTTGAATTAAGGCTTAAAATATTATATATATATAATTCCTAATTTGTGTTCTGAAGCTTGTAGCTCAGGATATGGATTCACATAGGAATACTTCTATTAAAAACTTCTGTACTAGCTCATAAAGCTTCTTTAGTTCATTACCATCTTAGTAACTGGAGTCCTGTGGGTCTTTGGTAGAATTTCGGATATTAATAGTATAATAAAAAGAAAAATTAAAAATTGTGCATTCACAAAAGTAGCTTTTTCTTTGAAAAGTATCCTTTTTTTCTTAAGAGATGGGGTCTTGTTATGTTGCACAGACTGGACTTGAACTCCTGGGCTCAAGCAACCCTCTCACCCCACCCTCCCAAGTAGTTGAAACTGCAGGTGTGGGCTACCGCACCCAGCCAGATCTAACAGTTCACTTGACGCAAAGTAAACTAATTTGAATTCTAAACATATAACACGACTGCCTACATAATTACATTATGAAATAAAGATAAGCAGTGAGGGTTAATTAGATGGTTGCATTTATTTTCTGAATATATAGAAATATAGTAGAAATGGATCATTTGCTCTGAAGTGAATTAATAATTATAGCCATAATAATGCTTTTACTATTTCAGTTGTTAACGTAAGCTTCGTGATCACACATTTAAGGATTTAATGTGAAAATTTAGAATTGAATGTAAAATGGAAATAAACGAGTAGATTTTATAGTATTGGATTATATGGTAAATGCTCAGTAAATGTTTTATGATTTTTCTTTTTTAAAGGAAGAGATGATCTAGAGAGCTTCCAGCTTGAGATAAGTGGCTTTTTAAAAGAAATGGCATGTCCATATTCTGTACTCATATCAGGAGATATTAAAGATCGTTTAAAAAAGAAGGAGGACTGTTTGAAACTTCTATGTAAGTTATCTTGAACATTTAAATGCATGTGTTTGACATGGTTTTTATTATTTTCAAGTCAAGATTTATTAATGAAGCATTAGACATTTTGTATATTAAAAGGGTTTTAATATTTTACTTAAAATACAAAGCTATCTCAGAAATGTTTATATAATATAGTATAAATTTTACCAGTATGCCTTCTAACACTTGTGATTTATTTGGCCAATATAGAATGTCCTGTGTTTGTGATTTATATAGTACTTTAGTAATTTTTCCTTTATCTCATTCTATCTGTTATTGTTCGTGACTATATGGCTAACATTGATGATCTCCAAAGTCCTATTTAATCTAAAAACTCTCTGAAACTAGGCACTGGATGATAATTTGTTGATCACTTACTCTAACACCAAGAACTGCTCTGGATACTAGGGATATATGAGGGTTGCTTGTTTTGTTTTTTTTTAAAAAATATAAAATTTGTGCCTTTAGGACACTTTAAATGTGGCCAGTTTCATCAGGGAGGGATTTGGAATATAGGTCATACTGTATTCAAACAATTACCATAAATAGTAGGTCCATGTTTGTGTTGGGTTCCTTTCATCATTTTTTTACTTTAGGCTAATTTTATAATGTTTTTAAAGTTCTACAAACAATGACTATTTGAAAGAATTTTTCTAATACCTTCTATTATTGAAGATTTCTATTTCAGATCATGCCATTTATAAAAAGATTACACGTGACATATTCCTCCTAGGCGCTAGTGTTTTAATAAAGTTTGTTTCATTAGAGATGAAATTTGTGTGTGTGTGTGTGTGTGTGTGTGTGTGTGTGTGTTTAGTGGTGACAAAAGTATTGGCATTGAAATTACCTTGTGTGTGTTGAGTGGGGATAAAAATTATATGCCCTCTCTCTCCATCCCAATACACCATTCTCCATCTTCCTCCCATTTGGTGTGAGTCACTGATTTAATGAACCACTGTTATTGGGAGATCACAGTAACTCTTAGGTATATTGGGACAGAAAGGAACCTAGGAAACACCGGCTAGAGGAACTTGCATATCCTTAATATCAGTCAATGAGAATTATGTAATCCATCATGGTTCCCTTTCTCCTTAGCTGCTAAGAAGCTTAGCAATTGTAGTGATACAGGTTTCTGGTACAAGTAGGAATAAAAAAGAAATTTAACAGAAATATATAGTTTTTTTCTGATTATAAAAATAACATGTTCAGGAGGGCGGTGATGAGGAGTTAGTGTTTAATGGGTACAGAGTTTCAGTGAGGAAGACGAAAAAGTTCTGAAGATGGATGGTGACGTCATAGAACTGTATACTTAAAAATGATTAAAATGGTAAATTTTATATGTGCAAAAATTACATGCTTATCATAGAAATCTTAGAAAATACATAAAACATAAAGAAGAAAAGCATTTATAATCTCACTCCCTAGAGAGAATATTGTGTCTCTGTTTTCTGTGTACATACACACAACACTCTCACACTCGCACTCACTCTTAAATAAGATTAAGATCCTGTTTCAGATCCTTCTCCTCCTCCTCTTCATTTGATGTGTCGTTTTTCTCTTTATTTCCCTATCACTTGTTTTTTGAAAAACTAAATTGGCTCTGCTATTGACATAACATTATGTGTAATAGATTTCAAATTTGGAGGTATTTGGATTTTTTTCTATTTTAAAATGATTTCCTTGTTTATATTTTTGCTTACTTAGACAAAGATTAGGAACATTTAAAATAGTCTCCGGTCTAGATGTATATTGCCATATTTTGCTCCAGAAAGGTTATACTAGTTCACAGTCTTACCAGCATCTAGTCTTTCTTCAGTTTGACTGTTTTAATCATATTGATATAATAAGCTTCTTCATGTTCTTTTTGAAAGTGTTTGCAACATGTATAAAATTAAAAGGGCCAAATCCTGTACTATGTAAAGAGCTTTTATAAATCAACAGGAAAAAGATAAAAATCCACTGGGAAAATGTGTAAAATACATAAGACATGAACACGCATTCTACAGAAAATTTTTTTTTAACTGCTTCTAAGCATGACAAGATGCACAATATCACTTATGACAGGATACCATTTTTCACTCAAAAAATCATAATAGAAGTTTGGGGGAGTAAGCCTTTTCGTATACTACAGACATTAGACTGTGGTGGGAGAATAACTTGTACAGCCTCTTAGGAGGACACATTTTCAATGTCACATTAAAATTCACTTGGCTTTTGGACTTGGCAATTCTTTTGACTTGGCAATTGTTTGTCTATGAATATATATCTATTTCCCCAAGTGTACAAAGATAAATGAAAACCATGTTCATTATGACATTGTAGTAATAAAAAGACCAGAAACCTGAGTGTCCATAAATATAGATAAATAGAAGTGGTACATTAATGCAGTGATGTCACTAGATAGGTAATAGGAAGAATGCAGATAAATCAAATGTGCTGATGTGGAATGATCTCTAAGATATGTTGGTAAATACAAAATAAATATACAGGACATGTATAGCATGTTCTTGTTTGTATAAAAGGAACAAACGCACACAGATGGCTACTAGGTATCTTGAATACATACACACACACATGCCTAAAAGGATACCCAAGAAATTAATGGTGATTGCCTCTGGGAAGGGGGAATCTAAGGATCTGCAAAAGGAAGAAGGCTTAATTTTCCCTCTACTGCTTACTATCTGCATGGATTAGCATCGTAAATGCTAAACCCTTGTTTGTACTATTACATGGAGAAAGCATGTTTCCATAGAGCAAAAGTAGACTTCAGCCAAGGTTCTGTCTAAAATATAAATTTTTGAAAAACTGGCAATCTGTTTTAATCAAGTTTAATCAAGTTTTTATTATGAGATGGGGTCTCACTGTGTTGCCCAGGCTGGAGTGTGATGGTGCGATTGTAGCCCCTCAAACTCTGGAGCTCAAGCGATCCTCTCATCTCAGCCTGCATAACTGGGACTACAGGCGTACACCACCATGCCTAGCAAATTTTTAAAAAATATTTTGTAAAGATGGGTCTGTGTTGCCCAGGTAGGTCTTAAACTCCTGGGCCCAAGCTGTCCTCCTACCTTAGCCTCCCAAAATACTGGGATTACAGGCCTGAGCCACCATAGCTGGTCTTAATGAAGTTTTTAAGTCAGAAGGACCTTAGTATAGTCCTCATAAGGAAAGTTTAATATTGGTCTTAAAGTTTAATAATTGATCTTAATATTTTGGTACTTGACTCTTTAAACTGTCATGTGTAGACTGCATGGAAAAGTCTTTAAACCAGTGACCCTCAATCTTGCCTGACCTTGGCAATCATACTGGGTCTAAAACAAACCACACACAGATGCCCAACTCCTACTTGTAGATCTACTGTTCAGAATCTCAGAGGATGGGACCCTGGCACCTGTACTTTTAAATTGTTTTTCAGATGTATTTTTGCTCAGCTGAAGTTAAAACTGCTATATTAAATTGTGGCGTTTGTGTCTAATTTTAACTAAACAAATAAAAACAAAGTATTTATTTATGTATTTTTTGAGATGGAATCTTGATCTGTCACCCAGGCTGGAGTGCAATGGCACGATCTCGATTCAGTGCAACCTTCGCCTCTGGGTTCAAGCAATTCTCCTGCCTCAGCCTCCCTAGTAGCTGGGACTACAGGCGCATGCTGCCATGCCTGGCTAATTTTTGTACTTTTAGTAGAGTCGGGGTTTCACCATGTTGGCCAAGCTGGTCTTAAGCTTCTGACCTCGGGTAATCTGCCTGCTTCAGCTTCCCAAAGTGCTGGGATTATAGGTGTGAGCCACCACTCCCAGCCAAAAACAAAGTCTTACCTACCGTAGTGAAGAGTCTGTTTAAAACAAGACTATAATCATTTAAGATTTTTGAGTAATTTTCTTAAATATGGCTATTGAAAGGATTAGATGAAACGGTGAAAGTAAAGGGACTTGTAAACAGTTTGGGGTGATTTATCCTGACTCAAATTGCTCTATGTGCTTATATATCAGTTAGAGCTATATGTTCTCCCCTGACCTGTGTGCTCTGTACATATAAGACAGAGAATAATTTATCAGAGTCTTACACATTCTTGTCTGTTCTTAAATTGTTGATTTGGTGGTGGGTCTCAACTACTGGATTTTATACTCTTTGAGGGTAGGCATCATATCTTCCTTGACTTGGCATCCCCATTGTTCACACCGTTCCTGGCTCAGAACAGGTCCTTGGTAGACATGTACTTACTGAAATAGCAATCTAGATCATTTAATATGTTAATTAAAATTGAACTGAAACCAGCTAGTGTGAAATCGAAGAGAATAAAATAAACCATTTCTCTTTTTCCTGGTAGTATTAAATAAATTCATTTTAGTTTTTTGCTTGTAGTGCCCTTTTTTTTTTTGTACCCATTCATCTGTTTCAAACTAAGTCTTAGGTTAAACCTCTCTAGGTAAAGTAGATGAAAGTTACGCTGCTGTTTTCTGGGGGCCTGTATCTTTGCCTGCTTAACTCCAGTAGGAGCTGCTAGGGCTCCTCCGGTGTGAAAAGAATCAACCATTTAAAGTGGCATTTACAGTGTAAATGCATTTAATAGGGTGTCTATTTTATATAGCTTTAGTTAGTTGTTTTTTCTCATTTCATTTAAAAAAACGTAACACTTGCTATGGACTAGGGAATCACTTCGTTTATAAGTGTACAGTGTTCTACAACTGTTGTTCTTTGGGTCTTTGTAAGTTGGCATTATTGGTATTAATTGATACTTGTTTTAAGTGAATAATTTCAGTGAAATATTTCAAGAGATTCTTATACATGTATTAACATTATTTATTTTCTCTTTATTGTAGTATTTTTAAGTACAGAACTTCAAGCTTCACAGATATTACAGAACAAGAAACATAAAAATTCTCAATTAGATAAAAATAGTGAAGTTTATCAGGAAGTTCAAGCTATGTTTGATACACTTGGTATACCCAAGTCAACAACTTCTGACATTCCGCATATGCTAAACCAAGTGGAATCAAAGGTATTATCTTTGTTTTATTTTCCCCAAAATTCAACTGAATGGTAACATGTAAGTGCTATATTAAAAATGAAACTATTCCCTATAATTATGAGGTATACATTTTATTTCAAGAGTTTATCTTCATATAAACCCAGTTTTGGATTCAGACTTAACAGGCATGTGACCTAATCTGTCAGTAGCTGATATTCAGGAATCAAATCTTAATGAGTTACTGGCCTTCAGCTTTGCCAGAGTTTACCATGATAGAAATCACTTAGCAAATTTAAGGATCACTTTCTTAACCAGGGTTTTAATGTAGTATAAGAAAGAAAGAAAGAAGTAGAAGTAGAGTTATCCTACAAAGTGAAAGGAAACTAAACTTTTTAAAAAATGGATGTTAATAGAATTGCAGAGTGGTTTCTTTGGCAGTGAGCATGCAGTTTTTGGTGGATAAATGTTTAGTAAGAGTAAGTGCATTATATAATGAATGGAAGAATGTATTAATTAGTACCCTGATGGGGGTAGTTAAAAACAACTACAAACTATGTACCTTATGTACTTTGGCATTTTTTTTTTTTTCAGTTACTAAGCAACTCTTGTTCCCTGTCAAGCCATATATTAGAGAGGATGCTACTCTCACAGACCAAATTCTGGCCTAGTTCCTGGGTTTCATTTGTTAAATATGCAGTCCTCTAGGGGAAGAATACAGGATTCATTTTAAAGGAAAATAAAATTCTTGCCTAATCTTCAAGAATAAGTACATAACTCCATTTTTAGACACAGTGCCTTAAATTAAATCCTTGTTCAGTAAAGATCTCTTTTGCGTTGATAATTTATGAACTGAAAAATAAGGTTTGTCTTAATGTAAGAGAATTATAGTATCATTAAGATAAAAACAGAATATTAAAAAAATTTTTTTTGGTAGAACTTGCAAACCAGAGAGTAAGTCTGTGAAAATCAGCTCAAAAACATTCTTATAGAGTTAACAAGTTACTCTTCAGAATTTTTTTCTGTTTTCCTCTGGATGAAGACTGATCTGGGGTTGGCTAAATTTTCTGGGACTATTTCAGATTGAGACAGATTTCTGAGCTCATTATAATTCAAAGAGGCTATTCCATTTTATGGTTTTTATTTAGTATTAACATTCTCAATTACCTCTTTGCCCTACTTGAAGTAGTCTGTAATGCCTCGGTTCAAATACTGGCATACTAATTATAAGGTAGTTGTTACTATGGCCATCTTGGCTAAATATTTACTTAAAAGGTCTTCCTACTCTATTCAGTTTTTAACCAAAAGTAAACATTTTCATGTTTTCTTTCTTCTGCATGTGATGTGTCCAGAAGACACTTTGTTACCATTGGGGAAGGAAAGTATTATTTTCTAACTTCAAGTTGTTCAAATGTGTATTTATAGTGGTATAATTATAACAGATACATAGTGATGGTATAATAGCAAATATATAGCATTCACTGTTCTAAATGTTTACATGTAATAACTCACTTAATTCTCACATCACCCATGTGAGGTGGTTATAAATGTTTACATGTAATAACTCAGTTCTCGCATCACCCGTGGTTATGGGTAATACATCACCCCTGTGTTGTATTACCTAGACAACCATGTGAGGAAACTGAGGTACTGAAAGATCTAATAAGTTAAACAAGCAAATTTCTAAATGGTGGTAGACCTGAGGTTTAAACCCAGGTAGTCAACCTCCAGAGCCTGTGCCCTTAACTTACTCTATAACAAGTGATTTTCAGATTTATTAAAACTATTACGTAATGTTGGAATCCTAGGAATGGAGCTGAATGTGATTACACGTAACAAACTACAAGTATACATTGAGAATTCCTCTGGAGTGAGGAGTTACAACTCATACTTTTTATAATGTATGAAAAAACCTAAAATTGGATATATTTACAACAGTTGGAGAATCTACAGAAATGGTCCATTTTAAGAAAATAAATTAATAATTTCTTTAAAATATGTACAAATTGTATCAGTAGAGAAATTGTATCATTGTAGATGTAGATTTGCTGTGAAGCTACTAAAGCTGAAGTTTTGGGGTCTCTTATTTGCACAGGTTCTTTCTAAGCTAATTTTTTTAAAACACCATTTATGAAATGTAATCATGCCATAAAGTTTGCCCATTTTAAGTATATATATATAGTTCAGTGAATTTTAGTATATTTACAGAGTTAAACAACCATCACCAAACTCTTGAATTTAGAGCTTTTCCATCACCCTCAGAAGAAACCTCAACTGTGCCCATTTACAGTTACTCCACATTACAACCCCAGCTTCCAAGCTAATTTTGAATTCTTTCCTTAAAGAGTGCCCCCAACATTAAATAAGCTTCATGCTCCTTAAAATCTGAACTGCCCTTGGTTGTTTCCTTTGGTTACCTTGTAAAAAAAACTGTATTTCATTTGGTTTTGTAAATATTTTATTTAGCTAATGATGGATTCTCCAGTCAGGAAGGTAAATTAATCCTTTAGTTAGGAGGATAAATTATTGAATGACCCTGATATTGCTAAAGGAAAAGTAAATGCCTAATATCTTGTTTATCAAAATAAAAATGTTTCAAGTAATTTAAATTAGGGGCTTTGCAAAAGTAATGAAAATATGTATGTGATGACTGTAATTGAGAGAGATGGCTTGCTCCCTTATGTTGTCTTGCTGAACAATGAAACAAGAGTACTTACAACTGGAATGTGTACATAGCATTTATTTGAGAAAAATCAATGTGCTGGTTAAAGGTTTTAGTATCCCTTTTGAAAATTTACTAGAAAGTAAGAAAGTGCTATCTTAAGTAGGAACTCCAAAGTTATTTCACTAAGACACAGATTCTCATAGTAGAACCTAGGTACTTCTTTAGCTGTCTGTGTATGTTCGTTCTTACGCTGGGAAAGAATGTGCTCTATAGCTTGAATGAATATAATGTGCTTTTTTGAAAAAGATACTCTGTATTGTAGTGGTATTCTGGTATATGATGGTATATTTTAATTATGTCACTTTAATATTTTATTCTGTAGTGTTCAGAGCGATACTTTAAACAAGCATAAGATTGTTTTAAATTAGGAATATACATTTTTCACAATCTTTTATATTTACTTTTAGGTGAAAGATATTCTCTCAAAGGTCCAGAAAAATCATGTGGGAAAACCACTGCTGAAAATGGATTTAAATTCAGAACAGGCGGTAAATCCCCCTTTTTGTTATTAGTTTTATGTAATTACATTAGTGAATATGACTTAATTTTATAAATGAACATCTATTTTGCAATATGTAGCATGCATATATTATTTTGTAGAATTAAAATTGATTGATATTCTGGAGTAATATGTCCTAACATTTCTTTAGTTAAATTATTAATTTTTAAAAATACCTGGCTGAGGATATTGATAGTGCTCAATGTGCTAGCACAGTTGTGATTTGAAAAGAACAGAGGCTCAAAGCCAGCAAGATGAGTTATTGGTATTTTCTTTCCTTGTTGGTCCAGACTGCTTAGCAGGTAAATGTTTTACTTAAATTAACAAATTTGATTATAGATAAAGTATACTCTACCAACGGGTGGAGTTTAATTTGTATGTTTAATGTCTTCTGGATATCATAAATGTTCTTTCAATTATGCTTTAGTATTTAAATAATTTACCATAAAGTCTCATGGGAACAGAAAATGGTCAGTAAGTACATCTTTTGACTCAGTAGGAAGTACTTAGCACAATTTTCAGATTTCTTTTCTTTGCAGAATGAAAGAATCTAAAGTTTATTATTTTTGTTTCCAAATTTTTTAGGAACAACTGGAAAGAATCAATGATGCTCTTTCCTGTGAATATGAGTGCCGCCGACGAATGTTAATGAAACGATTAGATGTGACTGTACAGTCCTTTGGATGGTCTGATAGAGCAAAGGTAAGGCTGTTTTCCCATATGTGTCCTGTAGGTGGTAGCCTATAACAGCTCTTCTGGCTTGCTTGTCTGTTATGTAACCATGCCACATTTGTACTTCATCACCATCTCAACTACATGCCCAGGCCAACTACTGGTCTTACAAGATGATCCTGGTCTTGTATAAATCCCTGTTGCATATAACTTAATTTCTCCCCACATTTTTGACATTTATTTTAAACTCATAGATATTGTGATTTATGCCAGGATATGCATAAAAGAAGGGGCATCATATGAGATAATGAGATAGATACAGTGAGCAGTGTAAGAAGAAAGCAGGATATAAGAATAGTTGCAGGTAGTACTGATGCCAACAGGCCTTAAAAGTATCTTAAGGCTGGATGAATATAGAATGTGTTTCAGTTGAAGAGGGGGTTGGGAGGTGAGGGCATTTCCAAATTTGAATCTCTTCAGATAGCTTTCTAAAGAGCTGTCTCCCATCATTCCCATTTTATGCCTTTAATCTGTACCCATGCTTAGTCTGGGATCACTCCTCACCCCCGCTCTCCCTACCCTGCATCATTGCCTGGAAACTCTCCAGGCAGTAAGCTGAGATAATTATAGGGCTTCTCCTCATTTAGGGATCATTGTCCTGTGTTCCTTGATGTCCAGTGTCTGACCATCATTGGTTCACATCACATGGGTTATCCAGTTTTTTAGTTGTTTCAGGTGGGAGAGTTAATCTGGTGCCGATTACTGTATCTTGACTGAAAGTGGAATTTCAGGTATTATTATTTTTACATTTTTTGAATTAACTGGGCAGTTCTTCTGCCCCATGCTGGATCAGTTGGGGTCACTTATGCCAGCAGTTCCCAACCTTTTTGGCACCAGGGACTGGTTTCATGGAAAACAGTTTTTCCATGGAGGGTTGGGGGGCAGGGCGATGGTTTTGGCATGAAACTGTTCCACCTCAGATCATCAGGCATTAGCTTCTCATAAGTGTGGTGCTTCTGTTACCTTCTTGTCTTTCACATGACATCTCTTTCCATGTGATATATTAGTTTCCTATGGCTGCTGTGAAAGTTTACCACAAATTTAGTAGCTTAAGTAATACAGATTTATTCTCTTAAAATTTGGAGATTAGCAGTCCTAAAGTGAAGGTATTGGCAGGGTTGCATTCTTCCTGGATCCTTTAGGGGAGAATCTGTTTCCTTGCATTTCCTAGCTTCTAAATGCCACCTGCATAGTTTAGCTGTTGGCTTCATCTCCTCTCTTCAGAGCCAGTAGCCCGGTAGAATCTTCCAGCCTTTCTCTCTCTCTCTGCTTCCATTGTCACATCGCCTTCTGTCTCTGACACTCCTGTCTCTCCCTTATGAGAACCCTTGTGATTATATTAGGCCCACACAGATAATACAGAATAACCTCTCCATCTCAAGATGTTTAACTTAATCATACCTGCATCTGTAAGGTAGCATTCACAGGTTCTAGGAAATAGGATGTGGACCTCTTTGGAGGGCTAGTCAACTTACAAAGGGGCTTCTAAATGAATTTTATTTTTTCTTGCATTGTATTTCTGCAATATGATAAAATGCTTTTTTTTAAAAAACTATACTTTAAAAAATTAGGTCTTCTAATGAGTTCTCCATTTTCTGTATACTTTTTCTCTCAGAAACTTGCATCCACTTACTGCAGTTTTGCTGTTTGCATGGCTATCCTTGGCTGCTCTACTACCTTCTAGATCCCATGGCTCACTCTTTATTTACCCCTTGTTCTGCTGTAGGAAATCCACAAGTAATTTCCAAACAAGGAGTGCATAGGAGGTGATTTTTGTCAATCTCTTTGCATTTTGAAAATGTTTAGTCTGCTTTCACATTTGAATATAAAATTCTAGGTTGAAAATGTATTTCTCTAAGAATATTGAAGGCATTGCTTCATTGTTTTCAAGTATTTAGTGCTGCCATTAAGAAAACTGACTCCATTCTCTGTGTTTTTGTGTGACCTGTTATGTTTCTCTGTAAGCTTTTGGGCTCTTTATCCTTGGAGTTCTGAAATTGCACAATATGTGTTGGTCTGAATTTTTTTTCATTCATTGTGCCCTACTAGATGGACCTTTCAATATGTAGACTGTTTTAGCTTTTATATTTTCCTTTATTACTTTTTCCCTTTTTTCTGTATTCTCTTTCTGAAATGCTTTAGTCAGATATTAAACATTCTAGATAGACTCGCTTAAGTTGTTTTATTTTTTCCCCTCATTTTCTCTCTCCTTTTTTAATTCAGTTTCTCAGAAATGTTTTTAACTATTTTATACTTGGTGTTGAATTTTTGTTTCTGCAATTATTTTTTAAATTTCCATAAATTCTTTTTGATTCTTGATTTTTTAAAAATATATTTTGGTATGCTATCATCTTGATTAAAGATAGAAACTTTGCTTTTTTTTTTTTTTGCTTTCAATTATCTGTTTCCTCTAGCATAATTTTTTGTTTATTTGTTTTTCTTGGTCTCTCCCATGTCGGTGGCTTCCTCAGCTGCATGGTAGTTTTTGGTTGTCCATATTTAAGAGTAAAGCACTGGCTGGCCATGGTATTGTGTGCCTATAGTCCCAGCTACTCAGGAGGCTGGGGCGGGTGGATTGCTTGAGCCCAGGAGTTTGAGGCTGCAGTGAGCTATAATCATGCCACTGCACTACAGCTTGGGCGACAGAGCAAGACTCTGTCTCTAATGATAAAGGCAGTTGGGGTTGGGGGGCAGGTGCTGTGCTCACACCTATAATCTCAACACTTTGGGAGGTTGAGCTGGGAGGATTACTTGAGGCCAGGAGTTCAAAACCAGCGTGATCAACATAGCGAGTCACAGTCTCTTAAAACAAAAAGAAAAGAGTAAAGCACTATAAAGCCTATTGGGAACTACAGTCGTTATTAGGGATGGTTAATGTCAGGTTTTGGAGCTGGCCGATGTGCTGTGGCAATTCTTAATGCCAACGTGTAGTCTTTGTAGCTGCTCATTTTCTCAGGAAGATAAACCTCATTTTTTTTTCCTATATACTGTGTTTTTCTTTGTCCAGGAAAGGAGTAGCAGCATGTCACCAGGGGTTGGAGGGATGGCCTATTTTACAAATAGACTTTGAGTGTTTTGAAATGTTGGTTCCCTTTTTATCTGTCTCTCTTTCATTCTTCTTGTCATAGGATATATGTACCTTTTATAATTTAGTGTCTTCAGTATGATTCATTTACCTAGAAATCCTCCCTCGTGTGTTTTACATAGAGTCCCTTTCCAAACACCTGACAGATACAGAAAAGTGAAGAGTGATTAGAACAGGGATTGAAGACCATCATTCATGCATTTTCTTTAATAAACATTCAGCACTTTGTATATGTCAGGTACTATGTACCTGGTTCAGGATGAATATCTCAGTACTCCGTATGATTAGGTATAGAAGATTTGTGTGTGTAATATCTAATCAGCTTCTTGGGTGGTTAAAGCCTGATTCACTTCTGCATGTGTGCCAGGATAAACTCCAGGGATGTCTGTGTATTTCATTGGAGTAACTGCTTTGTGCAAGAAGCTCGAGTGCTGTTAAGAGCTGTAAGTTACCAACGAAGCAGATGACATGATTGCTTACCTCAAGAAATGGAATAGAGTTCAGATGTGTGGGAAGCACCAGCATTACTGAGCTCTGGAAACTTAAATAGAGGTTTTATCTATGTTGGGTCTCCAGTTTAACCTAACAGAATTTTAATGAGAAAAAGGAACGTAGGAATATTAGGCAAATTGTGAAGGGTATTTGCATTAAAATTGTCTTAACGTACTTTGATATTTTCAATGTTGGCATTAAGATTACAGAGAAATCCAAAATAAGTGAGTTTTGATATATTCTTTCAACATTCAGTGACATAGATTCATGGGCATGTTTGACCCCTGAACTGGACTTAAATGGGAGCTTTGAGCAAATATTCCTTTAGGAAATATCTTGATATTTTATCTTCTCATGTTGGTCTTTTTTCTTCATGTTTTAGGACAAGGAGTTTGTGTTTTTGTTTTTTTCTTATTTGGGAAGGTTTTTAAAAATATATTTTCCTTAGACTATGCATGGATCAGTTTTGGCCTTTCATTTGGTCTTTTTCAATTGATTATATGATTATATGCATTTGTATACTAAGTTTTCTTGTTGAATTTATTATATCTTTATCATTTTCTCCCTATTTTCGTGATAGAAAAATACGTCTGATATTGTTGAGTGACTGTCATCAACTTTGTTCTACAGCAGTTTAAATCTTTGCACAGTATTTTATTATATGCATATATATACTGTATTCATAGACACTGAGGTTTTCTCTAATTTTGCCTCTTTGACCCTGTAATAAAATCCTTGACAGCTAAATTTTTGTTCATGTCCATGATGTATTCCTAAAAGTGAACTATTTGATTAAGGGAAATGATTTTAAGGCTGTTGATGCATACTCCAGAGTTGCCCTTCAAACAGATTATAGTCATTTATTAGAAAGGTTATGTAGTTTCTTTTCTTCACTGTTTTACTAGTATTGAGATAATATTGTGAATGTAATTTTATAGCTTGCTTTTTCACTAAATATATTGTAACCATTTTCCAATATCTCTAAAAACTCTATTTTAGTACCCTTTTTAAAATTAACTCTTAATTTTTTTGAGATATAATTAACATAAAATTTACCATTTTATTTTTATTTTTGAGTTGTAGTCTTGTTGTTGCCCAGGCTGGAGTGCAGTGCCATCATCATAGCTCACTGCAACTCACTGGAGGGTCAAGTGATCCTCCCACTGTGGCCTTCGCTCAGGCAGCTGGGACTACAGACGTGTGCCACCACACCTGGCTAATTAAAAATTTTGTTTTATTTTTTATAGAGACAGGGTTTTGCCATGTTGCCCAGGCTGGTCTCAAACTCCTGGCCTCAAGTAATGCTCCCACTTCAGCCTCCCAAAGTGCTGAGATTACAGGAATGAGCCACTGTGCCTGGCCAAAATATACCATTTTAAAGTGTACAATTCAGTGGTTTTTAGTCTGTTCACTGTGTTGTGTAACCCTATATGTAATTCCATAACACTTCCATCATCCCAAAATGACATAGCTACCTCTCAGCAGTCATTCCCAATATTCCCTACCTCCATGCCCTGGCAACCATTACTATAATATACTTTACATTTCCATGGATTTGCCTATCTGGACATTTCATATAAATGGAATCATACAATATGTGGCTTCTGCATCTGGCTTTGATTTAGCATAATGTTTCCAAGGTTTATTCATGTCATAGCATGTAACAGTACTAAATTTCTTTCAGTATCCTTCTTATGGCTGCATTATATTTTATCATTTAGTGATTCAATAGTTTACTTCTCTTATTTTATACATTTTTTTCTATATTAACAATACCAGGCATGTTTCTGTGTTTAATTTTTATATATAAATTTCAGAGTAAAATTTTATGGTGGATTCCTTAAAGGAAATTTACTGTGTCAAAGGTTTTGTCTCTTAATGCTCTCGCTTCCCATGGCCAAATTGTTTTCCACTTAAGTTTATATGAATTTAAACTCCTTCCAGTAAGGTAAATGAAATGTTGTGTCACTTTAGCCTCTTTATTGCTAACTTGATGTTAAAAAGACTAACTTGTTTTGTCTGTTCTTATTATTGACAAAGTTGAACTGTTTTCATAAGCTTATTAGTCATTTGAATTTCCTCTTTTTAACTTCTATTTATGTCTTGTCATTTTTTTTTCCTGTAAAATTCTGTTTTCTTTTTGTGTTTGAGGTTTTTATATAGAAAGGAAGTTTGCTGGTTGAATTATTTGTTGAAAATATTTTCCCCAGTTGTCATTAGATGTTGTTTTATATCTTTTAAAGTACAGAAATTTTAATTTTTATAATGTAGTTGTTTTTAAATTGAAAATTAAACCTCAAACAGTTAACTTTTTGTTCTCTTTGGAATTCCCTTTGTTATATGGTGTGCTGTATTATTGTTATTATTACAGATAGCCACCAGGTCATTCCAGCACCATTTAAAAGATAATCCTTTCCTTTTCTCGTTGATCTGTGATGTCTCCTTTATCATTTATTGCATTCATAGATTTATGAGGCTCTGAGTCTCAATATACTATTTCATCAATCTATGTTTTTTTCTCCCAAGTTCTAGTTAATTAGATGGAGGTAGGATAGCAAACTGTTATCTATACTAGACCTGTGCTTGGGGGTCAGGTAGACCTTTGTTGCTAAGTGGGCAGAGCTAGGATTCTCTCTATATTTTGGGGAAACTAACTTAAGCTTTCTATGCCTCATTTTTTTTTTCCATCTGCAAAAGGGGATAATAAAAACCAACCACTCTAAAAGGATATTTTGAGGATTAAAGAAATAATGCCTTACTAAGTGAACAGCATCCTGGCACATTTAATAAGTTCTCATTAAATGTTAACTGATAAGATGATGATAATTTTGTATTATAGCATATTAGTATTTGGTAGGATTATATTTCAAAATGCTTTTAGTTATTCTTACATATTGAGTTTCTGGATTTAACTTTAGATTTTTTTTTCATTCTCTCAAAAACTATTTATATAGGATTATAAGTTAATTTGGGGGAAAACTGACAATAATACTTAATGTTCCCATACAGAAACTTGGTATTTCTTACCATTTATACAAGTTTTCCTTTTGTTTTTGCAAGATTTACTGATGTTTCCCTTTTAAATGTCCTGTATGTGGTTTTGGTAAAACTATTTTTTAGGTATTTTTTGTTAATATGTATAGAAATTTTTTTGTTATTATTTTTTAGCGAGTTGTTGCTGGTAGTTACATATTTTTAACACCTGTTGGTCTATTTTATTTGTTCTAAATTATTCATAAATTCTCAGATATTTGGGTGTTTTTGCTCTTTTCTAACTCCTTGCTTATGCATTATCTCCTTTTCTTTATTTCTAAAGATTATGATTGTTTTTGCTCTTTCATTAAAATGTACTTTTGTTCCTTTTTTCCTTAACTCTTGTCATTTAGGTAAAAACAGATGATATAGCAAGAATTTATCAGCCTAAGCGTTATGCTTTGTCACCCAAGACAACGATTACAATGGCACATCTACTTGCTGCTCGTGAAGATCTATCCAAGATCATTAGGACAAGTAGTGGCACCAGCCGGGAGAAGACCGCATGTGCCATTAATAAGGTTGGTGTTTCTTTCAGTACAGTGGAAAATGAATTGATGATATCTTACTTAATGTTTTTACAGATTTTAGTCTATTTTTCTTTCATGTCCTGGTAAATGTTTAGAAAAAAGAGTGGCAGGGGGGTTCAGTCTAGGCTTAGTTATGTTATTTTTGTGTATGTGTGTATGTTCACTTGAATTTGTGTATTCATAAATCAAAGTATTTTCTGAATTAGAGGAATTATGAATTGTTTTTGTCAAAGCTTTAGCAAGAATTATGTTCCATCTTTCTAAAAAGTAATCATTTTTTGTCAGTAAGAATCTTTCGGAATTGTTTCAAGTACTGACAGATTCGTTATATCCTTGGTGTAAAGGGAAGAAGAGTTTGTGCTTTAGAGTCAGACCAATCTGGGTTCCCATCCTGGCTCTGTCATTTACTTACAGAAATGACCCTGAGCAAGCTACTGAACTTCTTTGAGCTTCTGTTTCCTGATTTGGAGTATACATCCATTTCTCTGACAGTAGTCTATTTAAACAAGCTCAAGGAGTCTGAATTTTTCACTTTACAACAGCAATAACAATAAAGTAATTTAGTATGTTTATGTCAGCTTAACTGGCATGTCCTCTTCATTTAGGTAGAGCACTCCATGGCAAACTTTATTACAAAAGAGCAAAAAATCAGAAATAAGGGATTTGGATAATTTTAAAGCATCGCTTCTCACTCAGTGTAACTTGAGATAAAATACCTTTTCAGAGGGATGGTTGTTTTTAAAGTCATTTTGCTAACTATTGCTAAGTTAGGCATCACCAGTGTTTGCCTCTGTGCTTCCACTGTGGCTCAATCCTATGTTCTGAAAGTGTTCTCTCTTTAAATATATTACCTAACATCTTGCATTGGGTGATAATTTAGTCTTGCTGGATCAAGAGTTCTATTTCTGTAAGTAACATTGGCCATCTCTTCTGAGTTTATAATTTATGGTCTCATTATTTGAGGGTAGTCTTATGATCAGTTCTGGCATCTCCATATGCCCACCAACATACCATGTTTGGTAGAGAGACCAGTGAGAATAATAACCAAGAAAGGCTGTTTTTTGGATTTGGTAGTTAGGACATCATTGCCATCTTTAAAAGAATGTTGCATACTTAGAACCTTGTCTCACTTTGAGGATATTGCACTTTTTATATTTCATTTGTGACATAAATCCTAAACTTGGTTTTGATTGGAGGATCAATGGAAGTGTATAATTAATTGGTCATTTTGGTTGAGGCAGTTGCTTTTTTACTTTCTTTCCTGAAAGGCAGTAGCAGGAAGCTATTGGCTTCCCCTTGTCTGTGGTGAGCAGATGACACCCTTCTTATTGCTATCTTTCCTCTGCTCATGGCATATAAAGCTGCTACTTTTTATAGAAGGTTGGATACTTAAACTCTTCCCTAGTTTATTTTTGAAAGGATTATAAAGCATAGTAAAGGAATTATATTAACTGTGTTTTCCTTTTAATAATATGGTACTAGTATCATCACTGAAAGTAAGTGAGCTTAAGTTTCTTAAAAGAAGCAGTTCATTGAGAATCCTTCTCTCTCTTTGCAGTGATACCTGGAATTATAGTTTTTATATCAATCTCTGACCTCATTAAGGTCCCATGTTATATGTACTTCATACATTTTTGAAATGAAATGTGCTTAGGAATATAATCTTTTATTGGATAATCAATTACCAAATCAATGGCAATGGAAAGTCCAGAGTTGTTATTGTATAAATGGATATTAAGTTAATGAATGTAAGGTATGTCGTTATATATATAAAAAATGTTTTCCTAAAAGAACTTCTTAGTGAAATGGGTACTACATTTGTTACAGAATTTGCTAAACAAATTTAAGTGAGAAAAAAATTAAGCCTTTAAGTTTCAGAAATACTCTCTCAGATTGTTTAAAAATAATATATTCTAGGCTGGGTGTGGTGGCTCATGCCTGTAATCCCAGCACTCTGGGAGGCCGAGGCAGGCGGATCACGAGGTCAGGAGATCAAGACCATCCTGGCTAACACGTTGAAACCCTGTCTCCACTAAAAATACAAAAAATTAGCTGGGCGTGGTGGCGGGTGCCTGTAGTCCCAACTACTCGGGGGGCTGAGGCAGGAGAATGGCGTGAACCCAGGAGGCAGAGCTTGCAGTGAGCTGAGATCATGCCACTGCACTCCAGCCTGGGCAACAGAGCAAGACTCCATCTCAAAAAAAAAAAAAAAAAAAATATATATATATATATATATATATATACACTAAGGAATTTGTCATGTATCACACATTTTATATTTTTTCATATTTCCTTTTTAAAACCATTCATTTTTTTCTTTTTTCTTCAGACTTGGTAAACAGGAAGTAAAAAAATTATTTTTTAAATTGAAACACCATAATTGTACATATGTATGAGGTACATAGTGATGTTTTGATACATACAATGTATAGTGATCAGACGGGGTGATTGGCATATCCCTCTCAAACATTTATCATCTCTTTGTGTTGGAAACATTCAATATCCTCCTTGTAGCTATTTGAAACTATATATTAACTACAGTCATCATACAATGGTATAGAACACTAGAATTTATTACTTCTGTCTAGCCGTGATTTTGTATCCTTTAACAGATTTCTCCTTATCCTTCCACACTTAATATTTTTAATATTAATTTGTTCTGCCATGTCTGGTACTTTCATGTCCTTAAATATTGGCTTCTGTTTATTAGAAACAACATCACTTGAAACTTTTATGTAAACTTTTTTGAAATATTAGGAACTAAAAGAAAATGTTTCTTCACACAGGTGCTGATGGGAAGGGTGCCTGACAGGGGAGGCCGGCCGAATGAAATTGAACCACCACCTCCAGAAATGCCCCCTTGGCAAAAGAGACAAGAAGGCGGCGGTGGAAGGGGTGGTTGGGGTGGTGGTGGTGGAGGTGGTGGTAGAGGAGGTGGTGGGGGTGGGGGTGGGAGAGGTGGCTGGGGGGGTGGAGGAGGAGGTTGGGGAGGTGGTGGGGGAGGGGGAGGAGGGTGGGGGGGAGGAGGAGGAGGTGGTAGAGGAGGTTTCCAAGGCAGGGGAGATTATGGTGGAAGAGGGGGTTATGGTGGAAGAGGGGGCTATGGTGGAAGAGGCTATGGAGATCCATATGGAGGAGGTGGTGGTGGTGGTGGTGGTGGTGGTGGAGGAGGTGGATATAGAAGATACTAAAAACTATAAAAATTAGATAGCAGTGCTTGCTTCTTTATAGATACATTAGAAATAGTGTTCCAAATAACATACTTGAATATCATCTTTGAAGTAAACACCATGTTAGACTCCCTGGTGATACCACTCTTGAATTGGTTAATATGTAAGAACATTGTTTTTTATTACCAGTTGATCTCTCAAATGAAGTGATGACTTTTTCCATATTCTGTGTACCCTTGAGCATGTTGTGTCTTTTTAAAAAACAAAAAAAAGAACAAAAATTATTTTTTAAAATGTAAATATTTATTACCATCAGACTTGGAAAATGGAAAGTATTTTATTGTCATGATTGAATTTAGATTGTTACCTGTATTTTGTTCAGGTTTGAGACATATAAAAGACCCCACCTGTAATAGAAAGGAATATAGACCCTTGCCTCACCTGTATTGCTGTGGATGTGTTTTGTGGGTTTTTCATTCGATTTTACAAAATAGGGAAAGGCACTTCCAGTTGTATTTAGTAGGCAGTTGTTGTGAATCATTTTTTTCTCTTATAGGAGGAGATTCCTCTCTAGCCATGTTTCTGTTAAAGTTTCATTAATTGAAGCCCAAGTTTACTTTTTACTGTACATACTTATTTTCTAATTGGATTTGAAATCAGCATGATTTTGTTTGACAAAGCAAAGTTTAAGATTGAGGTCAGAAATACTTTAATGGAGCAAAGACACATACCAACTTTACATGACGGTGTGAGAAATAGTCCTATAAACTGGTCTCTTCATCATTTATGCTCTCACTTTAGATATCCAAATATTAAAAGGCAGGCTGACCTGTATCACACAGAATTAAGGCAGTAATTTTCTGCTTCAGTAGATCAAGGGTAGGGCTAAGGCATCCTGTGGTAATTCTGATTCACAGCTAGATTTGGGAAACACAAAGTTAGGGAATGGCTATATGTGATTTGCTAGTTGGAGCAGTCAAAGTCTTAGCTATCAAGAGTTGTGAATTTGAATCATGGCACTAGGTCAGGGGTGCTATGGATTGAAATGACCTTAGTTCTCAAGGAGTGATTTGTCCTCATTTGTCAAATGAGGAATGAGACACTTACCATCATCTCAGGTTGTTTCTTAAAGACCTAAATACAAATACAATTTGTTAAAAACTTACAGAGGGCCTATTTTGAATGCTTTAAGATGTAGGCCAAGTAATGTATTTTTCTCTTAGTGTAGAAAGTTAAGAGAAAAAGAGCTGGTACCATAAATTTTTTCAATCTTAGTGTAAAATCTGTATCTCATTGTAGGCTTCTGGTCAATACCTATACATAACAACTTAATGTGATCTAACCAACTCAACTGATAGAAAGCTGAATTGTTCCCAGTGGACAAGTGGTATTTGATGTTTAGCAGGTTTTTTTGTTGTTATTTTTTTGGTAAACTCTGTGGTAAAATCTAAAATAATGTTAAAACCCTAAAAGTAACTATTGAATATTCTGTAATCTTAGACATGTATTTTTCAAGCTAACCCTTTGAAGAAATGTGTTCAAGGTAGGAAAATATAAAATTTTTTGGTTATTTGTAAATTTATTTTTTGTGTGTTTATATTTAATGAAAAGATGTAATTTCATTTGTGATAGCTGAAAAAAAGGCTTTCCATAATTAAGAAAATACCTTTATCAGTAGCTATGAACTCTGAAAAATAATTTTTAAAAACTTTTAAGAAAAAAACTACTTGAGTAAAATATTTCAAGAGTTGTTTAAAAATCTTCTTTAAAACCTTTACATTTCTGCCTCACTTCTTTTTTGGTAGCATTAGTTGCTGATGAAGGAGATTTACAACTACTTTCAACTTTTTTACCACTAAAGGTTTATGGTAAATATGGCAGAAACAATAGTTTATCAGTTTCATTAGATTTTCCATAAGATTTCTTTGTACCTTTATAGGAGTGCTGCTTGGGTTATTCACTACAATCACTTATTTCCTATCAAAGTTTAGCACTTGCTCCTGGAATCGTGTTGGAGCTGAAACCACTCCTATGTACACATTCCTATAAACCTTAATTGAATGAAAAGCTGAATCAGGTAGACTCTTAATATTTTACTCTTTCCTGTAAGGTGGGATTTTCCTGATAATCTTTGTTCAGTAAAAATTTCTTTTGTAGAACAGTTTGCTGAGCAGTATCTGGAATAGCAGGAAGGAAATTTGGGGCCTTAATGGGAAAGGCCATAGTGTGAAAATGTTTTATAAATTGAGTGCAATACGACATGGAGTATGATGAATGGCACTCCACTGCTTCCTAAAATCCAACACTTTTTTTGATACCTCCTTTTCATTCTTTTTTGCCTGGTTCTCAATTTCATTTTTTAATTACCTCATTGTCCTTCCCCTTTTTTCTTCTCTTTTTGTCCAGCCTGGTACCTAATAGCAAATATAGACATGATCTTACTGGGAGTTTCTGCCTAAAGTAGTCATCTTTCCTCTCGACCGTATAAAGAGCATGTATTCTGTCTATAACATAATCACCACACTATTACTCATAAGCACACATCAAAAGGGAAACAAGGGTTTTCTTTGAACTTACTTTTGTTTTGCAGATCAGGGAAACCTTGCCTCATTAAACAGAAAAAGGAAAACATTTTAAATAAAAAACATCTTATTACCTGTATCTGTGACAAGAGGAGGCATGACAACCTAAAAAAAATTTGTGACCAGAAAAATGTCCTGAGCAGTGATACTATCTATACCTTGGAAGGAGCACAGGTTAGAGAAATGTGGGGATGAAAATTGGGGAAGGTGAGCAGGCAGTTTAATCTTGCCTTCAGGATCAGGCTGTCAGTGTGACTTTATTACTTTGTATGAAGTATTATGAATTGCCCAAATGATAAATACACCCCCATCTAAATGTTCCAGAATGCATTCCACAGAGGAATTTGAGTGACTGAAATTTTTCCTCTTTCTTCATTGGTGTGGTTAAACAAAAATTAGCTGGGGATTAAGGGAAAATTGTGGCTATGTCTGATCATTCTAAATAATCATGACCACAAATAAATTGCCCTGAGTAGGTCTGTAACCTGGATTGAGCTGTCGTTACCAATTTTATCCATAGCTTCAAAGGATTTCTTCTTTACATGCTAGTTTGCTTAGATGAAACTGTGGAATTAAAAGCCACAGAGAAGGGACAACCTCAAGTCTGTCTCCTTTAATGTTAAGTATTTATAGACTTAATATTTGGGGACCACTGTAAGTTATGAATAAGATGGAAAGAGATTGAATATTTCTGTAGTGTTACTTCTTCGTGTTGTAAAAAGATGTAGAAAATTTTAAACTGAATAGCTGCTTTGCCTTTCCTTCCAGGAAAACTCAATTTGATTAATAGAATAGGGCAGTGGTCTTAGCTGTGGAATATAGGAAAAATTCAGGTAAAGTGTTTACGGGGTCACGAAGCAGAAGAAACACAAGACATTTGTGTTGTAGGGATCCTAATGTCTTTTATCATATAAATATTACACAAAGAAAACTTACATTAGGTATCAAAAAACTTTACAATCTGTACATTTGTTTTTTTCTTGCATTTCTATATTATACATTTTGAGACAGAAATTCACAACGGTCAGTAAAAAGGTAAGTCAGCAAAGAAAATGAGAAGTGACCCTGCTGTTAATACAACAAGATTTGTCCTTGTTTTGGCAGATAAATACCTGGCCAAACTAAAGTCGTGTGAGATGCAGAAATTTACACTAGGCTTGATAAGCCAAAGCCTTTTTTTTTTTTTTCCAGATTTCTGTGATCCCACTAGCCCCATGTTGCTCAACACAAATACTATTAACTTGTATACTATACCTCTTTGGCCCTTGCTGGACTGTAAAAACCTGTGACTAAACTATTTCCTCTTATCCATTTCAGTGATAAATTCTGCAGTACTTGATACTGTTTAGCCATTGCTAATTTGACTAATTAAGTGGACTGTGACACCTTTTGAATCCCTATAGATTATTTATATAAAAACTAACTGGGGATCTTTACTTCGAATGGAGAGGAGGAAGAATGAAAAAAATTGTGTTCCATTACTGTTTTAAAAAATTAGAGTACACCATCTTTGGTCTATATCAATCAAAGGAAAACAAGAATAGTGAAGAATATGAATTTTTAGAGTTTGTCCTAACTCATGCTTGTCCTATTAAAAAGAAAGTAACAAAGTGTTACTATAAGTTTATATGCCAGGTAGTGGGCTTAAGCAGGCCTGCTTTGGGTATTTCTGAGTTTAAATTTGGAAAACGGTAAATACGTGTGTAAAACTATTCTTTATAATGTAATGAAACACTAACTACAAGCTAGTTCTATATCACTAAAACTCAGTGCAAGGAGGAACTCAAATGGGAACTGATCTTTCATCAAAGAGAATTCCTAAATGATCTGAATCCTCCAGGTAAGCAATACTGTATGTATACTTTGTATTCTTATGAAGACTTGGTGCTATTGGCTTTAGTTTGGAACTTTTAATTGTTAACATATTCTTGGCAATTGGACAACTTGTTTATGAATTTCAAGTCAGTCTGGTACCAGACTTTATAGGCATGGAAGCTAAGTACCCCCAAAAAGGAAAATGATCATATGATTTTTTTTTTTTTAAGAGAACTAAAAAGAGGCTGACAAATGAATTTGTGAATAGGTGCCCAGGCAACTAAATGAGCCCATTTATTATTAACCTTCATAATAGAAAACTCACAGGATTGTTACTTGTGATTTTGCCAAACAATACAATTTTACCTTGTGAGCAATTTAATCTTGTGACAAACTGAACTTTATATTTGTGACTTTGTATAAATGACTAAAACTTGTTTAATTCACTTCCACATTTTATGGAGGAAACAAAATTCCAAGCCACATGCATGCCTGATATTGTATATACATATTATATACATATGTACACACAGTCAGCTATTATTTAAGCCACTGATCCAATTAGCTTATTTCTAAATAGTATTAATAGTGAAGACAGTTAAGCACAAATTCATTTCAAAAAGAGAACTTTCAAAATAGTTTACTTCAGAAGAGAAAGATGGAACATGAAGAGTTAAACAGACTCTTCATAGACTTTTTTTTTTAAGCCATCAATTCCTAATTCTATCCACTGTAGAATATATAAGGACAAACATGTTTGCGTTATGTTTATTTTAATTAGACAGTAATATGAGATGGTAATAGCTATGTTTCCAGGTACCTAATTTGATTACTTATTTTCTGATGCCTGTAAGTTGTAAGGCTACAACTATAAGTTGACCTGCAATTGGATAACGTCATGTTTAATAGGCCTCTAAAAAGTTGTGGCTACATCAGTAGAAATTGGCTTCTAGGTAGATATGCTCATGTGTTATGACTGTAGTGAGGAAGGAGGGTACATGGACTAATTGATTAGATCTGAGGTAGTGAAGAAGGAGCCAGGTTCACAAAGTATGCTGGGATACAGAGGAAATCTACTTTTGGAATATGGGTAGTTTTCTATTATTAGCAAGCTTTGGCTGGAACAAAGTAAGTCAGTTTGCAGAAAACACAGGGTAAGAAGCAAATCCATTTTCCAGAGATTTTAGTTTTAAGGAAGAATCAGCCAGGCAGGCCACCGAGATGCCCCATTGTCAGGAAATGATAGTCATGTTTTAGATCGCATACTTTTGATGAACATCAGTGGTATGAATAGCAAAAGTTTTGCATTCTTTAGTTTTCCCCCTTTGAGTCAACTAACTGAAAGAGAAAACAGTGCTGCACATTAGGAATCTTTTAGGTAAATAAACAGTAACAGGCTTTTCCTTTTAAAGTACTGTTTTAAAGCTGGTCAGTGTAAAGTTCCTCAGGTCTGTGCATTACAGTTTAGGAAATGAGATCACTATACTCATCTACAGATTGTGCTACTTAGTTTCTGGGCTAAGAACAGTCACCCTGCTCCATTTGAGCTAAGACATGATTGCTTTTTTCAAGCTGGAGGGATTCTATTTTCTTCTGTGCATATTTCAGTTGGATCTTTAGGGCATCATTATCTGCTTTCAGAGTATTTATTTCCTAAAGGGAAAGGAGAATGAGGTATGTTAATAAAGCAGCAATGAATAGCAAATGAATTACAAATTGAGAGCTACTTTTGATTGGCATTTCCTATTCACTGTGGCTGAGAATTAACAACCATTTTCAAGATAGTTATTTTGCCCTGAATAGAAAATAGCAAGTTAAATATCAAACGAGCATTTGTAAGCAGCAGTTAGTCTTTGTTATCATATCAAAGTTTGTGAGTGGTTAGCAGGCAGAATAAACCATTTCCGAGCAATAGGTAGATAATGACAAAACTTTTGGATGTTTTCTCGCGGGAGATCTCAACTTGGCAGAAACAGTCTCTGGTCAGGTCTGAGCCATGAAAGCATGACTGAGAATTCTGTAATGCAAGGTGTTAGTTAATTTTATCTAAGTTTCCCCCCCACAAATTATTGAAAACAAATTTAACTTTTTGATGATGTTAAGAATTTCACCCCACCCCTAAGTTGAGATTTAGTGGTCTAATTTGTAGTGGTATCATTATAGAGCCAACAGTTGATTTCCAGTCTTCTGATTTTGAGTCCAGTGTTCTTATGTTATCCTATACTGATTACTCCAAGAGAATATTATATATAGACAGTGTCTGGGTAATTTGGGATACACTGGGTTGTTTCTCAATCTGAATTATCTACATAGCTGTCTCAGCTGCCATATAATAGTGAGCACTTGCTATGTGCCTGCGCTGTGTGACATAATGGACTGCCTTAACCTACACAAACACCCTGAAAATAGGTTGTATACCTCAATCTTATAAAGGCAAATGTTGCCGTATAGTATAAAACTGCAGAGTTGAGCCTTGGTATATCTAAACATAAAAGCTTTTATTTGCTTATTCTTTTGTCCCATGCTGGTTCAGTGGTACATTATACTTAAAATAATACATAATATTTATTCTTATTAATATACGTTATATATTGTAAATACTGATTTAATTTGACTAGTTATTATGGATAGGACTGTTGAATTACACATAGACTAGTCATTGTAAGGATTATACTTAATGGGAAAGTGGGACACATAATTGTTCCTCTAAAATACACACAGTGAATTCTGGACCTTAGGTCTATCTGACAAGCCTAAAAAGTAAAGAGAGGCGGTGGTCAAAATGGTGAGAGGGTTTACTGGCTCTGATGTTGCTGAGTAGGAATTCTAATCTTTCTGCGAGCCACTTCTTAAAGCATTGTTGCCAACCACATTTTTCCTTTTCATCGGCATGTAAAATGTCAAGATTTGAGGCAAACCTTTCAGAACATGGAATCCCAGCCCTGTATTTCACAAGGACCAAATAGGCTGTAGAGTTTAACAGCTGGTGTAAGAAATGTCTGGGACTGAAAACACAAATCTTTGCCTCCAAGACCAAAGTTCTTTCTATTCTACCGAGTTCATTTTTCGAGGTTTCTTTCATCATTTTTAGAAGTTGCATTTGGCAGTTTCTATCCCTAAAGAGGAAGGGGTTTGTCTAACCCACGTTTTGCCACCTTCTCATTGACTTGGTTTTTACAGCACATCTTAACAATAACTCTGAGCAAGAGAGTACCATTCATCCAGAAAATCTGTTGTTCTTTTTTCGTATGTTTCTCTTAATATTATGTTCTTTGTACCAAGCACCAAATCAAGAGTTCCACATACGTTATCTAACTTGTTTCTTCAGATGTTTCTCTAATTCAGTTTCTGGGGGTCTGACAGGGAAGGTAGAGCATTGAGGACAATGCAGGGAATCCTGAAGCCCTCGTGGACAGTTTTTCAGTCTGTAGAATGTAGAATTATATAAGGAATTCTACTAGCTGGATATTGGTTTTGTGTTTGCACTGACAGGTCTCCAAAAACACAGTGCAAACCTTGATGTTTTTGGGAAAAGCCAGAAAGGCATTCCTCCTCCTGTAATAAAGTGAATAGTAGTGTTGATATTAACGTATCCTTGCTTCCCTGTCTCTAAAATGGCTTAGTTATCTATAATTAAGAAACTACTATGCCATGGGACAGTAGTTTCTTACCATTTGTAGGTTCTTACCAATTATAGGTAACCTCTTGAGCCAGCCCTGTGAGTTGTGTACTGTACTCGAAACAAAAAGAAGTATAGTAATGATTGAACCTTCAGAATTGAGTATCTTGACAGTTGGCTGTTGGCTCTTTTTCCTTCTGCTGTTCCCGTCTCCTACTCCTCCCCACCCGCTTTTTTTTTTTTTGAGTTGGAGTCTCACTCAGTCGCCCAGGCTGGAGTGCAGTGGTGCCATTTCGGCTCACTGCAAGCTCCGCCTCCCAGGTTCATGCCATCCTCCTGCCTCAGCCTCCCAAGTAGCTGGGACTACAGGCGCCCATTACCACGCCTGGCTAATTTTTTATATTTTTAGTAGAGATGGGGTTTCACCGTGTTAGCCAGGATGGTCTTGATCTCGTGACCTCGTGATCCGCCCACCTTGGCCTCCCAAAGTGCTAGGATAACAGGCGTGAGCCACCACGCCGGGCCTTTTTTTTTTTTTTTTTTTTTTAAGATGGAGTCTGTTGCCTAGGCTAGAGTGCCGTGGCTTGGTCTCAGCTCACTGCAACCTCCACCTCCCGGGTTCAAGTGATTCTCCTGCCTCAGCCTCCTGAGTAGCTGGGATTACAGGCACCTGCCATCATGCCCAGCTAATTTTTGTATTTTTAGTAGAGACGGGGTTTCACCACGTTGGCCAGGCTGCTCTCGAACTCCTGACCTCAAGTGATCCACCCACCTCTGCCTCCCAAAGTGCTGGGGGCATGAGCCACCACGCCCAGCCCTATTTTCCTGTTTTTAATGTCATTATTCCCTTCTCTCAAACCTTGGCACCATGTTTCCAAACTCTTGGTCTCCTTTCCTTGGTAAACTTTATTTTGTCTTTTCCATTGTCTCTGTTAGGTACCTGATAATTAGGACATTGTGAGCCTAACATTGAAAAGCAGCTCCTCTTGTCATGATTGTTAACATTTTATAGATTATATTGCTCTATATTATATTCCACTGTGTGTTTGCCTGCTACTGTTGCTTTCACTATTCTAATATGTGTAAAAGATCAGCATATTCCCTGATGTGTTAGAAAAGATTCTCTTCGTTTATATTTAGGAGGGAGGCGTTTTCTATGGTGAGCCACAATACACTCACCTTTCTCTTGTTGTTGTTGCTATAGGACTAAGATCACTAACTTCTCTTAGGAAGATGCTTAGGTAACCATGATGATCCTAAACCATAACCCTGATGAACATGTTAAAGAGACCTCTAGGGAAGGAGGATTTAGGCAAGTTCATTTTAGTTCCATCTAGAAAAGGAGTGGTATCAGCACAGTAAAGCTAACCAGTAGATACTGTGGTTTTTCTCTGTGAGCCTACTAAACAGGGCTTTGGGCACTGGCACCAGCACTCTGAAATGCCACCACCTGTGTGGTGATAGGGAGCCCTGTATAGCCTGTGCTACTTGTGTAATGTGAACCAAGGCCCCCAGTGGGTTGTGAGAAAGCTGGAATCAATCATCCTTTCTTCCTTCCCTCCCTCTCTTCCTCCCTGTTTCTCCCTCCCTGTTTCTCCCCTCCTCCTTTTTTGTTTTAGACTGCTTGTAATCAGCCTGATCTGAATCTTCAGTCCACATGCTCTTTCCTGGTTTGGCCCCACTTCTCTAAGATAGTCTGAAAAAAAGGAAAATGAAAAGGAAGGTACCTGTTCCAGTTCTTGGTAGGTAGGCAGTCTGAGGTGACGGAGCTCCTCCTTTGATTTTATGAGGGAGTCTTTATTCTCCCACTTGACAAAAGCCCGCTTTCTGACCAAGACTGGGCTAGGACATGGAGAGGTGGGACTGGGAAGCACATATAGAGTATCCTGGGCTGTCTTCCTTGGGGAAGACAGCACAAAGGGACCTGAAGGGCCCTCACTGCCAATCCAAGGCTGTGATTCAGTCTGGGTGGCCTTGTGGGCAACAGCCCTCTTCAGCCGAAGAGAAATCTTCTGTGAGGACACTCCCATCAGCATGATGGTCCGATCCTTACTCTCCTCACCATGTTCCACAGCCTCCCCATTAGGGAATGTAAAAGGTCCTTCCTCAGGTGCTGTAGGAAGATACAGGACATGCTAGTACTCTAGCTCAGGAAAGCAGAGACTCAAGACTGAGACATTAGTTTCAATGAGACCTTTCTTATTGTTACTGGAGTTCCATATGTTCAAAGAGGACCCATTTTCAGGCACCCAGTTTAGGGGGTGAGGGCTAAATCCAGGGGCTTTGGCCAAGACATGGCCACTGGTGTCAAGCTACATCCACCCTGAGAAAGAGCATCTTCTGTTTGCACAAAGGTTGCTTAGAGGGTTTCTGTTTTTGGAGGTAAGTTGAAGCCCCTGCCTCAGTGCCACAGAGTTTCATAAAATAAAGAGAACAAGAACAATATCTAGACAGAAATGCTCCATAAATACTTTTTTGGACCCTGGAATTTGGGAGCTCTCCACATTCATGTCTCAGTCCTGATACAGACACCCTCTAGCAGGTAAGTACTCTCTGGGAACCCGTTTGTACAGTGGGCACAGCTTAACCATGAGAAAGAAGTTTTAGCTTTGTGGAAATGTACCTTAAAATGTATTGCCCCTGTTTGATACTGAGAGGAAAAAGGTAAGTTACTCTGGTTTTCTTTAACTAAGACCCACTACCCAGGATCCAGCCTAGTAATGTTAGCCATAAGGAGTAATTTCCTGGAAAAGTAAAGTAAGAGCAGATGTATTTGAGGTGGGCGATAGATAGGCTTTAAGATAAACTGAAGATCATCTCAGTTTACTTTTTGGAAAGACTCAGCAGTGATTAAAACATTGGATAGTCTGACTTTGAAGACATTGGATTAGTATAGTCAAGATGGCTTTAAAAAACAACAAAAAAGTTTTCTAATTAGTATTTGACCAGAATCAACCAGTTGTAAAACTAGAAATCTTACAAAGATCTTAGTTTAATTCTTGCCAAAGAGAACATAATTTAAATTAACATTTAATATTTATCCAATAAAGCTCAAAATTGTAATTACATAGTTATTTAAGTGCTCAAATATTTAAATTGTTATGGTCACCCTAAAATAATTACATTTTTTTTTTGGAGGAGTATTATGGGTGATTATTTTTTATATCTCCATTTTCCAACTTTTCTGTAATACAGTTATACATTCTTTTTACCAACCTAGATTGTCAAATTATGAATATAATCCCCTCCATTATTTAGGTTGAATTCCTAGACATACAGGGAGCTTGGGACAGAAATTCAGGCACTATACACTTTGAGGAGCAAAAGGAAGAAAGCAGTAAGAACAAAAAGCAACAGAAAGCCCTTAAAATTGCAGGAAGAGTCCTGAGAGATGACAGTGTTAACAGAAATTAGGAGAGGTACAAGTTTCAAGAAAGTGAAAGTTGATGAGATTGAGAAAGATAGTAATGGGCTAAAAGAAATCACTGGAAATTTTGATTTGATAAGCAGAAACCATCCCCGATAATAATGAGATAGAAATAACTAAGAATGGATGATATCCAATAGTCATTTTTGCCATTATAAATAGACCTTGACTTTTAGCAACTTTATAATAATATAGTAATTTTCATTTTGTTGCCCATGATACATGTATGTTTATCCTACCTATTGGTCTACTTCCTGACAAGTACTTATCTTACCACTGTGGGGCAGGGTTTGGAAAAGGGGAGAGATGGCCTGGAGAGGAGAAATCTCTAACAACTGCCCCTTCAGGGATTCCTTTTTGAGGCCTCAGATTCAGGCTGTTCTCTGCTGTCTTTTCCACTTGAAAATCTGCATTTTATGTGACAGAATTGTGGTGCCCTAAGGTTATGTGTAACTCTGAAAATACAGAGTGCATGAATGAAATACAGGGTACAGGCCTATTTTTCACAATGGTGTTTGTGATTTCTATTAAAAGTTGAACATCAAATTCTTAGTTGATTAGCATATTCTTTCTTAGAAAAGACCCTAAGAGGATTTTTTCCCCCTAAGAACAAAACACCCCAAAAGTTTGAAGTCAGCCTGTGTTTAGATAGATAGTAAGGGGAAAGATTTAGGAAGACAGAAAATTTTTACTTGGCTGATGTGATAAAAAGGAATGTGCATTTCTTACATGGAAGTGAAGCACTTAAGCTTTGATCTAATTGATCAATAAATGCATGTGGATATTTACCACTGAACATTAGAAGTGCTTTAAATGCAGAATGTATACTATATGGACTTTTTCTCTAGGCATCTGTTGTAACGATAGTGGCCTTACCACTTTAGGGAGCTTATTTCAAAAGAGTAATGATATTAACATATGGTACATACGTGTTAAGCCCGATTTTAAGTGCTTTATATAAATAAACTCATTTCTTATTTCCCTTTTTGGTTCTACTTAGAAGTCACACAGCTTCTTATATTAAACTGGCACTAACCTAATAAGCACTGGATTTTTGCTGAAGACCTATATGTTCTTTAGTTAGTCAAGGTGATCAGTGTTTTGACATGCTGGCTAACCAGCCAGCCCAGAGATCAGGGCCTAGTATAGCACTATGAAGCCTTGTGCCCCAACCGTCCCCAACAAGCCCTTCATGTTACCCTTTTTTAAATAGCTCCTCATTTTATCATACAGACAGGCACCTGTCATTTAAGACTCTCTAGACTGTCTCATTTTTCTACTTCATCTCTTACCTAAATCGCCTTAACACCTTTTTTTTTTTCCCACTATCCCAATAGTACTAAAGCTGTTCTGCCCTTGGCCTTTTGCTCCTACTGTACATCCTATCTGGAATGTGCTCTGTCCTCCTCCCATAACTTAATTCTACCCTTCCTTCAAGACTTAGCTGAAATTCCACCTTCTCCATAAAGTCCCAACAGCCCCAGTACAGCGATCTCTCTGCTATGTCCTCCTGTCATTTGCTGTCACTGCAACCTATTTGGCTCTTAGCATATACTCTTGCATTGTTTCTAAACTGCTCTATATTTGTATATTATCTTCCCCCTAACTAGAACTACTCCATGAAGACAGAGACAGTCTATTCTGCTTCTTTGCACTTTAGATCTGGGGCATCTCAAACATACTCAAAGTCATTTCCTTATTGTACTGTTGTTTGCATTTTAATGTAAGTGAATTTGCTAGTTTATTTCTTGAATGTTGAATGTTTTGTCTCAGTCCTAGGATTTTCCTTGTATGATTTGGAATTTTAATCTGCAAGCTCCACTTGAGTGGGAGTTTGCCCCCCGCCCTTCCTTTCTACATTTAGCCTTCTGTTTCTAGAATTTTGACAATTACCTGCTACCTGGCCCCTCAGGGTTCCTCAGACTAGGACCTGGTCTTAAATTAATGGCTTGGGGTTCCTCTCCTGGAGAAAAATTGGGGCTATCATAGACAGTCACTCAGCTAGTAGAACTCTGTCTGTGGCTAAGTCTGCTTCCTGCTGCTAAGTGACAGTCACAGTTTTTTAAGCATTGGATTTTTCCTTCTCAATTTTAAGCAGTAAGTCTGGTTCTGGTCACCTTTCACGCATAGGTGGTCTCTGTTACTATGCAGAAATCAAATTCGCAGCTGCCTCTACCTGCTTCTAGACATGCAGCCAAGCAGACCAGTAGCTTTAGCATCTACTCCTTGCAGTATGTTTCTAGTACATGTGTAACCTTGAGATATCTGTTTTTGAATGCACTATGCCTTTTAATGTGATTTATATATTATATATGTTAATTTACATTATATATACACACACATATACATATGCATGTACATACATATTTTCCCTAGTCACTGTTTTGGGTTTGGAGCTGGGGATAGGGTGGGATAGTTAACTGTTAACTTGAGGCACTATCTTGGCCAGAAGTCAGTATCTGTGCTTGGTGTAGGTGCTCAATAAGTACCTGCTGATTTTTATGCCTAACTAGGACTCTGCTATTCTCACACCTTAAGTCTAAGACATAGGCATGGAGCTAAAATCCAAAACTGTGGGAGGGGTCAGCCCTGGCCTAGCTGTTGAGGTTACATTTAAACTCAAACACAGAGTCATGAGGTAATCTTTCCGTCTCTAAAACTTTTCCCTTCCTACTTCACTTTCCAAGATGAATGTTCCCAGTGCCTACTTACCATGGAGCAGATCTTTGGCTCCCAATGAGCAAAGGTTGGACACTGGCCCCACAGAAGTGTTGTTCTCTGTGGGAGCTACTGGGTTCTTGGCTCGCTTCTTACACTCAAACACAACCAGATCTTTGCATTGTTTGTGACAGTTCATCCCGCAGTCTGTGGACAAGACATCCTGGGTCAAGAAGTCTTTCACTTTTCTCTCTTCCCCAGTGTGTCTCACAACCAAATTCATGCAGTGCTTTCTTGTCACACATGTCTGTTCTATCTTCTGGAGCTAAGACACTTAACATTCCTAATGAAGCTAGCATTCTTCTCACTTGGTGAAGCCCAGAGCTCACACTCTTGATGTAGCCCTTATCAGTGAATCTCAGCATCAGAAGCAGTATCCTGATATCTTGGAGGGAAGAGATGGTGTCCTGGTATCCCATACATTCTGCCTACTCTAGGGAGACCCTCCGGAAACACTCAGCTGTTAGGTCTTATTTTCTTTCTTGCAGTAAAAGGTTTCCTCTCTTTCACTCCTGAATTCTCCTAGTCACAAGGAAGGACAGTTATGTCCTGAGTGATAAAGGAAAGCTGACAAGGGCCTTTAGTAATCATTTATCTTCTGTTGCAGAAGAGATTCTATCTTTTTCACTGGGGACCCACCCTTCCATGACTATATGAGAGCACCATCTCCTACCTGCTATCCCTGTTCTAGGCCAGCCACGACAGAAAGAGGATTTTATACAGAGAAAATGCCTATCTGTGCAACCAGGCATTTCTCTCTTCGGTGTGGCGGTCATTCACCGGGGGTGTCCGAGGGAAACCACTTTGGGGATGAGACTCTGAACTATGCTGAGAAGTTGTGGACTAAATGGACAACTACTATGGGTAAAAAATGTTTTAGAGGTGGGACTCTAAGACCAGCTGATATGGTTTAGCTCTGTGTCCCCATCCAAACCTCACCTTGTAGTGCCCATAATCCCCATGTGTCATGGGAGGGACCCAATGGGAGGTAAATGAATCCTGGGGGCGGTTACCCTCATGTTGTTCTCATGATAGTGAGTGACTGCTCATGAGATCTGTTGGCTTCATAAGGGCTTTTCCCCCTTTTGCTCAGCACTTCTCCTTCCTGCCAGCATGTGAAGAAGGATGTGTTTGCTTCCCCTTCTGCCATGATTGTGAGTTTCCTTAGGCCTCACCAGCCCTGTGGAACTGTGAGTCAATTAAACCTCTTGCCTTTATAAATTACCCAGTCTCAGGCAGTTCTCTATAGCAGCGTGAGAATGGACTGATACACCAGGAATATGTCAACAATATTGAGTCTTACCTTTACATCGATATCCTTGTTTGATCACTCCCCAGAGCTATGAAACAAGAGACAGAATGCACCACATGTCATTCATCCATCTGGTGTGAGGCTACAAGGTGACATTCCTTTATTTTCCTTCATTTTACTCTCTAGCTCAAGTGGGAAGGAAACCTCATTTATCTCTCATGTCTTGTCCCTTCTGACCTTAAATCCATGAGAAGAGTTTATGCTGATCAAAGTTTCTCAAGAAGCAGGTTTTTTTTGTTTTGTTTTTTTTGAGACAGTCTTGCCCAGTTGCCCAGGCTGGAGTGCAGTGGTGCGATCTCGGCTCACTGCAACCTCCACCTCCTGGGTTCAAGCAATTCTCCTGTCTCAGTTTCCCAAGTAGCTGGGACTACCAGGCATGTTCCACCACACCTGGCTAAATTTTTTTGTATTTTTAGTAGAGACGGGTTTTCACCATGTTAGGTGGGCTGGTCTCGAACTCGGGGCCTCAAGTGATCTGCCTGCCTTGGCCTCCCAAAGTGCTGGGATTACAGGCATGAGCCACCACACCTGGCTCTCACTAGCAGCCTTATGACCCAGACATTCTCGAGAAATGGATGAATCATCGGGCAAACAGGTTCCTCAGGACTCCAAACTGAGAAGGATATAGAGCCTTGCATCAGGACCCGAGTTTAGGGGGAAACGATTGGTCAGGAGTGGAACGGAAGAGGGGCATAGCCAAGGTTATCTCCTAAAGACAGAAGGTATCTCATATGTCTTTGTTATAACACTTGAAACAGCACATGAATATTATACTTTAAAAGTATATCCTAATTCAGCATTTCTGGTACCATTTATCTAAGGCCTCATTGCAATAGAAAAGAAAAAACAGGAAGAAGCGAGAGATGATGAGTGCAGGTAAAAACCACACGCTTGAGCTCTAGGTTATTCTAGGTGTCTGTCTGGGCTCCAAGCTGGGATGGGTTCATAAGGATTGTGAGGTCTGTGCCTGTCTTAAAGTATCCCACACTCTTCCCCAAATTCAGCCCTGGAGCACCCTAAGAACAACTTACAAATCCAGCACAGTTGTCACAAAAAGTGGGCTTCAGGTAGGTGGTCTCTTGGAAGTTGTGAGGAAAGCCCAGGCCCAGCTTGGAATAGATTGAGCTGGCTCTCATGAAGTAGGCTGTGATCTCATCCCTGCTGATGAGGCCTTCCCTGCCGGCAGATGACCAAGGCAAGGATGTGAGTATAAGGGGCATGGAGGCAGGTAGCAAGGGGGGGCTTCTAGCCTTAGAAACTCACCTTTCTTTTTATCCTCAGTGGTAATATGGTATGTGCTACCTCATGATTACTTCCATGGGCCCTACTCTTAACAAGGATACAAGATGACATGTGGTAAGTAGGTAAGGCAGCATTACTCATTTCCACAGAGGTGTTCTTTGGCCAAACTAGGTTTCCCTAACTAACTTGACCACTATCTATAAGACTTGAAAAAGAAACAATGTAACATGTACATGTGTATAGGGAGGGAAATGTCTTATGCTACAGTTTCTGACTTTAGACAGTACCTAACTGGAACCCACTAACCATATGATTAGTTTCCTATAGAGAACCAAGATAGAATTTATTTAACCTTGAGAAAAGTAAAAATGCAAAGTATGAATAAGTATTAGTTGTTTCCCAAAATCTGTAATGACAAAGCAAGAAGGAAGACTAAACTTTTTCTTATTTATAGTTGACTATTTATAAAGTGGCAGATTTATGGAATGTTCAATTCAGTTTTTGTTTTTTTTTTTTTTGAGACAGGTTTTTGCTCTTGTGGCCCAGGCTGGAGTGCAGTGGCATGATCTCGGCTCACTGCAACCTCCGCCTCCTGGGTTCAAACAACTCTCCTGCCTCAGCCTCCCGAGTAGCTGGGATTACAGGTGCCCACCACCACACCTGGCTAATTTTTGTATTTTTAGTAGAGACAGGGTTTCACCATGTTGGCCAGGTTGGTCTCGAACTCCTGAGCTCAGGTGATCTGCCCACCTCGGCCTCCCAAAGTGTTGGGATTACAGGCGTGAGCCACTGTGCCCAGGCCCAGAATATTTTTAAAAGAATGCATATTTCATGGTCTGTTCTTTAAGTGATCACAGCAGCAACATATCTGAGTTTTCAAATTCTTCTAGTGACATACCTATAAACCTATTCTCACCAATGGGCTCATAACCACATATTCCTAAGTACAAACCCTCACCTGTCTTTGTCCATCACACAGAAGGAAAATGGAAAACTCGCAGCAATCTTTTCAAATTCTTCCTGAGAAATGTATCCATCCTGGTCGTGATCATAGTTCTTGAAGACAGACTGTGAAAAAGGAGTTTTTTTGGTGATTACTAAAGAGAAACCGGTCTTCTCTCCCTTTAGTCAAATGACAAAGAGCTGGGGCAGTTGGATAAAAGCCTTTTAACAACCTGAACGAGAGGAACAGGGAAACCTGCTCCTTTAGCTGTGGCAAAGATGTGGCAGGTCACATCTCAGGCCTTTGCTGGTAGCAGCATGTGGGGGGTGGCCATGTACTTTGAATCATTAGCACGTCAATTATACTATCACGCTGGCTACTCCTAGTTCACTGCGCAGAGGGATGTTCTCCTTTCACTCTACCCTTTTTTTCATCACTCAGCTCCAGTTGTACCTTCTTTGAGAAGCTTCTACAAACAGCCCAGTTGGAAGTGCTCTGTCCCCACTGTTAATCCTCTTGTTTCTCACCGTTACGCTCTTAGTTTTCCATTGTTACATGTGAGTTGTCCACGAGGATACATGCATAAGTATGAGAATATATACCCCTTCCTCAGCAATTAGCACAGAGAATTGAATTAAGCAGTACAAAGGTTTTCAGTTTTAGGTTTACCTGATTACCCCTTACTATACTCAAATGCATCCCAATACTTCTGTACTCCTAAATCAACTGACAACCTTTAAGCATATGCTCTTTTGCTAGGTCTTGAAGAGGAGGCACAACTGCCTTCATATGAGTCCAGTGTGTGTTGTCAAAATGTAACTTTTGAATTGTTCTAAAGCCACAGTAAGAGAAGTAAGTGGTTCAAGTTTCGTGCCTTTACATTTCCACCATTGTGCTTTCCTCTCCCTTTACCCCACATACAAAACTGAGCCAGGCAATGCCTAGTTTTTGTGTGCTGAACACAGCTGTACTTACATCCACCATCCTCTGGACGTGTTTGCTAATGGTTTTTGGATCAGGTTTGGGAGACACTCCAGAAGCCCAGTCCACTACTACTGGTGGCTTTGAAGGTGTTAGTGGCTAAAATGAAATATTTAGAGAAATCCTCATGACTACAATGCAATATTATAACCTATAGCTCTTTCTTTTCCCACTACCTGACGGTTACATTTATGGACAATCTTCAATTATGTTCAGTGGCAAGGAGCAGAGAACCCACAGGCAATTGAAATCTCTACTAATAATTTTGGCTAACAAGGCATTGTGCTTACGGTTTCCAGAGTGCTCTTCACATACATTATCTGCAGCTACAGATAATTTGAAATTCTCAATCTGCCTGAGTTGCAATTCCCTCTCCATTAAACCCTTTGTCAGAGCTATCAACAAAGAGTAAAGTGGATCATTTATGATTCCTCTCTATTCTCCAGTCACATTTTGCAGTAGAAATGTGAATAAGGAAAAGCTTAGCTAAAAGGCAGGAAGGCACAAGAAAAATCATCGGAAGCCTGGACAAGCTCTTTTCTAAATACAGTCATGCATCACTTAATGACTGGGATATGTTCTGAGAAATGTGTCATGAGGTGATTTTGTCATTGTATGAGCACCACAGTGTGTACTTACACAAACCTAGATGGTATAGCCTGCTACACACCTAGGCTATTTGGTATAGCCTACTGCTCCTAGGCTACATACCTATACAGCAGGTTATTATACTCAGTACTGTAGGCAATTGTAATGATGGTATTTGTGTATCTTAACATATCTAAACATAGAAAAGGTAAAAATATGGTATAGAAATTTTTTTTTAATGTTACACCTGTATAGGGCACTTAACCATGAATAGAGCTTTCAAGATTAGAAATTACTGTGGCAAGTCGTGAGTGGTGAGTGAATGTGGAGGCCTAACATTACTGTATACTCCTATATACTTTATAAATACTGTACACTTAGACTACACTAAGTTTCTTAAATTTTTTCTTCAATGATAAATTACCTTATTTTACTGTAAAAGCTTTTAATTTTTTTAACTTTTACTCTTTTGTTATGACACTTAGCTTAAAGCACACATTGTATAGCTTATAGCTGTACCAGTTATTTCCTTTATAGCCATATTCTATAAACTTTTTTCTATTTTAAAAATGTTTAATTTTTTAAATCTTTGTTATAAACTAAGGTACAATTACACTCATTGGCCTATGTCTATATAGAGTCAAGATCATCAATATCACTGTCTTCCACTCCACATCTTATCCTATTGGAAGGTCTTTAGGGGCAATAACATGCATGGAGCTGTCACCTTCTGGAGGACTTGCCTGAGGCTGTTTTACAGTTAATTTTTCTAAGTAGAAGGAATGCACTCTAAAATAATGATAAAAAGTATTGTATAGTAAGTGCATAAACCGGTAATACTTACTATCAAGTATTATGTACTGTACGTAAGTGTATAACCTAGACTTTTTACAGCTCAGTAGGTTTGTTTACACCAGTATAATCACAGACATAGTGAGTAATGTGTTGTGCTACAATGTTACAATTGTTCTGTCACTAGGCAGTAGTAATTTTTCTGCTCCATTATAATCTTAAGGGACCACTGTGGTATATGAGGTCTATCACTGACCAAAATGTCATTATGTGGTGCATGACTGTATTTGAAACTCAGCCCAAATTAAAATCTCTCTGAAAAAACAGAATGTACCCTTTCCATTGAAATGCCTCTAACCTGAAAATGGAATCTACCAAATATTTTCAGTGGAATCTTTCATTACAATAGAAAGCTAGAACTTGATCTTTCTGTGTGGAGGAGTGCAATTTAGCCACCCCAATAGATGAGCTGGATTTCTTAAGTGTGGGCAACTCTCTTCCCTTGAGTATCACTTGTTTTGGGGTTTGGAAACGTCCCAGGAGACTGAAGTGATTTTACTTGCCTGTGGGAGGGTAGGGCAGATAACCTGTGAAGTTCCTACTGCAGGCAGTGCCAGGACTGTGTACTATTTTGAGGACTTCTCAGCATAGGAGGTCAAAAGACTCAGCAGACTGTTCTTTTCACCCAGAACATTACAGGAAAATGGGGCTTTTCTATCTACCAACCTGGAAATCTTCAGAAATTTAGCTTCTGATTAGTACGCATATTACTCTCATTATCATCAATGAATCATAGAAAAGAAATTTATGTGGGGACTCTTCTTAATGCGGGGGGGATGTCACTCTGGTGCACAATAGTATCTTCCTTCTCTACTTTGTAAACCACTGACTGATTCCACCACACCTGGCATTCTGATGATATAGTTATTTACTGTTCACTAGTTATTCACTGGTCACACATTAGGCTTATCCCTTCAACTATATCACAGCTTTTTAATGGACAGGAACTATTCCTCAGACATATGTTGAAAAGCTTTCTCTGTTCCTAGCATAAGGTTGAGCACTAAGAAAAACAGTACATGTATTAAACTGAACTGAAAGTCTGTTCCTGAGGATGAATGAACTCGAGGAGAAGCTTGTAAAGCACCTGTTACATGTGGAGTCTTAATATGAAAAACTCACTGGAGCTCTGTGGTTCCTTGGTTCCCGGGCATAGGAAAGCTCATAGATTTCATCCTCAGTGTAGTAAAGATCCAGGGATAACTGCAGATCAAAGCAGAACAGGGTTCATTGCTAAGATGCTGTTTGCCTCTCCCACAGCTGATGGTTCTTTCTTGGATTTTCCTTGCCAGTAGTTTACTCTTTTAGGTTCTAAACAGTTTGTTTTTAAAAGTCACAAAACAGGTATAACACCTACTATTGCAATAGGGCAAGCATTAATTCTCATTGAAATGTTTTTAATTTTGGACATAGGATGCCCTCTTTTTAACTATGATTTAAATCTAAGCCTCTATATAGAGCTTAGGCCAAAGGCCTTGTCTGGACAGATGACTAATACATCACTTGTTCTCTCTCAAAGCAGACAGATGATCTGAAAGGATGGTGTGTATAGTCTGAGACTATTAAATTTGAGTCCAGCAATAAAATCCAGTTTAAATGGTAAGACATATTAATTGCTATTAAGAGTTAATGAGTCTGGGTGCATGGTGGCTCATGCCTGTATTCCCAGCATTTTGGGAGGCCAGGGCAGGTTGATTGCTTGAGCTCAGGAGTTTGAGACCAGCCTGGGCAACATAGCAAAACCCTGTCTCTACAAAAAATACAAAAGTTAACCGGGCGTGGTGGCGTGTGCCCGTGGTCCCAGCTACTCAGGAGGCTGAGGTGGGAGGATGGCTTGGACCTGGAAGATAGAGGTTGCAGTGAGCTGAGATTGCACTACTGCACTCCAGTCTAGGTCATAGAGCCAGACCTTGTCTCCAAAAAAAAAAAAAAAAAAAAAAATAGTGAGTTTCATGTATCTTAGAACTATAAAATTTTAGGAGAGAAGTCCTTAGGAATAATATTATTCTTAACCTTGAGTCTATGGATAGGCTTCAAGGATTTCAGAACTTGAAATTACATGCATATTTAAAAATAAATGGCTTATGTACATTTTTCTGGGAAGAAGGTTCACAGCTTTCATCACAAGATTTATAATCCAAAGAATGTTAAGATTCACTCCATGTTTTTACAAATGATGTCTGAGACACAGACCTGCCAAGGTCACCTGGCTAATAAGTGAAAGGGCTAGGATCACACACCAGCTGATGTGAAGCCCAGGGTTCTATCAAAATGCTGCTGTGAGGCAGAAAGAGGTTATGATCATTATTCTACTCTCCAAAAACAGCAGGTTAAAAACTGTGTAACTTTAGAACTGGAAGAGAAGTTCGAAGTCATCCCAGAGACTAATTCGTTTGAGGAGAGGAATCTTGGACGGTTATATGTCCATAGTCACACAGCTGGTAAACTACGGAATTGCAGGTCTGGAAGGGAGTTCATCATCTGATCTCACCCCATATGCAAAATGCAAATCCTGGTCTCCCACACCATTGACAAGTGTTCATCTTCACTTGAATATCTCCAAGAGCAAAGATCTAAGCCAGGAACCAAATAATAACCCTGGGTGTTTTTTGTTTGTTTTTTAAATTACTGCCTGCCCTTTTTATGAGAGCACATTCATTCTCTCCATCTGTTACCAAGACTTGTATCCTGATTTGCCATCAGCTCCTCCCAGAGAGCTTAGGACTGCTTTTGTAGAGGTAGTGAAACAGTCCTAGAAGTCTGAAGGGCACAGTCTCTAGAGTCCCACCACCTGGGTCTGAATCAAGGCTCTGCTACTTAATAATGTGTGGTCTCCTGGCAAGGTATATCTTTGTGCTTTAGTATCCCTAGCTATATGTTGGAGATAGTAATAGGATCTGCTTCATAGAGCCTTTATGAGGACTAACAGCTAATATTTGGTAAGGGGTATAGAATGGCACCTGGCACACAGAAAGTGCTTAGTAATTGTCCTCCAGTGTGAGCCTCACCGTCAGCAAGTGTACCAAGTCCTTGTTAGCCTCCAAGGGTGGGGCCACCTCTTGCAGCTGGACCAATTCACTGATATGATTGTATAGGGCCAGTAGCTTATGGACGTTCACTTTCCCGTCCTCCAGATAGTCAGGCATGGCTTCATACAGGGAGATGAGGTCCTTGAGATGCACACCCAGAATGGGGATCTTGAAGTCGGTGCACTCTCCATAGGCTCGCCGGTAATTGTCGTAGTTTCTGGAGGAGGACAGCAGCTCAGTCATCTCACCGAGAACCTACAAAGCAGAACAGACCAATCACAGGTACCCGCTAGGCAGTGTGCATTGTCTGTAATGAGGACCTTGCATGTTTGCATCCTGTGCCATGATCTCACCCCATCCAGAATTTGTTGAGCAGGGGGTAATTCATGTAAAAGGTACAGATTATGACTCCCCAGTTAAAACCTCAGCTATGTCAAATATCACAGAATATATTTATAAACACAAGATATGCTTGAATCTGTTATATAACTTAAACATTATAAATCGGGGTTTTATCATTTTTATGTTAAAATTTCCTTCTTTTCAAAAACAAGGACCTGATACAAAAATTAAAAAGGTACAAGAATATATAGTGAACACTATCCCTCTAACTCCTGTCCCCAAGCCATGTGATTCCCTTCCTTGGTGTCTTCTGAATGCTTCCAGAGACACTGCATTGATTAACAGTTGAAATGTGATGTCAGGAAATGCTGACTATGTTGCTGGCATGGGGAAGAGCATGTATTTTAAGAGTGGAGCTTCAGTAGTCTATTGTGTGTTATTCTCTATGAGGTGCTTGATGGGCCTTTCAAGATTCTCAGAATGGGCCTATGACTAGAAAGCAAGTGACATTCCATTCACAGACTAAAACCTTGAACTAAAAAGACTGAATAGACTAGATCAATTCTGAGCAAAGGACAGGAGAGAGGACATTAGAGGTTACACCCTGCTTCAAACCTGGAAGTGGGAACGGCTGCTCACCAGCACAGAAAGGGAGCAGCCAGATCTAGTTTTCTTTTCAATCACTTGTCATTCAAGTCAGCAAGCAGTTCACAGAATCCATTCCCCATGAGTGATAACCAGCTTTCTCAGAAGCAAAGACATGAAGTGACTGTCTGCCAATCATGTTATCATACAACATAAGGAGTCCTCTCTTATCCTTAGGGGGATACAGTCCAAGACGCCTAATTGATGCCTGAAACTGTGCATAGTAACAAACCCGATTGCTGTCAAGTGGAACACATTTCTGTTCATGTTTCCCACCCACAAATGTAATGCCATTCCCATCATGCACTGTGGCCATAACTTTTTGCAGTATGAAGTACAAAAGAGAAACTAGAATGAACTTCTTTTCTTTTTCACAATTTCATAGATGAAATTCCTTCTTACTTAGATCTTAGCAACCTCAGCATATGATTTTTTTCCTTCCTTATTAAGTAAAGAACTTAGAGGAAACACTTTAGGGCTGCTCTTTGGCATATCCAAATTGCCAACATCATTACTCTTGCACTGTGAGGCCATTATTAAACAAAGTGAGAGTTACTTGAACACAAGCACTGCAATACCATGACAGTCAATCTGATGACCAAGACGGCTACTTAGTGACTGATATGAAGGAGTCCCAGAAAGAATGGAATGGGATGGCTTAAGATTTCATCATGCTACTCAGCACAGCATGCATTTTAAAACTTATGAATTGGCCAGGCGTGGTGGTTCATGCCTGTAATCCCAGCACTTTGGGAGACCGAGGTGGACGGATCACCTGAGGTCCAAAGTTCAAGACCAGCCTGGCTAACATGGTGAAACCCCGTCTCTACTAAAAATACAAAATTAACCCGGCGTGGTGGCACACGCCTGTAGTCCCAGCTACTTGGGAGCCTGAGGCAGGAGGATTACTTGAACCTGGGAGGCGGAGATTCCAGTGAGCTGAGACTGAGCCACTGCACTCCAGCCTGGGTGACAGAGTGAGACTGTCTCAATCAATAAATAAATAATAAAATTTATGAATTATTTCTGGGATTTTCCATTAAATTTTTTTTGGACTGCAGTTGACCTCAGATAACTGAAACTACAGGAGACAAAACCTCAGATAAGGGGGACTACTGTAACCCTTTTAGACACTGTGCCCAAACTTAATAAAATTGTGGCCTACGAAGTACCATTTCTCCACAATGAAGAACTTGGAGTTCTTGGAGTCAGACCCCTTCAAATCACTGGGAGATGGCAAGAGAGCTTCTTCTTCATAAACCTCTACCAATGGTGCAGGTGAGCCCTAGGCATGGAAGGGGCTCACAAGACAAGAGTGTAACAGCAAAAATGATAAAGATATTTTTATTCCCCTCCGAAGGTGAAATCAACAACTTGGGGACTTTTGCTTCAACCCTGGACTTACTAATTCACTATGCAGACCACCCTGAGGGTCAAGTAGCTACCGACAGGAAGCACTGCTGTGGGGGGACCCCAAGCTGAAGAGGAGCAAGCTCTCTCTTATAAGCTAAATGACATGAAGGCTTCTTAATCTCTGTGACTATTTCTCTCTGTCACCTCTGAGATGTGGGCAATCTTTTCAACTGTTCCACCTGGTTTCAGCAGAACCGTTAAGGAATGAAGAGGTGACTAAAGATGATGCCCTTTTGATCAGACCACTGGGAAGTGGGGGGCCTCCCCAGAGGCCCAGCATTGTGATAACAGAGATAATAAAAGACTCCCCAAAAGGGAGCTGAACACCTGGGAAAAACAGATGGGGTAATGAGCTTAGGTATCTCTCCCTAAAAAGAGAGTTCCTCTCCATGCTAGTTTGGAAGGATTGGGGCTTGAGTATAGTAAGGTCCTCTTACATGAAAGTGCTCAAAGAGCAGTCATTATCTAACCCATGCCATACATTTATATCCTCGGTATATTACAGTGGTTTATATTTATAACAACAGCTCCAGCTGGACTCAGTGGCTCATGCCTGTAATTCCAATACTTTAGGAGGCCGAGATGGGAGGATCGCTTGAGGCCAAGAGTTGGAGACCAGTCTGGACAACATAGGGAGACCCTTATCTCTACAAAAATTTTAAAAAATAGCTGGGCATAATGGTGTGCACCCATGGTCCTAGCTACTTGGTAGGCTGAGGTGGGAGGATTGCTTGAGCCCAGGAGTTTGAGACTGCAGTGAGCTATGATCGTGCCAGCCTGTGCTCCAGCCTTGATGACAGAGGAAGACCCTGTTTCTATAAAAAAGAGAAACAAGCAAAACAGCCCTATGTCATAAAAGATAAAAGTATATTCTGTAAAATCTAATAATGTAGGAAAATGTACAGGACATTTAAGAAAAATATTCATTAATAAAACATTATGTATTACAAAATGGTATCTGAAGAACTCATATCCAATTATCTGGTAAAATTCAACTATCCGGAATGTCATTCTTCAAGGGTTCTGGATAGCTAAGTTTTTAATATATCACTATATAACTACACTCAATGTGCAAACTGACCTATGGTCAACCGAACCACAATTCCTTTTGAGAACACATTTTAGAGCAAGGAGCTGGAGCGAGGGAATCAGTGTCAAAGATGGTAACTGAATATTCCATGGCCTATGAACATGGGAAGAGGCACACATTGTTTCAACTGGTCCAGCAGGAATGTTTGCAGTGACACTGTCTGAGGCCAGACAAAATCACAGTTACTCTAAAAAATGTGACTTCTCCATCCTATGGATTTCCTTAAGGTTTGCCTCCCTGCCACTTAGCCTGGTTGACAAGGGATGGTGTGGTTGGAAATGCTCTCTGGGCTGCCCACCAAGGAGAAAATGTTGGCACACATCTTGAGAATGCTGCTAAGGGCCCCAGAGAAGACAGTAGCACTGACCTTATTGATTTCATGTGGGACATGCGAACTTGTCTCCTTGAGCCTCGAGATTGAGCTGTGACACAGCCCACCTATCACAGCCATCAGTGTATTGAAGTTCTGTAGTTGGTGGAGCTTCTGTGACACAGAAGACAGATGACAGCAGAGTCACTGTACATGTCAGTTATATGGGGAGCTTAGAGGCTGCCTCTTGTCTCTGTGCCGTGAGTCTCCCTTACGCTGGTTAAAGACTAGTTACGAGGCATTGCAATTTCCTGTCCATGTCTCCCCTTCTGCTTTATTCAGACTGGTGGATTCCACATCTGGGAGGCATTACATCTCTCTCCTTTTGTTGTTGCTGATCTGTGGACCACCTTCTAGATCAGTGCTTTCTTAGAATCACCTCAAGTATTTGTTTAACACAATGGTTTCTGGACCTAACCCAGACATTCTGATTGCCTGGATCTGGGGTTAGGCTTGGAGATCTGTACTTTTAATATACCTTTAGTTAATATCAGAGCAGGTGATCCAAAGTCAGAGCTGTTGACTTTGAGAAACACTGGTCTAGACCATCCAGAGTTGGAGAAAGATATTATTAAGTGTAATCTTTTATTTATTCCAAATTTACCAGACTTTTATTTTTGAGGGTAAGGACTTTGTCTTATTTTCCCATGCAATGCCAGTGCCTATATAGGACAGTAACTGGGACAGAGAAGCTAGAATCTCTGGGGAACTTCAAATATGGGTTCATAGTACTTGTTTTCCTCTTATAAAATGCCCCTCAAACATTAAATGCAGCCATTCAGCACTGCATGGGCTTAAAGACCTAAGACAATCCAGGATGGTCCAGCTCCAGTAAATCTTAGAATTGCCCTTTCCTTTGCCATGTGGGCCAGACTCGGGAAAATAATGTAGGCTGGTAAGCATCTTTTGAAAAATGTTAAAGGTCTAAACAGATCTAAAACTGGATCCTGACCCCTGATATGGCCTGTATGGCCCCCTCCCCTCCACACTGTCCTTGTATGGAAGAAGAGACAAGTCACCATATCTAGATCTGGTTGAAGGCACACAAACCTCTCCACCCCCTCGCCATGGTTCAGGAGGGAAAAAACAGCTCTAATTAATAGACTAAGCTGGAGGAAAAGGGGATAGAAAGTTTACCTTATAGCCCAAGCCAAATGTCTTAAACCAGTTATTCACCTGAGCCACCTGGATGAACTTGATGAAGACTTCTGCTCGGAGCTGCGGCGTGGGGCGGCTGAGAACCATCAGTTGTACCCACTGGGAGATGCCGTTGCACAGAGCAATAGATCGCTCCATGGTGGGGTTTTCCTTCACACAGCTATTTACAAGGTAATTCTGATAATCAGAGAACTGCAGGAAAAGAAACAACAACAACAAAAAAAACCTATCAGTACTGTACTCTGGTATTCCAGAAGATTTAAGGGACAAGTCCAGTCTGCTCAGTTGATGGCTGGGAACTGCCATGGAACAGAGGAGCTCCTGGTGCTCTTCTGCATCTTGGCCACTTGCCAACAAGCATGATGGGAGGGAAATCTTCCTTATTCTACCCACAGCATGATTTCTCTACATCGAAAGTTATTAGGAATAAGTGGATGTGTAGACACATTAGTTAATCCAAATGCTGTATTTCAGTAGATATTGTTACTGACTATTCTAAATTCTAAAGAATACAGTACAGAATAAAGATCAGTATTGCTGCTAAGGTTAAGGGAATAAAAGGTAATTCCCCTGACAAAAACAAATCTCTCTCTCCCCAGCTGTTTTCTTACCTTAAAAATGTGATCATAAAATCTGCCCTATCTAGGACATAGAATTGTTATGAAGATCAAAGAAGATAATGTGTGAAAGCTTTAACTTTTTAAAGTGTTACATATATGTAAGGTTGCGCTAATGGAGTAGTTATGAACCTTATGCTAATACAAGCCTGTTTGTATTTCCTTCTACTCACCAACTGGAGCAGAGGCAAATGGAGTACTTAAAATTTGGTTAGCTATATGTTTGCTGATCATGGTTTCCCAAGTTGACAATAGCATTGACTACAGTTGGCAATGAAACAACATGTGTAAAACTGGAAATGTCCCTGAAGATCTAGTCTAAGTGATGTTTGTAGCTATTGTGTCCCTGTCACAAAGAATCCCTCTGCTCAAATCACAGTCTGTTTCTCTTCAACTTTCCTATGGAAGTCTTTGGTGCTTTTCCCCAATTATTTCCAACTCTTCCCTTCTCAACTCTTCCCTTTGAAAGAAGGTGTGACCATATGACATGGTTCAGCCAGCAGAATGTTGAGTGGAAGCGATGTAACTTTGGAGGCAAAGATGTAAGAGCCAGTGAGTGGTCTGCCATGTTGCCTTCCTACTGCTGCAGAGATCTTGGAAATTCCTGGCAAGATGAAGCCTCCATCATCTGGGTTCCTGGGGAACTCTGATCAGCCTCTGCTGACCCATGTTAGACATGCAGTGTGAGTGAAAAATAAACTTTTGCTTAATTAAGCCACTGAGATTGTACAGGAGGTGGGTGGGTGGGGGGTTATTACTACAGTACACCTTAGTTCTGCCTAAGTAGTAAATATATAGATGAGAAGTCACAACCCAAATAAAATAGCTGCAAATTAACTGAGCCCCATTTTACTGTGCTATATGGCTGCTGATGGGTGGAAAACCTATGAGTAGGACCAAAATCGCTCCTTAAGAGAGATATATAAAGCAAACATCTTACTGGTTCTAAAAGAAAGTAGCCACAACTCATTGCATATATTTTGAATATATTCATTCAATTAATATATTCCAGTGAATACATTTAATACCCCCCTCCCACTATAAATATAACTTTAAATCCACTTGTTTTTTTAAAACAATTATCCCAGTAACATCCTCACTACCCCTAAAGTTTTGTAATAAACAGAAGATATCAAATGCCTTTCAATTCACAGCACAGATAAATTTCCCTCCAACCTCATGTTGGAGAGAAAACTTGTGTTTGGTAAAACTGTTTAGCACTGTACAGGAAAAACAAAAAAACCCTGAGATAGTCTTCTATGAAGGGACCAAGCCACTCAAAAGAAATGAAGGTTGAAACTGATGTTTTCACTTGCAAATAGAACACTGTTCAACCCCTGGGGACACTGGCTGGGATTCCTCGTTCTGCACTGATTTTTCACTTCTGCCTCCACTGATGTGAGCATTGGCATCAAGCAGACATCCTGCAGGCCTGACCAAGCAGCCTGCCAGTTTGACCCCTGCAGAGCTCAGATTTCCTGTGTGATAAATGGCTTTTTTCAGTGGCTCAGCTCTGACTGCTGTCCTTCCCTGTGACGGGGAGGCACTGCCAAATGGGAACTCCTGAGGCAGAGCTTTTCAATTTGGGTCTGGGGTACTGAGGGGTGCAGAGAATGGAGAGTTAATGCTTGGAGAAGTTATTTCCAAATGGAAGCTGGGAGCTTCCTGGCTGAGTGACCAAACAGCTGCGTGAAAACAGAAGGGCTGTCAATATTATGAATGAAAATGTAAAATAACCTTTGTAACCTGATTTGCAGGTCTCCTTCCAGACACAACTGAGCTCAACAAATTGGTGCTGAGTGACTGAGAGAGGCATGTAGTCCTAGCCCCAGCTTTGACTGTAATCAGCTGTGTCGACCTTGTTCAAGTCAGCCCTCTGGGCCTCCATCCCCTCACCAGGAGAATACTGGTCATTTTAATAAATGGACCCAGCAACTAGGTGGTCACTATTTTTAGCACGGAGGTGAAGACTGTATCTGTTGGTAGGGGTAGGGGCTAAGTGGAATAAGGGTTTCATTTCTCAGGAAAGCACATTAGCCAGTGAGGGTCTGTTGGCATCTGACATGTTGACAAGTTCTCTTGCATAGAACTAATATTCTTTGGGATCACATATGGATTGCAGTGAGGAAAGGATGAACCTGTACTCTTTCTGTACCTGATGATCAACTGAAATCTCTCTCCCTTTGACTCTGCTTAGTTGCCCCAGTTGAAAGGTTTTGGGTCAGCACAGCTTATCTCTAGAATCACAGTGACTTCTGGGCCAGGACCACTTCAAGGATTTAGGTATGTTCTGGGCTAGGGCAGTAGAATCTATTTTGGGATTTCCCAGAGCCATTCAAAGCTTACCCCAGAATGAATTCAAACTCTGAGAGGACATATCCTCTCCCCGCCCCCGCACCCCCCCCCCTTTTTTTTTTTGAGGAAGATTTTAAAAAGAGTTGTTGAAGCCTAATGATTATCAGGGGTATGAGGATTATCAGGGGTATGAGGGTAGAATGAGAGAGACAGAGAGAGAGAGAGAGAGAGAGAGTGTGTGTGTGTGTGTGTGATGTGTGCCCACAGTATGGTAACTTGAGTGAGTGGTGGGATGGTATGGGGCGGGGGCATGGAAGAAGAGAGATGGGAGAAGCACAGGAGTCACAATCAAAGGAATTCAGATGGTACTGATTTTTTCAGACTCTATGATGTCTGGCAGGAAAGCCTGCCACGACTTGAGGGGGCCTCTAAGGTTATGAAGCGGATGGGCTGTTGAATTATCATCTTATTTTCAGAAATATCCCAGGGAAGATTTTTCTCCTGCCCCTTGCATACATACCGATATCCTCCGGAAAGACTTGAACTCAAGGTAGGTGAGGTGCTCGGATAGCTCTTCTGGTTCCAGATGGTCAAAGAGCAGGGAGACTTTCCGTTTCTTGCTGGTATTTGATTTTATCCTTTGAGTAAGTTTCCTGGACCAGTCACGGGCATTGCTTTTGTGGGTAAATGTGAAAGGGAGAAGACAGGGAAAAGGAATAAATCGCTTTTTGCAAGTAAATCCATTAACATTTCTCACAAGAATATACAAAACACCATTAGCTAACTTTCCTTGTGAATGCCAAAACAGTGCATTCACAGAGTTTCTCCAAATCAGTTTTTTTCCATGGCAGCCTCCAGGAGGTCTTGCTGGTTTTCAGTGAGCCTTTTAAGTGTGCAGTTGGGTACAGGATAAATGAGTTTACTTTAAGGCAGTGGGAAGGAAGGAGTCTCAGGTATCGGTCAGTTTCCTTGCCTTTGGTCCTGGCTCCTTTGTGTATCATCTGGTATGTCTGCTCCCTCCATTCTGCTTGTGTGTTCCTTCATTCTTGTGTGAATGATAGGGACTCTCTATCTGGTTGGAAATCCCAAGGCAGTGAAACAGTTTTCATGCCAGAAAGAGAGCTCAAAGAACCACAGCAAGATGTCATAAAGGGAGGGAATCACGCGTAGAAACATATGGTCACTCTTGGCAGAGTTGTGTCATTTTCCTCAAATGTCCTCAGCTACTGAAATGACCAAGGAAGCCTAGCTGACCCTAGAGTGCGCCCTGCCCCCATTATTTTCTTGTAATCAACCCATGCATTTCTTATTCAGTTTCCTTCACTAAACAAGCAAAGGGAAGCGGCCCCATTTTGAAAGACAGCAGGTTGCCTGTCTTCCAAACTGGTATTCCTGGGAACCTTGTCTCTTGATAAAAGGGTTCTGTGGTCAATGAGCTTGGGAAGTGCTATAAATTCTGTAGCCTCTTTGGCCAGTGAGCATATTACACACTCTGAAAAGCACTGCAAAAGGAAAGTTTAACTCATTATTCCTCAGTTATATCTGGCCAAGTAATATCCCACAGACTAATAATTCCTACAGAATATAATGTGGAAAATTTTGGTCAAGAAAAGTCAGCTAGGAAATACTGGGACAAGGAGAGCTGGGGTTGAGAATTGCCCTGGGCTCTAATTTCATCTTTAAAATGAAGAAACTATTACTTTGAATAATCTCTTATCTTTCAAGTTGTGTAATTTTAAGCAGAGAAGTACAGAGAATCCAAACTGATAAACAGACTTATTTGGGGCTCTGGAATGTAATCTTGAAATCATTTCTACGTGGCTACAGTGCATCATGGACAGGACCTCAGAGGCTAGCTGCTGCTCTGTCACTAGCTTAACTAGCTGGACCCTAGATGAGTCACATTCTTGCTGAGCCTCAATTTCCCAGTCAGAAAAATCAGGATGTTGGATGAAATGATCTCTAGAATATATATCAGTTCTAGAATTCTATTTCTTAGGGATTTGTACTATTTCAAAATAAAGCAGCCACACTGTGAAAACCCTGGCATACAAAGCATACATTCCCCTCCCCCTAATTAGGAAAGGCACTCATTTTCCCAGAATGGGTCAGTCTTATAAATAAGAATTCCAAGGAATAATTTAAAACATTCCTGGAATCCCATCCAGCTCTGGAAGTCTAAGTGTCTTTCATAGACATCCATATATGTTATAAGCCTTCTCCTGAATACATTTTTTAGTCCTGTCCCATTTACAAGTTCAGGTGTGCCTCCTGGCATTAAGCGTGGGTTCAGTCATTTGCACTTTCAGTTTTTCATTATCTGGATTAATTTTAGTCAATATCTTGCTACCTGATTTCTTTTTGACTGGGACTTACTTTTTCTGCTCCTGGATATGTCACCTACTGCTTTATCACCATGAGGCCTCTCTGCTTTTCTGTTAAATGCCAAGCCTTCACTTTGGTGAGGCAGTTTGAACCTGTGTATTTGAGGGGCTTCTCAGAGTGGAGAAAGAGAGCAGCAGTCACCGCTGGGGGTCAGAAGCCCAACAAGCAACTGGGATTATATTACAGGAGGGAGGTGGTTTCGAAAGATGAGTCAAGACCTTGACACTCACATTTGAGTTGTGTCAATCAGGCGGCAATGTAACTCCTCACCCTTAGCTTTCACCAGTTCCTGAAACTCCTCCATAGTGTCTGTCAAGCTGGCGTCCATTTTAAACATGACCCAGAATTCTGTTATCCAATACCTACAAGGAGGGGGTTAAAAAACACAATCCAAAACTGATACCAAGGACTCACAATTTGTTGGGTTCCAAAAGGAATTTACTGCCACAAAGAGAACTCAGAAAAAGACAAAGTCTGATTCGTCTATTAGTATATTGAAGGAGCTGGGGTGGGAGCAGGGAAGGAAGAAAACCCATCCACTGAAAATCTTCTGTCCCTCCACACAAATGCTGTGGTAGGATAAGGCATAGCATAATCAAAGGAGCCATGACAAAGATTCAGGCACAATCATGTGGGTTGGAGATAATTATAAGGGAGAGAACTATAGATAAACCAAATGTCCAAAATGAGACAATCTATTCATAGATTATGCTTTATCATATTCGAATATTACATGGCTATTAAAAAGAATGTTTACAAAAAGTCTTTAATGACTAGAGAAGATTCTCATGCTATAAAGCTAAGTGAAAACTATAAGATATAAAACCGTATATATATTTTCATCTCAAAAAAATTGACATGAAAACAAGACAAAGGAAATACACCAAAATAGGTAACTGGATATGAGTGATCATTATTATAGTTATATTCTTTTCTACATTTTTAAAAATGTTCTATAATGAGCTATATTACTTGTATAATTAAGAACAAAAATAAAGAAAATAACAGACCTTTAATTATTTCTGTATTCCCTCCTTCATGTCATTTGATACCAAAGACTGAAAAAAGGTTGGTATAAAATAATTAAGCTCAAGTACACCAGAGAAAATTCACTGTTATGAAGGACTACCCTTTTCCATCTGTCCAAAGGTGTTCTATAGAGGTCAGGAAAGGCAGGGAAAGTCCCTTGCTTCACCTTTCATTTCACCTTGCTCCACAAAGTCTTGAAATACATAAAGAAACATTACCTTACAAAATAACAGATCTTCAGGCAAAGTCCTGGTGAATTCTTTGCCAAAGCATCCTTATAGGTAGGGCTGTGGTTAAGGGAAATGGAGACCTCTGTTACAGAAACCAAACGACTTTTCATCTTTGGAAGTATTTGCTGAAACTACCTCCCAAAATATTTTTTCTAAAAAATGAAAATGTGATGCTTTATCTTTCTGGCCAAAGGATAAAAACCAACTTGATGTGTACAGCTGTATGCATATTATTGCCTAGAAAGGCGATGATGGTAATTTTCTCTCCAGCCCACGTCGACCTGGCTTACGGAAGGAAGCAGCAGCACTGCAGAACTAAGAAATGAATCATGTAAAGAGGTCCTGAGACAGGTAACTTATAAAAAGTGAAGAAGGGGCAAATGACTCCTTGCCTGTGCTCAAAAAGCAGCCCCTATGAAGGAAAAATGAAGCAGAAAAAAAAGAAAAAACAGCAGCCCCATTTATCTTTTACAATGTTTCTTTTAACTGATACACATGTATGCAGTGAATTCGAAGAGGAAAAAATACATATTCAATATTCAGATATGTCATGATAATGAAGAACAATAATATGAAAGTTACAATATATACACCTAGAGGATGTCAGTAGACTGACCTCATAGATTGTAACGGCAAGTCAGATAAACCGTGTGAATAATCGAAAACAAAACTGGAGGTCACCTTAAGGATCCTTTTCATTCTGAGCATTCCAAGAATATGAAAGAATAGCAAGATCTCATCAAGTTCACATGTCTTTAAAGATAAATGGAAAAAAATATTCATCTATTTTAAGAGTCAAAGAGATGAGAACTCCAATGCAGTGATGAGCCCGAATAGGTCCTGCCATTTCCCATCAACAGACTGAGGCATCAGGCTATGTGGGCTCTGTGCCCGCCCGTAAAGGCCATGCCTTGTTTTCCTTCTAAAAGCTGTGCATAATGACTACAATATAGGGTTCAGTGAATTCCAGCTGGGCCCATGAGAGGAATCCAGTGAACAACCCAGCAAACATTTTAATTAACTGGGACAGGACTGGTCTTCCTTCTGTGGGTGTATATATTTTAACCTTTGGAAAATTTAGAGTTAAATAAAGAAAAGCAAAAGAGAGTCAAAGTCATAGTACTGATCTTTTTTGTCAGGAAGGAGATCTGTGCATTTTGAAATTGTATATGCTTGTAATGTTTAAAAGCATATTAGAATGATAGCCTTGAAACTTCAATTTGCAATATATAATTAAGTGCTTTACACTTGTGGTTTTAAATTGAAACCTTATTAAGTTTATGCATAGCTTTGGAACATCTAAGATAATGATAGCTTTACTGTTTATAAATTTAATCTATTAGAGTTATAAAAAACTATTTAGAATTCAGGGAGGTATCTGAAGCACTTAAAAATTATCTAAGATATAAAATGCAGAACTGTAGTTTAAAATCATTGGGAATATTTAATTAACATTATTCAAATTAACGAAACATTTTTCAAAGTCCCTTAAAAATGCTTGCTGAAACATGCTAGACTTATGGAAACAGTAAGATTTGCAAGCTAAACTTGAAACCCTAAACAAGAACTATGGTTATAAAATTTGTAATTTTAATAAAATGACTTCTAGTTTTAAAAATTAAATTTTAATACATATACTGCCTATAAAATCTGCCCTTTAGATCAGAGCACCAAAACAAAACAAAAACCCAAAAAACCCTACACATCAACAAAGGTAATTGACATAAAAATAAGTGCAGGGAACTGGCAAACTTCATGAAGTAGAAAGTTTTTATGCCTGCCTTTCTTTGGGTGGAAAAGTAGAAGTGAGAATGAGATGGCTTTATGTTTCTTTATGCCACATCACTAAGAAAATGCATCACTTCAATGCAAAGAGATTCAGGCAAAAGGCACATAGATAAATACCTCTCAGATTCTATATTTTTATCATTTGTTCTACTTGTTGAAATTTTTATTCTTCCATTTTAAAGGGGAAGGCACAAAAACCACACTTCTGTTTTAAAGCTAAGTAGATACATTAAATCGACATGGTGACTTTTACCGTGTCATTCACCTTCTCCCAGTGGCTCCTTATCCTTCCCTTCAAAAGTATATTCTGACAGTGCACGTTGGCTGCATGTGGTGCAGCGTCAGTGTTGTAAATCCAGTCAGTCTACACGTGAGTGCTGAGCCTGGGCATCATTCAGAGGTCCTTAGAGCCCCTATGCCATGGCAAAGGCTGCCCCCCACAGGGAGCAGGGCACCCTCTTTCTCACTTCATTCAGGAGCTGAAGCAAACACCAGCACATGCAGGCTAAATAGTAAGAGGCTCAGGCATCTGCTGATCTTGGTAAACTTCAGTGTTTGCTGGAACCCTCAGACCCCATACCTTTTTCTTTTCTTCATAGCTAGTACTGTGGCTATAAAGTACCAGTACAGTTCTGACTGTACTTTTCAGGCACCTAAACTATTCAAAGCACATTTTCAAATTTATCCCTCTCTTCTTTTCACAATGGTAATCAGGAGACCATCTGAGCTTATTTAACTAAAAATTCTATTACTTCCAGGTCAGAGAACAGGGAAACTAAGCGTAAAGAAAGAAAATAATTTTGCCTTCAATGTTTAACCTGGCTTTCATTACAGGAGTATTATTTCATACTCTCAGAATCCCTTTCCCTACCCCAGGTTACATCTTCACCTGAGCAAAGCCCAGATATCACAGGTAAAAGTTCTTGTAAATATAAAAAGTATCCCAATGTTTGCACCCATAGTAATGCAACATTTATTGTGTCCTACCATGAAACAGCCACTAAACTAAGTTCTAGATACAAAGATAAATAAGCCTTGCTCCCTGCCCTTGAAAGACAGAGTCTAGCGGGGGAGACGACACACAAATAGGTAAGTTACAGTGTACATACTTTTAAAATACAAAAATATATCTTTCTTAATTTGTAATTCAATCAATTTTTCAGTACCCTTGCAATCTTTTATATTATTAACCAAATTGAAATCACAGCAGCTAGACACAAACGTTCTGTACTTTACTTGAAACGGTCATCTATAAAGACCAGAGTACATAGGCACTACATTGCAAAACGGACTGAAGTTTAGGTAGATACATTTATTTAGCTAACAGAATAAAAACACTTCACACTTTCTGTGAGTTTTTCAATGCAGATTACATCCAGGCCAGAGATATGAGAAACGCACTTTGACTTAAGCAGTACAAAACTAAAATCAAAGGAATTAAATAGATTGTCAATCAATAATACTATTTTAAAACATTAGAAGTATTTTTAAAAGGGGAGAAGGGCTGGAAAAGTCTAGAAAAGCTTCCCAGAAGGGTCTTGAAAGAGCTTCTAAACAAAGAGGGTAGAAAGGCTTTCAAGGCACAGGAATGATAAAAGGCCCCATTACATCCAGTATATTGAGAAGTTCAGTGAGGAAGGGAAAGGGTTTCTCAGAGAGCTACGGAATGAAGCAGGAAAAACTCGCTGGGAACAGACTGAGGAGGCCCTTTTGCTGGCAAGCTAAGGAGTTGACATTAACTCCGTAGTCTGCAGAGGCTCAGAAACAATGGCCTGCCCAATTTGCTTTGTAGGAAAGAATTTCAAGGGTAGCTACCATGAGACGGGGTAGGCGGACCATGTAGATACAAAGACTGGAGTGGGACAGTGGTTCAGGAGAGAGACCACGGAGACATGAACTAAGGCATGGTATGGGAATGGAGAGCAGAGACCAGATAAGAGTCATTTCTGAAGTAGAAACCCTAGGATCAGGTGACAGACTGTAGGAGGTGAAAGCAGGGGAGAAGTCAAGAGTGCTTCTGATGTTACTGGTTTAGGCAAGAATAGATACTAACACTATTAACTGAAATTGACCATGAAAATACAGTCATGTGCTGCATAACATTTTGGTCCATGACGGACCACATATATGACAGTGGTCCCATGAGATTACAATGAAGTTGAAAAATTCCTATTGCCTCATCCTGTCTTCATAATCCTGACCCAATATAGGCCTAGGCTACTGTGTATACTTGTGTCTTAGATTTTGACAACAAAGTTTAAAAAGTTAATAAACATTAAACATTTTTAAAACAGAAAGAAGCTTACAGAAGAATATAAAGAAAATATTTTTACACAGCTGTACACTGTGTAGAGTCAAAGTTTTAAAAATTAAGTTTATAACATAAAGTCACAGTAAGCTAAATTATTATTGAAGAAAGAAAAATATTTTTTATCAATTTAGTATAGCCTAAGTATATAGTGTTTATAAAACCTACAGTTATGTACAGTAATGTCCTAGGCCTTCACATTCACTCACCACTCACCCCTGACTACCCAGAGCAACTTCCAGTCCTGCAAGCTCCATTCATGGTAAGTGCCCCCCTATACATATCATTTTTTAATCTTTTATACCATATTTTTACTGTACTTTTTCTATGTTTAGATATATAAATACTTACCATGTGCTACAACCACCTACAGTATTCAGTACAGTAACCTGCTGTACAGGTTTGTAGCCTAGGAGCAACAGGCTGTACCGTCTAGCCTAGAAGTGTAGCAGGCTATGCCATCTAGGTTTGTGTAAGTACACTCTATGGTGTTCACACAATGACAGAGTCGCCCAATGATGTATTTCTCAGAATGTGTCTTAGGCAAAACAAGGCTGTACTGGTGTCGAAGCAGAATTAATGAGGTAGTGGCTGTGGGTGGGGACAGTGGGCTAATGCATATATTAAAGTCTTAAGTGTTAGCAGGACAAACTGGTATAAACCTAAGAAAAATGGTTTAGGTTAGATGGCTGGGTGCCGTGGCTCATGCCTGGAATCCCAGTACTTTGGGAGGCTGAGGTGGGAGGATGACTTGATGCCAGGAGTTTGAGACCAGACTAGGCAATATAGTGAGACCCCTCTCCCCGCACCAATTTCCAAAAAAAAAAGGAAAGGTTTAAGTTAGAGAAATCCAGACTTGAAAGTCACCATCAGCACAGAAGAATGGTGGAAACAGTGGTAGGAATTCTGGTGAGAAATCACCCACAGAAAGGAAGCTGAGTAAGAGGAAAACCAGGACATTACACCATATGTAAGCAGAGCTCGAAGAAGCCTCTAGATGAAAAGCTGGAGAAGGCCCAACCCAAGAGGTAGGAAAGCCAGGAGGGTGTCGTTCCGGGAGCCTTGGAGGGAGAGCTGGGAGGAGAACGGGGTTGTCAGTCATGCCTAATGCTTCTGGGGGTCAATGGAAACAAGGATGAGAAAAAGCCATTGGGCTTTGCAATCAGGAGGTTACTGGTGACATCAGAGGAAAGTTCGAATACTGGGGGCCAACTTCACACAGTTACGAAGTGAGGAGTAGTAAAGAGATTGGAGATAGTGAGTGTAGACTATTTTAAGACGCTTTCACATCAAATTTTTAACCCTAACAATGGAATGAAGGGGAGGTAGGGTTAAGAGTTGATTTTTAGATGAGGAGACTTGAATGTGTTTTAGGCTGAGGGGCAGGTGCCATTGAAGAGGTAGAGTTTAAAAGTATAGGAGGGGTGATAGCTGGTGGAGTAAGATTCTGTGAGAAGTACGAGGGACCATGGGAAAGGGAGGGGGGGTCTGCCCCAATATGTAGGCAGCCAGTAGTGCACTAAGGGCAGGAACCCCGAGGTACAATTTTCTTTCTTTTTTTTTTTTTTTGAGACAGAGTCTCACTTCATTGCCCAGGCTGGAGTGCAGTGGTGTGATCTCAGCTCACTGCAACCTCCACTTCCCAGGTTCAAGTGATTCTCCTGCCTCAGCCTCATGAGTAGCTGGAATTACAGGCATATGTCACCATGCCCGGCTAATTTTCATATTTTTAGTAGAGATGGGGTTTCACCATGTTGGCCAGGCTGGTCTCAAACTCCTGACCTTAAGTGATCTGCCCACTTTGGCCTTCCAAAGTGCTGGGATTACAGATGTGAGCTACTGTGCCCAGACACCCCAGGAACAATTTAGTCCCTAGGCCAACAAATAAGTTTTTAGGGAGGAATATTTAATCACTGACATTGTTTATAATCACTGGTACATGAAATTAATAAAAAGTAGACACTGAGTTGGTTTCATGATGGTTTAAAATTCTCTGCAGAAGAGGCACCCACTTATTACCTGCACCTCTTATTTATGTGCACTTCTCGCAATGCTCCCCCACTTTGTGTGCTACTGGAAAACACCTCCTTTGAGATGAGAGGTAAAGACTCATGAGTAGGTATAGAGAAGGGATTCAGTCCTGATGGTTTTTATTTTTTCTGTGTGCTGTAAGATGAAACGCGGGGAATTAGGAGAGTGGAAAAGTGTTAGAGCAGCTACAAGTCATGACACAGTACCAGGGACCTGCGCCTTGGGTGCTAAACGGTCTCACTCCGCCTACAACTCTTCTTTTGTGGGGGCTGCTGCTTACAGTGTCATCAGTGAGAAAAAGCAAGCAGGAGCTTTCTCCTCCCTACTTGATTCATATCCCGTAATAAGGTTAAAGTCCAGCAGGTTTTGCTTGGCACATAGTCAGTCCTCCTGCCTGAAGCAATAAGGCACCAGCAGATTCTCCAGATGCTGTGGCACTGGGAATCTTTCTTCAGAACCTGGAGAAAGTTGAAGAATTGGACAGGAAGGCCAGAAAGAAATTTATCCTTGAGTCATGCTTGCACCTTTGTCAATTTGCACAGGATGAATATCTATTTTGCACACTCTACAGAAAAAATATTTTTTACTATTAAGAGCCTGAAGATTGTGCTTGCATATTGATTTCTTTGACCACCCCCCAGAGCAATCAGCATCAATAACATTGCCCCACCCAACAGAGGATACATGAACACACCCCCAACACATGCACCCATACCCCTGAAAGGACATATGAACCTATTTGCCACTCAGGGTTATTCCAAACCAATAAAAATAAAAGCATACTTCAAATTTCAAGCTACTTTTTGGGTGGATCCCATTTTGGGATTGCCAGTCACTATGTTAAAGGATATAGGGTGATAACTTTTTGGAGCAGTTCTGCAGAGGAGATGACAATTCGGTGCATGGTCAGCATGACTTGCAACAGTTGGTTACTTCGACACAGGTTTCCATCTGCATCTGAAAATATAAAGAGCAGCACCTGAGTTAGGCCCTGGAGGGAAACTAGTCACCTGGTAGACACCTGCAAACCCTCTGTGACTCAGGTGCAATCCTTCAGGCACAGTGATTTTCTTCCACTGCCCCTAGCACAGCCCCCCTCTGTTTTTCTCATCCTCCTGCTACATTCTTCCCTTGCAGAATGTCCATTTTGATGCTCATTAACTACCCCTTTTCCTCTCCACAGTGGTAAAATCGGGAAAGGGATAAAATCTGCATCAGCACACTTGAGTCTCACTGAAAGCAGAAGCAGATCCAGGTTTTGTGGGGCCTAAAGTTCATATAACTGGTTGGGGGGTGGGCAGGGAGAGAATTCTCTGGGGTCAGAGTGAGAAAAGTTGGTTTTTAATAGATTGCAGTTAAAATATCTTACCTTTACAAATTTTACAAAAACAAATGACCATATGAATACATTTCTAGGGCCGTCCCATGGCCTTGGAAGGGGCTCATGCAAGTGAGGAGCCCTGAAATATATGCTTCTCCAGTTTTATGGTTAATATGCCTCTGGATGGAAATAAAAGAAGACTATGGGCAAACATTACATTTTAAGATTGCAAGTGGATTACAAGTACTCATGATGATTTGTATTAAAGAACATGGTTAGCTAGGTTTTCTAAATCCCAGCTGGCACAAAATAATAAGATGCATTTATACACTGGCATTGGGTAAAAAGATTCCCCTTGGAGTGGTTTTCAAAATCTTTTCAACATTTATGGCATGAAGTGTTAGGAGCTCTGCTGGTTATTCTCTGCCAGATCTATTCTTTCACCATGAAAAATATCAGCCCACTCACTTGCCAGCTGGCTTCCAGTTGGGTTTAGCCATTGGGAAGCACCAGCAAGAGACTGGGAGTGGAGGGAAGTCAGGATATTTGTTTTTCATTCCCTCTCTGCATTGACACCACTCCCCTGACAGTGACTACATATCTTTTCAATGAATGATCATGCTGGTTGGTCCTCCCTTCATGGCACCAGCTCTCGTTGGATCTAATACTATTAATCTCCTTTGGCCCCCTGGCCCCAAGGGTGGTAATGACTCCTGAGTGTTGATAGTTTCTGGATACATCTCTTAATTCCACTCTCATCTCTGTAAATAGTCCCTTCATTACAATGTCTTCATTTATACGAACTGAATTCTGTTCCAGACTGGGAACTTCAATTATTCAAGGCAAGAGTATCAAATGAAAGAATATACATGAATTGTTTTGTCATCTGTATTGCTCTTTATATTAAAGGGGTTATCATGTTCACTCTGCTTCAAATGTACCAAATGGTAAATGAAGGACACAGTGCTTTTGGGCTCAGGATTCAGAAGTCTTGGCTCCTCAAACGACGATCTAAAGTCATATCTCATTGAGAAAATATAAGTGGCTGGGCACAGTGGCTCATGCTTGTAATCCCAGTGCTTTGGGAGGTCAAGGTGGGAGGATCGCTTGAGGTCAGGAGTTTGAGGCTGCAGTGAGCTATGATAACATCACTGCACTCTGTCTGGGTGACAGAGCATGAGCCCATCTCAATAATTAAAGTGTATATATTAAAATGTATATATATATGTATATGTAAACTGACAGTGTCTTTCATCTTCCCATCCCCAAATCCACCATTTCACTGGTACTCTGTTGCCCTTATCCCCTGCCCTCTCCTGTTAGCATGGAAGGCCAACACTTCACTGTGCTCTGGGTCTCCCCCTTTCTCAAGGACGTTGATCCTGCATTTGTCCATTTTCTCTCCCACAATATCAACTTTTCTCTCTGTGGGTTTATTTCCATTGTCATTGAAATATGCCTCTGCATCTCCAATTCAAAACCAAATAAAACAAAACCTTAAACTCTCATCCTCTCTAGCTACTTATTTCTCTATTCCCATTTTTAGCAAAACCTCACTGTTATCAGTTTCTTTTCTCCCATTTACTTTTCAATCATTCCATTTGACTTCTGTGTCCATTATTCCACTAAATCTTTTATTTTTCAAAGTTACCAATCAGCTCCACACTGCCAAATCCAGCAGTTACTCCTTGATCCTTATCTTACTTTATGACTCAGTAGCATTCAACCCAACACAACCCAAGTTGATGACTCTCTTTCCTGGAACACTTTCTTCTCTTGGCTTCCATAGCATCACACTCTCTCAGCCTCTCTCTCAGGCTCTTCTTCTGTCTCCTCTTTTTCTGCTAAGCTTTTAAATGTCAGCATGCTCTGTGGTTGAGTCCTCCCGCTTTTTCTTTTATTTATTTTTTGACAGTTTTTAAAATTTAAAACTTCTTAAATTTTAAATTAAAAATAAAACACTTTCACTACTATTTTCTAGATGAACTCATTTAGTCTCTTGGCTAAAATACCATCTATATGCTGATGACTGCCCAACTGGTATCTTCAGCCTTCGCTACCCAATTAGTATGTCCAGCAGCCTACCTGGCAAATCCAATTCAACGTCTAAGTTCAGACTTAACTCATTCAAACAAAACTCCTGATCTCTCCCTCCCCTGAGTTCATTGTTCCTCGCATCTGCCTCATCTCCAGAAATGGCACCACCAACCATCCTCTCAGTTACCCCAACTAAAAACCTAGCCATTATCCTTTATTTCTCATGTTCCTTCACATCCAATCCATCAGGAAGTCTTGATTCTACCTCCAATATATATCTCAAACCTGTTCATTTCTCTCCATCCTTGGCCTCACCCTAGTTGTAGCCACCATGATGCAATGACTTAATCGACCTCCTTGCTTCCACTCTTGTCCACCTACAATCTATTCCCTATACAGAAGTCAGGACAAACTCCTAAAACCTATAAATCAAGTCATGCACTTAGTACACTTCAGTGGATTCCATTCCACTTGGAATAAAACGGACTCCTTACTGTGGCCAAAAAAGCACTACATGTCCTGGCCTCTTTAAATATCATCCACTTCATTTCATACCACATTGCTCCTCTCCACACCTCTAATTGTACCTCAAACACTCCCAGCTTATTCCTACCTCAGGGCCTTTGCATTTGCTATTTTCTTCAATGTAGTCTTTCTTCCCTTGAATTACTGATGTCATTTTGGTCTTAGTTTCAATGTCACATCCTCAGAGAAGTCTTTTCTAAACTACCTAAGGTATTCCTTACCCTGCCTGAGTTTTCTCATGGTACTTACCATTATCTGAAGTTATCTGCTTTATTTATTTAATTTTTTATTTTCTAAATCTCCAGTAGAATACAAGTTTCATGAGACCTGGGCCTTGTCCACTTTTTCCACAACTATATTTCCAGGGCCTAGAATGGTACTGACACATGATTCATTCAACATTTCTTGAGTAAATGAGTGAACTATATCGAATAGGAAACACGTTAACTTTTCACAGATATTTAGAAATTGAGTTTGCTTTCGTCATTACCTATTTCATTCGTGAAATGTAATATACACATTTATCTTCTTCCTGGTCACAGTTTGCAAAAGAAATTCAAAGTTACAATTTGGTAAATCATTTTTAAAAAGTGTTCATCTAGCTTGGTTATAGTTTTGTAAATCTTTCATTAATTCTTCTAAACTTGTACTCTGTCCAGGTAGGGTTAGTATTACTTTATGTTTTCTGGCCCCACATAATTTCCATAATAATTATTTCTTGCCACAAAAATTCTGCATAACCAACCACCCCAAAACTCAGTGCCTTAAAACAGTAATCACTTACTTTTGCTCAAGTTTCTGTGAGTTGGTTACAATCAGCTAGTGCAGGCTGGGTGCTGCTGGGGGCCCTAGCCTACATGCCTCCCTGCTTCCTTGGGCCAGTAGGCTAGTGGGGGTAGGTTATCTCATGATGATGGCAGAACACTGAAGAGTAACTGGAAATACCCAGGGCCTCTGAAGCCTAGGTTTGGAGCTGGCGTGCTGTTTCTTCTGACTCATTCTGTTGGCCAAAGCAAGTCACACTACTGAATATAAAGTCAAAGGGCAGGAACTGCAAAGTCACATGGAACATAGCACTGACATAGAGAAGGTAAAAAGTCAGGGGGCAATAATGCAATCAAACCTACCACAATTACAAGGGGTGGCTTTTCAATGCAGCATTTGACAATACAGTCTTTACAGTGTACCCTTCCTCACAGGTAGCAGTGTTCATATTCCTGAACACTCTGGTGAAACTACAGTGAAAAGAAGGAACTGTGACATATACTTGTAGGGTATGCATTAGAATGTTCACAAGAACCATGGACAAAAGCCAGCTTATTCAGTATGGATGGCATCTAAAACTTGCCATCTCAACTTTCCTTTATGGCTGGTTAGCATCTTCCCATAGATACTCATATGTGAGGAAAAGGGACTTAGACGTGTCCTGGGTGAGATCAAAACTAAGTCACCTATGGAAGGATTCCAGGAACTAAAGGGTTTACCATGAAGAAAACTTGGGGAAGAGATTAAAATTGTCTTCAAATATCTGAAGTGTTCTTTGTGGGAGTTGGTTTAGACTTGTTCTATGGGGCCACAAAAGGCAGCACCAGAGTAGATGGATAGAAATTATAGGAAATAGGATTGGGCACAACATGTGGCAGAAAATTCTAGCCATCAGCACTGTCTAATGATGGAAGCATTGCCATCACAGAGATATTAAAAAAGAGCCTGAAGAGCAACACTTAATAAGCATTATTGTAATTAGCATAGCAGCTATCATTTATTGAAGCCCTACTAAATACCAGGAGCTGTGCTAAACACTTTAACCATGTTCTAACTCTCAACAACAAGCATTGTTCACAACTCACAGCTGAGGAAATCAAAGCATAGAGAGATTAGGTAATTTGTTCTAGGTCAAAGGGACAATGGGTGGAGGAGCTGGGACCTGGCCCAAGGTCTGTCTGATTCCAGAGCCCCTTCTCTTTCCACTATACCTGGCTGCATGCTGAATCACCATTCGTCAGGATAAGGAATTCAAGAATAAAGTGGGAGCTGAGCTTTACGAACTCTTCCAGTCCTTATGGCTACAAGTCTAAGAAATCTCACTAAGGTCACAGCCACTGCACATTTCGTGAAATAGCTTTTGTACTCTGGTGATTTCTGAAAAACTCTTGTGAACTTTGGTTGATGGATACTAATCTTAAAAATTGCCTTTAAGAACTCAGGGTTCTGTGCTTAAGATTCACAATCATATTCACACTTCACCTTTACCTTGCACTGCTTTTCCACAGTTTCAGTGACGTTCCCAAAGTACGGCTTGTTAATCCTCACATGGTCTCTGTGGGAGTGAGTGCTGGCAAATGGTAAGGCTGGCAGAGGATGACTCACTCAGCCAAGGGAGGCAGAGATGTGGTTAGGGAAAGAGCAGACAGAAACACTCTCTCTCTACACCCAGTCCAGAACTCCGAGGTAACTCCTCTCCAGTCCTGGTTCTACTTTTCAACGAGAGAATGGTTCAGTGTAGTCACTTGCCCTCATTCCCACCACCAGCTCTCCCACACATAAGCTCCAGCTCTATACAACCTCATCAGGGATATGTCCCTTCCTGCCCTCATTCCGTACAGCATGCTCTTCTTCCTTTTTGAACAACCTCATCGGGGATACGTCCCTTCCTGCCCTCATTCTGTACAGCATGCTCTTCTTCCTTTTTGAGAGGAAGAGCCTCCCTTTGAAAGACGAGATTTTCAAAGTGGGTGGTCAAGGAAGATCTACCTTCCAGGCTGCTAGATTTTATTTTCATATTTTGAGATAATTGCTGCAAGCTGATTTAAATATTTCAAAGAATAATTCCATTTTGTTTTCATCTTTAGGCTTTTTAAAATGCAGGGTGTCATACTAAAAATTCTAATAAGTAAAATGTGCAACGCATAATAAAATGTGCGTATTTTTTCATTACCATCTGCTTCTCCTTACACTTACAGGAAAAGACTTCTTTAAAGGGTTGAAGCCTCAGTGGGGTACACAATGTTGATCTTACATACTCTGCCATTTGACTAGGGGAGTAATGTAAGCTGCTAGAGAAGCATATTAATTAAAGACTCACTCAACCTGCAGACCACTTGCTCAAGAAAACAGAAAAACTAAGCGGATTCTGGAGAGTCATCTGTCTCTGGGCCAACAGCCTATTTTCCACCGTTAGACTCAGTGCTGGCATCCCATAGTTTATGAGATCACAATCAGGGTGGAAAAGGCTAGCCATCTTCTACCTCTTCTTTCTATCCAAATGCATTATTCCCTCCTAAAACCATCACAGGTAAGTGGTTGTCTGGCCTCTACTTGGACCCCTCCAATGACAGGATATGGCTTCCTAACTATTCTATATAGCAACTGTTCATTCTACTTCAAGTAGAAATAATTTTTGACACCACTAACCAACATTGATAATGAATCTACCCTATGGAAAGCACTGTCCTAGGTACTAAAGGAGATCTGAAGAACCATATGAAAACTGCTGTTATTGCCTGAAATAAGCTCCTTGCCTCTGAGAGAGAAGACCTGCTCCCTGATGATCAGAGTCTCGTGAGAGAAAACTGGCAAAGGGTGGTGATGCAGACCCTGCTCCTTGCTGATAAGAGGTGGGGGCCAGCTTTCCTACAGTGAAGGCTTGTCTGGGGGATGAGATGGAAATGCCTTGCTGCAAGATGAACATGAAACATGAAAACAAACGTCCAGCACCAGGCAGCAACTCCGGAACAGTCACTTCTTCTCCTTTGTTTTGGTTTCCAAGGAAATCTCTTGATGTGTGAAGGTATTTTGAGTGTACCAGAGACAGATCAGCATATGAAGGATAGGCAAGCTGTCAGCATTGAGGGCCTAACATGAAATAACAGGTGTGCCACAACCAGAGGCCAGAGGGTGGTAATGGGAAAGCTAGGATCAGAAAACCTAGGGGCAAGGTTAGAGCAGAGCCTGTGGTAAGGCTGAGGTTGATAATGGAGGTCAGTATCTCCAGAAACATGGTTAGGCTGGGTCTAGGTTGAACCTGGTAGGTATACACACAGAATTCTAAATAAATAACTATGTGATAAATATTCCAAAGAAGTAAAACCTATTTGTCAGCAAGATTATTACATTCATTAAATCCTGTTTGGAGACTGTATAAAAATTGGCAAGCTGAAAATAAGATCAGTAGAGTTTGTTTTCTGGTCGTTGTTTGTTTAGTTTTTTAGAGCGGACGGCAGCAACTTAGGCAGGAAGTGCATGTGAAGAAACAATGTGGTGATACAAACTTTGAACTTGTATACCGTCTATGACCTGAGCCACTTCATACATATCACCAAGGCCACTTTGGTCTCTGTTAGTCCCCAGCCCCTCAAGACTCAGGGGAGGAGAACAATCGGGAGAAAGCAAGTGATCTGCTAAGGATTAAGTCCTGCTTTTCAGGGAAAGTGAGAATCCATTATGGTTGCCACCAGCAGGATGCTTGCAAGAGTTTAATGTAAAGCTCTCCTGGGAGAGAAGTGAGAGGAACCCTGGTTTGTAGTGTTCACGTATTTGCATGGTGTAAATACTTCCACTATGGCCAGTTTCAAGCTACCAACATGAAGTCACTGAACATGCACCTAGGAAGAGATGCTTGCAGTCAGCTCTCAGGACAGGTGTGGGCCACCTCCAGCATGCACCCACAGCAGCTGCAAGCCTCCTCAAGAGGGCTGGTGCTTGCTGGGCTTCCTTTTGTATTCCTTCCTGTCTGGTTTCCTTGCTCCCCAGGTGTTCCTGAACCCATTCCACTCCTCATCTCACTCCTAATCTCATGCCCTCTGGGCCTTGCCCAATGACTGGACAGTTAATCCAGATCAACAAATTCCTCTGCAGGAGACAAGGACTTCAAGGGTGAATCCTCTCAGAGAAATCCACATTGCAACAGCAGTTTCTTGAAGTGGTTGGTGCTCTAAACCAAGAACAAAAATGTTAATATAAGGTGAGAATTTGGGAGAAGGGAAGCTCAGTTCCTTGTAAAGCTTGTCCTGTTCTTCTTTCTGGGATAACCTGGTATGTCATACCCTGGCCCACATAGGACAGCCTGCCATATAGTTAGACTAGTGTCTATTTCTTGTCATATTATGGTGTCCAGGAATTTATGGAGCTCTGAATATCTTGGTTACAATTGGCTTTTAATTATTTACTTGTAATGGCTGGGGGACACCATAACATGGACAATACACAAGCTTTAAATTAACCCTGACCTGCAATTTCAAACTTTTACAACAGGCCTTTAAGCGGAGTCTTACTAAAGCAGGAGAGGGGCTGGCCAGGCTCATCTCTTCTCTCCCACCCAACTGCTGGGGCAGTGATGACAGCTGGTGCCACAACCAAGGCCACAGACACAGAAGAGGGAAAAATCTGGTTAACCCACCCCCAGACAAAGGTGATTTGTTCTAACCAAGCCTCCCTCAACTCCTGTTGCAGAGAAGCCAACGTGGAAAAGACTTGAAGGAAAAGAACCCATGCTTCCTGCCTCTGTTCTATTGATATTCACTGTCCTGCTGGGGCCAGAGTAGTAGAGCAGGAAGGAGGAGCAGGCCTTTCAAGTTGCACAGCATCTAGGTACACAGGAACAGACCTGTACAAAATGAGCACATGCCCACACAAACCATCCCTGAAGCAAGCGAGTGGCTGAAGAACCACACTATTCTCTCTGGGTGAGAACACCTGATAATGATATGTTACGTTTTTGTGGCACTTAGGTTCAACAAACAGCTTCACTTGTGTTGAACATTTGCATTGTACAGCAGCTCAATGCAGCAGCAGAACCATGAGCTGAAATTTAAAAATGAGAAAACTGAAGCAACATGCCTCAGCCATGGTGAGTAGAGGAACCTCCACAAGAAGGGCCCTCTCACTCCCAGCCCAAGGCTCTTTCTTTGGCATGTCCTTCTCCTCGGGGCTTAGGAGGCAGGTAGGAATATACTTGGAAGAGCTCTACCATTTTGGCCATCCATGTTACATGGCTAAACCTCTCACCCACACCTCTATTCTTTCTTCCTCCCCAGGAAGCCCTACACCCCCAACAGACCCACCCAGCCCTTCTCACTGGAATTATGGTACATACTTTAAAAATGTCCTTAGAAAGCCTAATCCTTAAACCCACCACTTTTCATGACATCAACACAAGGCAGCTATTATTGGCACCATTTACTCAGAGACTCTGTGAGTCAGTGGCCAGGGGGTGAAAATTCACGTCCCCTAAGGGCCCACAGTGCCTGCGCTGGTCCATCTCTCCCTCTTCCCACAGCAGAAGCACTCTCTACTGCCTCAGCCAAACCAGACATCAACAGAAACGCTCCTCCCTGGGCCTGGCTTTCCTTCCAAAGTGTGAAGCTCTATGTAAAGAATGACCTAGATTTTTTGGATGAGCAGTTGAAGTCTATAAATGTCTAACCAAGTGCATGAATTGCCTAAAGTGAGAAAGAGCTTTTAGCTGTATTGTCTCTGCTGAGCAAGACAGCTGGCCTTCCTTGGGGATTGCAGTCTCGATCTGGACTTGTCATGTCTGAAGAATCATGAGTCTCAGAAGTCAGGAGGGAAGTTGGTCCTCTTCAGTTCTGGAAATTGGACACAAGTCTGTGGGTGGGGTTTGGGGACTGGGGCTAGGAAATAAACAGAAGAGCAGGGAAGAGGTACTGCAAGTCCCGAGCAGACCCAGTGAGCTGACTCTGGGACAACGCTATGACTTCAAACTCTAAGAGCATTTGTTGAAGTCAGTGCCGACTGAATATACCTGGTGGCTACTTCTTCTGGGTCCCATCAAACTCTCTAGGAACAATTGAATTATCTGGCTGGGTAGTTATGCTACAGTTTGATTCTTTGATGAGCTGCCATGCACGCAACCCCATGGCTCATAGACATTGACCATTCCCATGCAGCACTATAGACATGAGCCAGGCAAGGGAAGAAGGAGCAGCGGGGCCCTGTCCTAGCTTCCCAGAAGGACACAGAGAGCTGCCAGCAGCTTGCTGGGAGGAGGGCTGGCAAAGGGCCAGTGGACCCAAAGAAAAAGAAATAAACAAACTGGGAAGAAAATCTGGGTCAGGCTCTTACCTTGCTCACTGGAGCATATTTGTATCACGTCATTCTTATCTATTAAATTCTTGGCCTTTTTTGCATATTTTCAGACATGCCCAATAGGCACGAAGAAGCAACTTGGAGAACTTCCCAAATACTTACACAACAAAATAATATAAGGCCCATCTGAGAATTACTGGTTAGCCATGACCTCAGCCTTCCTCAGACAATTTTTCTCAATGAGTGACTTGGTCCCATCAGACCCACAAGCCTAGATAATAGATAACCTCATTCCAGTGCATGATGGAATTGTGGGAAACAGTGTATGCTGACATAAAATAGAAATCCACTGACCATAGTCTTATTGTAAAATATGCTTTTCACCACAGAAACTGTTCTTTAATTGCTTATAATTCTCTGCAATGAACAGTCTCGTACAAAAAAACATCACATCACCATGTAGGGTAAAAAGTAACTGAACAGAGTCTTTTGAAATCAGATAGAAATTATTCTGAAAGTTTCCTCACCCCTTCTTTGGTTGTGGTTAGGATTAGATGATGTTTGATTAAATACATAAAAATGCTTAGAAAAGTGTGAAGCACTATAACAGTGATGAATTATTCTTATTTCTCTTGCTAGATTTAAGCACTATTTTGTTTTTTTTTCCTTTGTTCTGGCTATTTTTTTTCTTTGTTTGGCTATTCCAGACTGGAACCATGATTTTTTTGTCCCTTAACTATGACCACTACTCAAGGAGTGGCTGTCCACTGTAGTTCATCACTGTGCCAGCGAGACTGGACCCCTCAAGCATGGGGTCCTCCTTGGCAGTTAGTTGGTGGCTGTGTTAGTCCATTCTTGCATTGCTATAAAGAAAATATAATTTATAAAGAAAAGAAATTTAATTGGTTCAAGGTTCTGCAGGCTGAATAAGAAACATAGCAGCATTTGCTTCTGGGAAGCCCTCAGGAAGCTTACAATCATGGTAGAGGGTGAAAAAGCAGGCACGTCACATGGTGAAAGCAGGAGCAAGAGGGAGAGGGAGGAAGTGCCACACATCTGGCTGGGTAGTTATGCTACAGTTTGATTCTTTGATGAGCTGCCATGCACGCAACCCCATGGCTCATAGACATTGACCATTCCCATGCAGCACTATAGACATGAGCCAGGCAAGGGAAGCAGGAGCAGTGGGGCCCTGTCCTAGCTTCCCAGAGGGACATATATCTCATGAGAACTCACTATCATGGGGACAGTACCAAGAGGAGGGTACTAAACCATTCATGAGAAACCTACCCCCATGATCCAGGCATCTCCCACCAGGCCCCATCTCCAACATTACATTTCAACATGAGATTTGGGCAGGAACAACATCCCAACTATATTAGTAGCCTTCCAAGCTTCCCTTCAATCCTAGGTTTTAAGCGCACTCCCCCAACGCCAGAACCCTCAAGAGTTTACAGAGGTGCTAGAGAGAAGTGAGCAGGAGGACCTGGAGAGCCACTCTGAAGTGAGAACTGCACCGGTGAGTGAGGAATCTCTTACTATTCAAAGGAAAGAAACTGGTCTCTATTCAGTAGTCAAGAGCTGAATAGGAATGTGCTTCAAGGGGCTGGGCACGGTGGCTCATGCCTGTAATCCCAGCACTTTGGGAGGCTGAGGCAGGCAGATTACCCGAGGTCAGGAGTTCAAGACCAGCCTAGCCAACATGACAAAACCTCGTCTCTACTAAAAATACAAAAATTAGCTGGGTGTGGTGGTGGGCGCCTGTAATCTCAGCTACTCAGGAGGCTGAGGCATGAGAATAGCTTGAACCTGGGAGGCGGAGGTTGCAGTGAGCCAAGATTGCACCACTGCACTCTAGCCTGGGGGATAGAGCAAGACTCTGTCTCCATAAACAAAATGAAACAAAAAAGAATGTGCTTCAGAACATCCTAAGTCATGAATTGATGTGTTGTATCACTGTCCTACAGAAATAGCCAAAATGCAACACTGAAACTAACAATGTTGTTACTTATTGGAAGATGGGGGAGACCAGGAGAAATATTTGAGATTGTTGGAAGAAATGCAGCATCTAACCAGAAGAAATGAACTACATTCAAGGTTTAGCCACCCCCGTCTTCTCTTTTTGCTAACATACTTGGAGCACTTCCTGTGTACCAGACACTGTTTCAAGACAGCCTTTACGTATATTAACCCTGTGAGACAGGTGCCATCTGACAGATGAAGAAACTGAGGCAAGGAAGTAAGGTAATTTGTCCAAGTTTACACAGCTAGTAAGTAGTAGACCTGAGATTCAAACCCAGGCTGCCTGGCTCTGGGATGGCCCTGATTGTTTCTGAGCCTCAATTTGCTCTTTGCAGAATGAGAGCTTCATAATGTCTTACGCCCACCCCTTCCAACAGAGAGATAATCCAGAGATGGCACTCAAGATAAGAAAAAAGTGTTAATATCTTTTGAGGAGAACAAGGTTCTGAACTGAGTTCACACCACGGATGTCTGGTTAACTTGTGGGTCCCAAATAGTTACGGTGCCTGACAGTTGTCACGTAGGCACATGAAACCCTCACCCTGGTGCTGAAGTACTAATAACCTCTATTTATTAGCGTTTTATGAATGACCACTCTCCTCACACGTTGCCTCATCTGAGCCTCACAACTCTGAGAGATGGGTATTATTTGCATTATTTTATAGGTGAGGAAACAGAGAGTAAGGTGGTATGACTTGCCTAAAGTCACCCATCTTATGAGTGACAGTGCTGTGACTTGAGTTCCAGTCTTCTGAGGTAAACCCTGCCCTTTCCACCAGATACCACTGCCTCTCACCCTGACAGCTGTAAAGATAAAAAGCACATAGTCTACCTGGGTATTGAGGGTTTCCAGAGCTGGCCTGCATGCTAAATGAGAATATAATAAATGCCACCATATACTGAACCATCCACCATGTGCCAGGAGTGAACTAGGCCATGTTACAGACATGCTCTCAATATTTACTACAATTCTGCATGATCGATGTTTTCTCTGTTTCACACATGAAGAAACAGAGTCAAGAGAGGTAAAAATATCTAGTCAATGTCCCACAGCTAGGAAGTAGCAAGAAGGGGCTACAAATTATCACCCTGGTTATTTTATCATTATGTTTTAAAGTTATTAATATCTACCACAGTCCTGCATTGCCGTTTTTTTTTTTGTTTTTATTTATTTATTTATTATTATTATACTTTAAGTTTTAGGGTACATGTGCACAATGTGCAGGTTAGTTACATATGTATACATGTGCCATGCTGGTGTGCCGCACCCACTAACTCGTCATCTAGCATTAGGTATATCTCCCAATGCTATCCCTCCCCGCTCCTCCCACCCCACAACAGTCCCCAGAGTGTGATGTTCCCCTTCCTGTGTCCATGTGTTCTCATTGTTCAATTCCCACCTATGAGTGAGAATATGCGGTGTTTGGTTTTTTGTTCTTGCGATAGTTTACTGAGAATGATGATTTCCAATTTCATCCATGTCCCTACAAAGGACATGAACTCATCTTTGCCGTTTGTTTTTATTTTTATTTTTTGAGACAAGGTCTCACTCTATTGCCCAGGCCGGAGTGCAGTGGTATAATCATGGCTCACTGCACACTTGACTTCCTGGGCTCAAGTAACCTTCCCACCTCAGCCTCCTAAGTATCTGGGACTATAGGCACACATCACCATGCCAGGCTAATTCTTTTTTATTATTATTATATTTTGTAGAGATGAGGTCCTGCTGTGTTGCCCAGGCTGGTCTTGAACTCCTGGGCTCAAGCGATCCTCCCACCTCGGCCGGCCAAAGTTCTGGGATTATAGGCATGAGTCACTGTGGCCATCCCTGCATTGCCTTTTAAATGGGAATCCTTCAAGAGTAAGTAAAAGGGTTGTGTCTATTTTCTGTCTGTTCCCTACAGTCTCTAGTTCTCTGCTGTACACACTACACTGGGGCCATTTCCTTCATTTAAATCAAAGCATATAAGAACAAACATTAACATTGACTGGCAACTAATGATAAACACAAAACAGTAACTGGGCACTGAATATGAGGAAAGAGTGAAATGCATTTGGAAGAGAAAAGTGGCTAAGGATTTGTATCCCCAGGATCTGCAGACCTGAGGGCATGTGGGAAGGCGATGGTGAGGAAATTAAGACAGTTTTTAAGGAAGTAAAAGGGTAAAAAGAGGAGGCAAGAAACTATAAAGACAAAGCAGTGACTAAGATTTAGACTGTCCCTTTAATCTATGTTAATGTCTCTGGCATTTAACTCCATTTACAGATCTAGGCAGAGCAGCTCCTTGCCATATGGTGACAATCAGATGAGTCTGAGATGCCCAGATATCTTTAAGGATCCTGAATTTTAAGGTCATTGTGCAATAGAACAAGGTGTCCTCAAATAAGGAAAACTTAGGTTAAAATTCAAAAAGCCTTTTTAGGTTTTTGTTTTATTTAGCTTTTCCAAAATATATGTACTGAAACATTGATATTTTTCAGGCCTAAAAAGGGGCCATCCTTGAAGGAGCTGATATTCTGAGTTTCCTTAGGACCTAACAGGCTGATTCCAGGATTTCTCAGATTTGCAGTGTCCTGCTCAATTACTCAACAACTCCTTGGTTTGCTCCTGGGAGACTGCTCTGAGCAGAGCAGAGCAGACCATGAGACCATGTTGAGGGCTGGGCAACCAACCCCACACACGGGCACTAGAAATACCACCAGGCAACCCTGACTTACATTTGTATAGCACTTTGTACTTTACAGAGTACTTTCACATGCATTATCTCATTTGACCATCACAACAACCTTTTGAGGTGGGTAGGGACTGTATCCACTTTACCGACAATAAAAGCATAAAGACAGGGCTAATCCCCAGCCTGGCCAGCGGGCGTCTAAATGAAGGGACATGTGCCATGCTGGTTAAATATTTTGAAGGCCAGGTGTGGTGACGTGTAATCACAGCACTTGGGGAGTCTGGGGCGGGAGGATCACCTGAGCTCAGGAGTTTGAGACCAGCCTGGGCAACGCAGCAGGACCTCATCTCTACTGAGAATAAAAAAATATTAGCTGGCATGGTGGCTCATGACTATGGTCCCAGCTATTTGGGAGGCTGAGGTAAGAGGATCATTTGAGCCAGGGAAGTGGAGGCTGCACTGAGCCGTGATTGTGCCACTGCACTCCAGACTGGGTGATAGAGCAAGACCCTGTCATTTATTCATTCATATATATATATACACACACACATAAATATTCTGAATGTCACCCCTGGATAAATCACTAACCCACGGATAATACCATCAAGTGGCAGAGCTGGCATCCTAGACTTGGCTTTTCTCATCACAAGACCAGAGTTCTTTGCTCAAAGAGCACTGTGATAGGTACTGTGGGATTGCAGATATAATAAGCACCCTGTCCCAAGCCTGAAGAAGCTACAGGCAATACTACAGTACATGGTACAGTCAGGGCCTAGAGGGAGGTAAACACGGGCAGTTCAGAGGAAGGGGAAAGTCAGATTTGACTGGAAGAAATGGCTAAAGCTTCATAAAGATGGTAGCATTTGAGATGGACCTTGAAGGAAGGGTCAGATTCTGATAGACTAAGAGGCAGGTGAGACTTTTCAAGACCTCCTGATTAGCTTACCAACAAAACTAAGGCTGGGCCTGGGGTGGCAGCTTACCCATTAGGTGCCTATAATCCCAGCACTCTGGGAGGCCGAGATGGGAGGATCACTTGAACCCAGGAGTTCAAGTCTTCAATAAGCTGATACTGTCACTGCAATCCAGCTTGGGTGACACAGAGGCAAGGCCCTGTCTCAAACAAACAACACACTAAACTAAAAAATAACAACAAAAGCAGAACAAAAACTGGTCTGACTGAAGTGGTGTTTACAACTAATTGATCACAACCAGTTACAGGTTTCTTTGTTTCTTCTCCACTCTCACTGCTTCATTGACTGGCCTAAACAAAACAACAAACAAAAAACCACCAACGGAACTCAAAATAGATTCCAAGGCCTTACCTAATACCTACTCCATCAAGAGATCCAGGGATGGAGCAGAGAATTTGCATTCTTAAAAAGCTCCCAAGGGATCAGATCAAGTTTGATTAGACTGATTTAGACCATTGAGTTCATCCTTGCCCTGGAGTAGATCTACAAGCTATACTAGATGACCCCATGAAGACCTCTTCCAATTTCAGAAATCGGCAGTGAAGTCTTTCGCCTGTTCTCAGGGCAACATGCAAGGGAAGTACTTAACACAGCTGATTTGGTGCCTGCCTATATTACAGACTCCTTGATGGGGCTTGGTTAATTCTAATTTCAAAAGCATGATCAGAAATCAATCTGGTGTGAGCCAGAGGGTCCCAATAATGGCAATTCATCTGGGCCACAGGGAATTTTCCTTTGTATACTAGCATAAAATGAAGTTCTTGTCAGATATATACATATATATGTGTATATATATATATGTGTATATATATACACATATATGTGTATATATATACACATATATGTGTATATATATACACATATATATGTGTGTATATATATGTGTGTGTATATATATATATACACACATACATATATATATTCCCCAAGTATTTTTCTTCCATTCATTTCTTTAATGGTATCTTTTGATGAGAAGTTTTTGATTTTTATAAAGTCCAATTTGCTAAATATATTATTTATGGTTAGTCCTTTGTGTCCTGTCTAAAAAATACTCTAAGTTTGCAAAAACATTGTCCTAAATTTCCTTCTAGAAGACTTATCGTTTTAACTTTACATTCAGGTTAACATTATTTACAGTTACATCATTTGATTCATCTCATTTTTTGTGTATGGTGTGAGACACAGGTCACAGTTCATTTTTTTTCATGACTGTCATTTGTTCCATCACCATTTGTTGAGAGGATACTCCTTTCTTCGTTAACCTGCCCTGGTGCCTTTGCTGAGGATCAACTGACCGTATATGTAGATTTCTTCCAGAACGTGCTATTCTGTACCACTGATATATTTGTCTATCCTTATATGTATATCACATGGACTTGATTACTATAGCTTTATATTAAGTCTTGAAAACAGGTAGTGTAAATTTTCCACTTCATTCTTTTTCAAGATTCTGGTTATTCCAGGTCCTTTCATGTCCATTTAAACTCTGGTTACATCATCTGAAACTCTAGTCTTTTTTTTTTTTTTTTTTTTCAGCATTTTCTCTCTGAGATATTGACCTGTCATTGACTTTACTGACCTTTCTTTTTTTCTTTTTTTCTTTTTTTTTTTTTGCATCCACTATAGTATTAAGCCCATCCAGTTAATTTTTCTTTTTGGTATATTTTATTTTTCAGTTCTAGAATTCCATTTGGTTCCTTTAATTGTTGCAATTTATCTGCTAAGGTCATCTTACTTTACTTACATCTATTCATCTTACTTTAAATCCTCCAACATATTTATTTATAATAGCTGCTTTAAATTCTCTATCTACTAATTCCAACATTTGTGTCATCTCTGAGTTCATTTCTATTGATCTTTTTTGTTCTGGTTATGAGTCACATTTTCCTGCTTCTTTTTCTGTCTTATAATTTTTATTACATGCTGGGCATTGTAAGTGCAATATTGATAATTTGAATTATTAATATGTTCCTTTATGGTGGTATTTAATTCATGGGACCTTAAATTAATCCTGTTGAAGCTCAGATTTAGGCTTCATTAGGGTGAGTCAAGATTAGCTCATATTCTAGGGCTAAAGTAGCCCAACTCCTACATTGTAGTCTTTTTCTCATCCCACCTGAATGCCCAAAGTGTTATGTCTCTCCATTTTGGCTGGTTGGAACTGCGTTATTTCCCAGACCATGAGACCTCCTTTAACTCAAAGACCCCCAGGAACTATTAGGGGTCGTAGAGTCTCATCATATCCATGCACAGTTTAGTCTTTGGAAATACCTTCTCTCTTGTATGCCACTCCACAAATGCCAGCCATCCCAGAATCCCTGAACACAAACTGTTCTCTCTGTGCTGTGGTTTGAATGTCCCTCCAAAATTTGTTGAAATTTAATATTGTCATTGTAACAGTATTAGGAGGTGAGGCCTTTAAGAGGTGACTGGGTCACGAGGGGTTCACCCTCATGAATGGATTAACTCCATATCTTGGGAAAGGGTTAGTTATCTTGGGAGTTTGGCCCCCTTCTTCTCTGTCTTGCAAGCACTCTCTCTGTCTGTGTGATGCCTTCTGCCATGTTATGACATAACAAGATGTGGTCCCTTCATTTTGCACTTCCCAGCCTCCAGAATCATAAGCCAAATAAATCTCTTTATAAATTACCCAGTCTGGTATTCTGTTGCAGCAGCAGAAAACGAACTAAGATACTCCGCAAGGCAAGATGCTGCTCACTGGGCTCCAGTTTCCTGTACCATGATTTGTAAAGTGCTCTCAGGCAGAAAGCCAAGAGGAGTTTTGAGTTAACCTCACATCTTTTTATTTTATCCACAATCACATGTCTGTCTTGTTTTCTGAGACCCAAAAATAGTTGCTTCAGATATTTTGTCCAGTTTTATAGCTGTTGGTAGCAGGAAAATAATTCTAATATCCAGTATTCCACTATGGTCAGATATGAAAGTTCTCCTTTTGATGTTTAATTTTTTTATGGGAAGTCCCAGTTCTTTGGTAGATTTAAATTTGTTTACCCTTTATATGTCCCACTGGAGGTAAATAACTCATACTAGCTCTTCTATGGTTATTACTATTGAGACATACATGTTTACATTATTAAGAAAACAAAGGGGAAAACCCACTTATTTGTCTTCTTTTCAGGTTCTGCCATCTTATATCCTCACAGATGTTATTTCTGTATAATTTCTTAACTATTTATCTCCTCTGCACTCTCTCTAGCCTTTCCATTCCCATCTTAAAATCCAGAAACTAAACTTGAATCTAATAGCATGCTGCACTCTAGTGTTTGGTCAGATCTTGGTTATGACAGATACTGCTTCATATGCCCAGCACAATAGCCTTCCTTTAGGAAACGCTCCTTCCCCAGATTCCGTCATGTGGTTTTAGAGAGAAATGCTGGATTATTAAATGACTCCAACCCTGTGGCCACAGTCAATTCATTCAAGCAGTAGCCACCTGGCCAAATCTGAACCAAAGTTCTTCCCTGACAGTTTTTTTTTTTTCACTGAACTTGAGGGAAAAAAATATTAAATTTCTAATGGTAAGAGATGCATGATTTACAGCTGTTAGTGCCATGTAGAAAACAAATCTTCAGTGAAAGAAAATGATGAGCTGACAAGCAGAGAGAAGCAAGTCAGACAGAGAAGAGACACATACATACACAGAACATATGCAATAGTCTCCTAAAAGTATTATAGTACCTAATTTCAGGCACTCCTAAGGCCTGCAGGCATCCTGTACTCTTCCTGTGTTTTAGATATATGAAATACTCCATATTATTTCTAATAAATTCCCAAAGATAGTTCTGGTTGGATTTCCATCATTGTCCTAATATTTTGAAAAATGAGAGACTTTTCAGGTCTTCCTTACTAAACACTGCATTAATACAGCTCAAATTCATGGGAAAATTTAAATTATAACACTCTCTTCTAGTCTCATAGCTGTTCGTGTCTATTATGACACCATCCTGGTAATTTTTTTGGCATAGCCATTATAACCATCTTGTATCTCCATGATGTGATTTTGGATCCTCTGGCAAGCTGCATTATTAACCTGAAAAAGCCATACACTAACACTTAACAAGTCTATACTAATAATGATTGCTACTGTTTTTGAGTATGTACTGCAGATTGGAATTTTAATAACATTTTACATAAATTATAACTTTATTTATTTATTTATTTATTTTTGAGATGGAGTCCCGCTCTGTCACCAGGCTGGAGTGCGGTGGCGCAATCTTGGCTCACTGCAACCTCTGCCTCCTGGGTTCAAGTGATTCTCTTGCCTCAGCCTCCAGAGTATTCTGTTGCGGCTGGGGCTACAGGTGTGCACCACCACACCCAGCTAATTTTTGTATTTTTAGTAGAGACGGAGTTTCACCATGTTGGCCAGGATGGTTTCGATCTCTTGACCTCACGATTCGCCTGCCACCTCGGCCTCCCAAAGTGCTGGGATTACAGGCGTGAGCCACCGTGCTGGGCCATAAATTCTAACTTTCTGGTAAGATGCTTACTTCACGACAATCCAGGGGAAGTATCTACTAACTTTCAGGTTGATAGAAACTGAGTCTCCGAAACATTAAGACACCGGCTAAGGGAATAAAGTTACTATGTGTCAGCATTAGGACTGGACCTCAGGATAGAATGGAGGCATTACTCCCTTAACATGGAAAGGCTATTTCTGTTGAGGCAATCTCTAATTATTTTAACTTTTGGAAAGTTAATATTCTGGGGAAGACACACGACACTACTGACTCATGTTGAATTTACAATCTACTAAAATCTCTTGGTATTGGTCATAAGAACTACAATTAATACAGCTTCCCCCCATCCAGAACATATAGGAAGCACTATTTTTAAACTTAAGTGCGAGACTTTACGTTTTATTGAAGTCCTGTTTGTCTAAGTTCTTTGTGCTATGTTATTCACATCCTGAATTCTGCTAATTATGCTATTTCCCACAGTGTGTCTAACCAAAAACACAGATTGTGTTTAAATCTGATGAAAATGTCCACAGCCACTCATAAATGGTTCACCTGCAGAAGGACATCCTTCAATACTCATATCTACATGTATACACTTTGAGTACGACTATAAACTAGCTTTGAAACTGTTTATGTGGATTTTCATGTAGCCTATATTTGCCCATCTAACATTTACTTTTTGACTTCGTAGCAGAGCCTGTAAGTTCCCACACACATACTCTCAGACCTTCCCATTGTAATGCATGCCAACTCAACTTCCACCAGCCTGAGAGGTTTCTGGAAGCCCTTCACACCCCCACCTGTGTGCAGGGCAGGCCAAATGTGCTGCAAACTTAACACCCTCTAAAAGCAGCCCTCAACCAATGACCGATGGGACTTGGTACATCAATGCTCCAGTTCCTTTCCCTCAGATAAGATAGGTCTGAAAAGAGCCTTCCACTCTGACTCCCAGAGTTGTAACTTGGCAATGCACCCTCCAAGAGCTGCCTTCCCTACTCCCCTACCAGTTTTTCCTAGGACCACCTTCCAAAGTAAACTATTTGTACTTAAAAATCCTTGTCTCAGGATCTGCTCCTGGGAAAACTCAAACTAAGACAATCTTGTTAAATTTCCACCCAAAGTAAAACCACCTTTAAAATTTTTTACCATTATTCTCCATTTTAAAAACGGGCAAACAAGCCCCACATGTGGTAAATGGCAGACTCAGTGACTCAGCTTCAGATTCCAAAGACTGCCATGTGACGTGGCCTCCATAATCTTTTCACCGCTTGCTGAAATCAGCTGTGGCACAGTCATGACATTTCCCTGCTCAAAACTGTGTGTGTGTGCGCGCGCGCGTGTGTGTGTGTGTGAGATGGGGTGTGGAGGAGAGTATTACATTCTCTTACTTACTCAACTCCAACTCCCGCCTCTGACAGTAGCATTAAAGATTACAAGTTTCCAGGTTTTTTTTTTTTTTTTGGTCTTTTTGGATACCCAGGAATTGAGCATCTCAGTGCTGATTGGGGAATGCGCTGTGACACGAGATGTCAAGTACATGACACGGGTGAATTATTTTCATGATGTGTAACCAAAGTAACCATTTTCATTCTTTATTTTCCTCTCCCTTCTTTAAAACAGACACAGCCACTCTATTTTGCCACCTAAGAAAATTTAGAGAAATTTCCTAAAATCCGTTTGAATTTTTGTAATCCTAAATCATCTATTTGTCCTAGGTTTGAGGACACTTTTAATTTTAATATATTGTTAGAGGTCGGGTGCAGTGGCTCATGCCTGTAATCCCAATACTTTGGAAGGCTGAGGTGAGCAGATCACTTGAGCCCAGGAGTTTGGGGCCAGCCTGAGCAACACAGTGAGACCCTGTCTCTACAAAAAAATACGCATACACACACAAATTAGCCAGACATGGTGGCACATGCTTATAGTCCCAGCTACTCAGAAGGCTGAGGTGAAAGGATCACTTGAGCTGGGAAGGCAGAGACTGCAGTGAGCCAAGATGGCATCACTGTGTTCCATCCTGTGTGACACAGCAAGACCCTGTCTCAAAAAAAGATTATGGAAAATTATAAGCATGTATACCATAGTGAGCAAAACAACGTAAGGGACCTCCATGCACTCAGCCAGCTGCAACAATGATCAGCATACAGCAGATGTGGATCCATCTATACTCCTATGAGTGTGTATGTGTACACACACATAATTTTTAGAAAAAAGGTTCACATACTATGACTGTTTGAAATGTCTTTTAAGTCTCTTTTAATCCAGAGGGTCCTCCTCCAACATTTCTCCTTGCAATTTTGAGGGTGCACTTTCTCAGTTAAATGAAGCTTAGTCCATCTCAGGTAGACACTGGTAGTTACTGACAAGGTAATGAGACTCTTAGGCACTGGGACAGAGAGGGTGGGGGGACCACAGACACAATAAATGTAGGGAGCTTTTCCTTTAGGGATTAAAGCAAGCCAAACAGTCAGGTGGACCCCAGCATCCATTCCCGAGAGCAAGTGCTCATCCTTGGCAATAAACGAAGACTGAGTCCAGGGCCAGAGGCGAGGGTCCTATGGCTCCCATCTGGGAAGCAGCCCCTCAGAAATGGCAGTAATTCACAGTCTGGACTGAACTCCCCAGGACTGGAGGTAAATGGTGAACCCACCAAGGTAGGTTTGGATGAAGTAAATATGGAATCCAATTGTGGTGCTCATGAACTGGGAAGGAGGAAGGGCAGAGAGTGTGAAAAATCCCCTATGCATTTGGCATTTAATAAGTGAATCCAAAATTAACCAGTGATTAATTGCTCATCAGATTTAAGGATGTTCCATAGTCTATAACTACATTCCAGCAAGATAGACTCATAGATGATTAACAGGGACATTTCTTGGCTTCCTGAATATTGTGGGTTCCCCCTTAAAATGAGGCTGTTCACAAGATTACAAAACCAAGTCCTATACCATGATTCAGATAGATCAGTGAAGAGGAGACAGACATAGCTCCATTTGCTCCTCCAACTAGAAATCCTCACTTTCTGGCAAAGATATACCTTTGATAAGTTCTTGGATGGCTTCATCCCAAACTGCCTTACTTTTCTGGTGACTGCATTCTTTGTTACAAAACCGGCAATCCCTGCTTCCCTCTTCCCCTCTGCTTCCCTCTTCCCCCTCTAGTCTCTACTCCCTTTGTCCATTTCAATGAATCACTGGTGTCCTTCTAAGTACATCTCCATCCTAGGAAGCATCTTCTGCTTGAAGGCTCTAGTGAGAACCTCAGCAATCTCTCCAGGGCCCTTGACTACTCTTTGGGGAAAAAAAAACAAGTAGTTAACATGGCTTCCTTCACACCACTGCCCACCATCTCTTCTGTGCTGCTGAAGAATCACAGATGTACCAAATCTTTGTGCTTCTGCTACGTATCTCACCCAGTTGCTAACTTAATATTCCCTTAGAAGGTTAATAGGCTGGGCACAGTGGCTCATGCCTGTAATCCCAGCACTTTGAGAGGACGAGGCAGGTGGATCTCTTGAGCTCAGGAGTTCAAGGCCAGCCTGGGCAACATGGTGAAACCCCATCTCTACTAAAAATAGAAAAATTAGCTGGCTCTGGTGGTGCACACCCAGCTACTCGGGTGGCTGAGGCACGAGAATCACTTGAACCCAGGAGGTGGAGGTTGCAGTGAGCCCAGATCATGCCACCATACTCCAGCCTGGGTGAGACTCTGTCGCCAAAAAAAAAAAAAAAAAGAAAAGAAAAGAAAAAAAAGTTAATACAGACAAAAGATCTTTTCTTGTTTCTGAAAGTAAAGTTTCTCTTCAGCAAACCCCATCTCACTTTCACTGTAATACAAAATAAAAAAAAGTTCACATCAAGAATTTTTAATGGAAGTTTTGTGTTTCCTTCATTTATTACAACTGTAATCAGCCATAGTTACTGCAATTAGCATGTAGCATTGAAAAGAACTGAGTACTCTTCTTTTCTTGTAATGTCTTTAATTCCTCATTACCATCATTTCAGTTGCCAAGCAACCTTCACTTTTATGTCCTATATTTGAAGGGACTAAGCAGAATTATTTTTAAAAAATCAATTTTAAAATAGAAGAGCAACCTTGTGTGCTAGCATACCTCTTTATAAATAATAATATTGATTTCAAGATCAAAATTGTTTAAGATATAAATTATGGGAAGCAAAAAGTTATAGTGAGTTTATCACCAAAAAGTTACTGTGATTATAATACATGTAAATATCCATAGAAGAGAATCAAGAAAGGCACACCCATGAAAGTTGATAGTGCTTATCTTGCTCTTGATGGTAAAATGAGTGACGGTAATTTTTTTCTTTTTGCCAGTCTGTATTTTCTACGTTCTCTATGGTGAACATGAATAATTTTAAAAGTTATTAACATTTATAAAGTAAGTATAAATGCTGAGGGACAGTTAGATCTTTGCAAATACAAGAACTTATAAAATAGTGGGAACTAAATGAGACTACATATGTAAAATATTAACATAAACACTGTGTTATTCATAGTAAATGCTCAAAAGTTAGCTATTACTAAAATAATATTTTAAAAGTCTATGCTAGTGGTTGATCTTATGTATATCTTACCACAAAGTCTATGTAAGAACAAGAAACAGTCTAAATTAATAATTTTTAAAGACTGAGTTAAAAATTTGTTGGGTTTCTAAGACTCCATCCTAAGAATATTGACTCTTCAAATATATCCAAAAGCACATTCTTAAAATATGCAAATTCCTGAAGGACTTTCTTCAAGTTTAATATCGTGATGGAGATACCCCATTACACCTTCTTCCAGACACTTTAAGTCTCAGAAATCATTTTAATGGTATCACAGCGAGAAACGGAGGCTCTGAGTTACAAAGCGACCAGTCCAAGCGCTGTGGTTTTAAGGAAATGACAATCTCAGAAACAAAACTGAAGGCTTCTTTTTTGCCAGCAATAACTTATTGACAAGCTTGTATTGATCATCCACGACAATGTATGATATGGAATTATACACTGGGTTAAGTAAAACTGATTAAAATGACAATGGACTATTAATTAAATCTTTGGAATAGGGATTTTTTTAAGGTTTAGAATTTTAAAAAGCTAAATAGAAATGGGCAAATTTAAACACAAAAATCCGAAGTTTCTATACATGACAATATCAAAACCAACATAAAAATGAAAATGAGAACAGGAAAAAAAATGCCTATAGTAAATGATATTCAAAGAGTTAACAGCTTTTTATATAAAAAGCTTTTGCACGCCTCTAATAATAAAAGCATTGAGCAGCAAGTGATAAATAGGCAAAGGATATGAACAGACCGTTCATAAAACTGGAAATACAGTAGGCAAACAAACTTATGAAAACATACTCAACAAAAGCTTGGTTATAGACACCAGTAGTGCCTGTTACCATGCAGTGGGTAATGAAGGCAAATGATTAAGCAGATGGAATCAGAAATCAAAATAGAGATAGCATATAATACATGAAGAACAAAAGTTCACAAAATTGAGGGTTGGTCAGAAACGAGGCTGGTTAATCTTAAGAGATATTTTAGAGGTGAATTAAAACAATACAAACACGAAATAACTTTGACTTCAGAATGAGAATCTCTCATGCTGTTTTCATGTTCCATTGTCACTTCTTTAAGAAAACTTCTCAACCACACTGATACATGATTTCCTTATCTCTAAGGTCCATTGTTCCTTTCCTTTGAAGAACACACAGAGAGGTTGTTTTATAAGATACATAGATGAAAGCAAAATAATAGCAGAATTATTACTTTCTCTTAATTAAGAGATAAAAAATAGAAGTCTCAGCTTTTAGGGTCCCTTCCCACCTCAACATTTTGTTATGTAAGCACCCTCTGTATCTGGGAAACAGTGGTGTGCTGGTAAATGTTTAACAATGGGCTCTCCAGGGGAGGGATTGAAAAGGAAGCCCTGATTAGTGATGTTTGTTGATTTCCACGGTGTAAATACTCCCAACAGACTACTAACAAGCTACTAACATGACTTCACTGAACACGGAGCTGGGAAAAGATGCATGCTAGCATACCATTATATAGCGTTTGTACCAGGTAGACATAACAGACATAACCTCAAAAGCAAAGATAATAGTAAAATGTAGTCATGAATTAGGAAGTGGTGAGTTTTGAGTATTTCTTATCTTTGTTTTTAATATAATTTAATTGTAAGCATATATAACTTAATTTTCAATCATGGCTGTGTTTAATAACTAGCTTGCAAAATTCCTGAAAATTTAACAATCTGCTCTTGTGAGCTGGTATGAGCCAGCCCAGCACACCACTGCTAGGAGATAATGAAATAATTTTTGTTTCACAGTTGCATCTATGAAGAAAGAAATTAAGACATAAATCCACATCGTTCTATGTGTCTTCAATATATGGCAAATTATTTTTGCCCTCTGGTCTTGTGGCTCTTACACAGACCTCTGACTACATAGTTGGTGGGACTCAGTGCAATTAAAAATGATGGTCCCTTATTCAAAAATTATTAAAAATTTCAAGACTGTGACAGCATTAAACCAAGCATGGGAACCTGTGGGCCTTCAGAGGTGGCATGCCCAGGAAGCTGGCTCTGCTTACATTCTCACTCTTTCCCCGTTCTTTTCCTTCCAGCCACTCTAGGGCAAGCCCAACTAGGTTGTAGCCAAAGCTCACTGTAACTCCAGAACAAGACACAGCAGCTATAATTGTTCCGGGCAGGAGTGGACAAGTTCTAACATCAGCAGGTGGGCTGCGGCTGGGGCCCGAACTGTAGATGACCTTCTCCAGGGGTCTCAGGGTCCAACACAGCTGTTTCTGTCAATTACTGAAAAGACTGTTTTTGCTTTCACACAGTTTCCCAATGTGTTTTCATCACAGATTTCATAAACTTCAGTTCAACATATTGCCTTACATAATCTGTTGCCAAAGTAGTACTTTTGGGTAAGTACTCAGGAGAAGCACTCCCCAGTTCCTCCCCAGCTAAGCCACTACTGTAGTCCTCTGACCCATGGGGACGGGCATAAGTTACGGAGTAGACCCTCCCAGCACCATAGGAAACTGGAGTGTTGAATAAAGGTGGAAATGTACACTAGGAATATGGCCTTTGAATGCAAGAATCAAACTGTAGTTGTAACAGACATCCACATTCTATTTACACAGCCAACAGACAGGCGTGCTGTACATTTTATAGGGGGCTTACTGCAGTTGAGAAGAGATAGGAATGCAGAAAAATCTGATAAAAGTGCTCCCAGGGTTTCAGACCTGCTCTTAGGCAGGGATCTCATTAGATCTGGCTGGATTGTTTTAGAGATCTCCAAGAGGCTGGCTTCACCATGTGCTTTTCTAGTTCACATAGCTGAAAAACCTATATGCTCTATTGCTTCCCTGGAGATTTGTGCCCTTCAGGTTTTCCTAGGATGTCTGAGAAAAATGATCTGGGATGTTCAGGAAGCAAGTGTGCTATACGACAGTATTTCTCAACATCCATTCATGGGTCACCTCCATCCAAACCAGTGACTGCTGGCTGAATGGCAATCTCTGGGGTTGACTGTGAGGAATTTGAATGTTCAACACACTCCCTGATTATTCCTCACGCCAAAGTTGGAGAATCTCTGGAGTAGCAGAAAGAACGCGAACCTCGGGGGAAGACTGACCAGAGTTCACATCTCAGCAGCTCTCTCACTAATGAGCTGAACCACTTTCCACAGGTCATTTAACTTCCCTGAGCTACAATTCTCTATTAGTTAAAGGAGCAAAATAACAACCACCTCATAGGGTTGTTGGGAGGATTAATTGGGTCAAGTTAGGTAAAGGCTCAGGATCCTACAGAGTCCACAATAAGTGTTAAACTACTGTCTGTCTCCAGCTCTCTCAGAAGTAAAACTCATCTCTCTGGATGGCTTTACTGAATTGAACTGCTCAGAATTCCTGAGACACTGTCTAACTTACGCATAAGCATTGCCTCTGTTCTCTACAGCGGGGCCTGCAACAAACACTGCCAAGCAGGAGAGCACAGATATGAATGAAGGGGATTTCCCATCTCCTCCTTTCTCAGGCCTGGCAGTCACTGAAACCCATGCTCATGAGAAGGCAGACCAGCGTGGAGAACTGGTGATGCCTGCTCATCAAAGATGCAGCAAAGGCCTCCTTGGAATAAATAGTGTCCAGTCTTATAATAATGCTAATTCATTCTAGAGGGCTAAGAGCGGCCTGGGAGCTGCTCTGATGACTAGAAGCCTCAGGATGCAAGTGCCCCCGAGGACCATCCTTTACACGTGAAATCTTGTAGCCACGACTACTAGCGACTGGGAGGTTCCACTGAGGAGGCTTCTGGGAAAGCTGTGTTCTTCACACAGGGCCTGCCATCAACAGTGGCTAAGGCTTCGGCCCCTTCCTGACACTACAACTGACTTTGTTCCTTGGTGTTGCCTGTTATTAGGTCTGCATCCCCAATGATGTCATGGCCCTTGGCTTCTGGTCTTATGCTCCTGTTGCCCTCTGGGCACCTTGCTTTGGTGCACAGACCAAGTTGCAGAGTGGTAAGAAATACCTAATCTTTCCTTTGTTACGGAGAGGGCTATGGCCCTGAGTGTGTGTTTGCCTTTTGCGGCTCCCATTTTGAAAAGAGACGGAATGTTTTACTTTCAATAAGCTGAGGCCTATAAAATGCTTTTAATATCCAACTGCTCCATGGTGGAGAAAACATACTTATTAGTTTTGGGGTATTTCTAGTTTGGAAGGTCTTTGGATAGCATTAGTACAATTCACACAAGAATTCACTGATTCACACTTTGCTCAATAGAGAATATCAGGCAGACACCTGGTATATAGATTGGGTGCAATCAATATTTCTTACATTGAATGGAGTTTCATTTCTAACTGGGGAGACACCAGGATTGCAGAAGAGTGGGCACCAGGTGCAGCCCTGTCCTATGTGGCATGCAGGTCTCCCCTGAGTGTAGGAAGGCCTGTCTTAGGAGAGAGATCCAGGCTTGCCCCAACCCAGGTTGCAAGTGGCTGCTAGGGGTAGGGGAAGGAGAACAGGAGCAGCATATCCTCTCTTGAGACTGGGGGCACAAGGCAAATTCTTTCAGTTCTCAAAGGTTTATTTTCCTGTTTGTTCAATGGAGAGAGTAATATCTGACCTGCCTATTTCAGAGCTGTTCTCAGTATAAAAGAAAATCAATAAAAATGGAACTCTAAGAAAAAATAAGTCAGTCCATAAATAGAAGATATTAGGAAGCATTTCCCTTCACACTAATAGGTAAGATGAAACATGGAGTTTCTTCCCACGTCTCACTGGGAGTAGGAGGTCTGCTTGCTGGGGTGGAGTTGTGTATGTGTGTTGGGGGGGCCCGTTCTGAGGCAGGTGTGCAGTTTTCTTTCCGATGCTGTCAGAAGTTGTCTTGCATTGAGAGGGAGATAAGGAAAGAGCTTTGTGAATTCAGACATTTGAAGCCTTCCATTTGGCCCCAAATGCTGGCAGCCCTCTTGTAAAGGGAAAAAAAATAAAAGCCCAGATGATCTCATAGGTCTTTTCTACCTCTGAAACAGATGGTGTGATTCACATATATTTGACATAAGTGTAACCAGGTTGTGATGATTTGCCTTATTATGCTCAGCTGAAGAGAGGATTAACTAGCAATAATATGCTGAGAATGTAAAGCATGATCTCTGGTTAGAACAGAAGGCGGGAGTGGGTTGTTTCATGGTTAAAGCAATGAACTATGACTCAAGGCCGTAAGTTTCTAGTCACAGATCTGTAACCTTGTATGTGACACTGAGAGGCTTGCTAGAGGCCTTTGAAAGTGCTCTTAATTTATATGTACTAGCCACTGCCCTTAAAAGCAATATAAGTCCTTCTTCTGAGAACAGTGTGGGTGGTAATTAATGGTTAATAATGCTAAAGAGATAGCCATCAGTGAGACTTCTGAATGCCCACGATGCTTTAAGCAATACTCAGACTCTTATCTAGAAATGCTAGCAAAATGCAAATCCCACAGTTTGTAGAAAATCTATTCTTTTTTCCTTTGCGACAAACATCTACCCTCTCCAGCATTGTCCAACTGACTTTTTTGCAACAATGGAAGTGCTCTCTCCTCTGTCCAACAGTAGGTGCCATTTGTGGCTATTGCACACTTCGCCTATGGTTGGTGAGGCTTAGAAATGAAATCTTACATTTAACTTTAATTGAAATGTATACGAAAATAGCCACATGTGGCCAGTGCATTGGACAGCACAGCTGTAGCCAATTCAAACCTCCTGAAAGCAAGAAGGTGAGGTTGAGAGGCAGTAGAAACTAAATTAACAATTATTCAGTCTTTCTCTTTAAAACAGTTTCTTTCCCTCTTTTATTCAAGTTGCTGGGTGGAGTAGCTGAAATTACGGTCTGAGGCAAAAGAGTCCCAATAATAATAATGATAATAATTTCCCCTCCACACTTCTGTACAGTTTTTCGTGGGTTTAAAATGAGAAGACATCTAAACTCATTAACAAAAAGCTAGCTAGACTGCTTTAATCTAAAGCACCACTTTTCTCTACAAACCTGAGAAACTAACCAGTAAGGTAAACTTCAGGAGAAGCATTAGCCTCACTCTGTTCTACTGTCAGATGACCTCTTAAAGAGACCTACGGAAGCACAGGCATATATTTTGCTATGGGCTTTTCTCCCTCATAAAGTCTGCTGCTGATTCCTGGCTCCATTTCCTCTGTAGCCCAATTTCCATGTCCCAGCCCCATAGATGGGTCAACTGATAACCAAAGAGCAAGAAGAGAGACAGACAAAAGGTGCTGGCTTCTGTTCCTTCCAGACACAGAGCGTCTTTTCTTTTTTGCCTCTTTCATGTACTGTGATGAGAAACTCTGCAGTACATAATACACAAAACCCTGAGATCTTACCTTACTGACTTCCCGCAGCATTCCCTTGGCCCGTGAGGGACTTGAACAAATGGTGGCTGTTCTCCTTGACCTATGTCCTCACCCATGAGGTGCACTTACTCAAACTCTACATGGTATAAAAACTTACTCTTCCTGCATGCCTTCGGTATTTATCACCCTGTCCTTTGTATATATATGTGTGTGTGTGTGTGTGTGTGTGTGTGTATATATATATATATATTTCCTGAACAGTATGTTTCTCAGGTGTTGTAAGCTCTAATGGAAGGGAGAGTTTGGTCGCTGTAATTCTTCTTGAGCACTGCCTAGCACAGTGTCAGATACAATTAAGGGCTTAACCAATGCTGCTTGATAATGGATAAAAGACTATTAGACTCAACGGGACTTTTACAGCTTTGGGATTTTAAGCCATTGTTTTCAGTTCAACATATTCCAGAACACAATATATTGTCGTTGCCTTTGGAAGGTCTGTTAAGGGGATTGAATTAGGCTTGGTTATTTGGCGGGAAGGACTTCAGAATCAGTCATGTATTTTTCAGGTTGATAACATGATTCTTTGAAGATTAGAAAAACAGTCTTGAACTCGGCCGGCAGTTGCACAACAGGTATGGAAGGAAGGAAGGTGGTGTGATAAACATGTTTCTCGTCCCTCTTTTTTCAATAGTGAAACAGAAAGAAGAAAAATCCTTATTCAGGAAATAGTCATGGTGGCCTGCTAAAGCCGAGTAAATCTGACTGCTGAAATGGTGTAAGGAACTTTGCAGTTTATTCAGGTTGGGAAGGAAGTGAGAGTGGAGTACATGATGAACAATGGCCCCACGTCAGCCGCGCCTCCCCGGTCTCCACCATCCTCTAGTTTATCTCCTCGCAGTATATTTTCTAAGGAGATTATTTTGAAATAGAAAGCCATTCATTCTGCTCCCAGATTCATCTTAACTGAATGATTAAAGTGTGAAATAAGATTGAAGTATAAAATAAAGAGAAATCTAATGAAAATTTAATGCTAAACTAGTAATACTAAAAATTCTTCCTCTTTTCCAAGTTAAAAAGTCTACAACAAACAGCACTTTAAAGCAATGATTCGCGAAGTGCGCTTCTTGGGTCAGATGCAACAGCATGGCCTGGGAACTTGTTAGAAATGCAAATTCTTGTGCCCCACCCCAGACCTACTGGAGTAGAAACTCTGGGGTTGGGGCCCAGCAATGTGTGCTAAAAAACAAAACAAAGAAACAAACAAAAAACAGCCTCCATGTGTGATTCTGACACTCTAATGTTTGAGAACCAGTACTTTAAACCAACGTTGAAATAGTTGAAACTGTTCAATGCTGTACTACATTGTACTAAATGAATATCCCTAACATGTCAAGTATTTCCCAATTCTATACATAAGGTCTGAGCAAGCACTTAACACACACAGCCACTAGTCCGTCATTCTGAGATCTCATGGATCATGAGCTGCCTAGGATCTGACTAAGCCTCCCTTAGGTTCCCAGGAGGCTCCCAGGGTTGGGGTAGGCTTGGGGGGGTTGGTATGTCTGAGCTGTGCCACACAGGCTCCTCTGCTTCACCGTGGGAGATGGAGGGATACAAAAAGGGGTCCACAGGAGGAACAGGAAGCTGGAAATCTTTGAATTCAATGATTTCATTGAAATCCATCAATTTTAATCATTTTTTGGGAGGAAATATTTAGTACTTTTCAATCACTATTTCACAAATAAAAATCCAAAAATACACCACGCTTATAACATTTTAAAAAATCTTTTCAGATAATTGCTTGATGGCTGCACTAAGCTGTGCCTCCCTCATGGTGGGCAAAGGTGCTGACAGAGTGCAGCGTCTGAAATGTGCGTGTCCACATTTATTTCCCAGCCCCTTGACCCTGCATTGCAACATTTATTAACCAGTGTCTTCTCGTCACAAACCTCCTGGCTTTACCCAGTCCTTTCCTATTCCACCACATCTGCCCTCCAGATTGCAAGGGGAATTATTGGGACTTTATTCCTCCAAATGATTCCAATTTCTGTTTGATAACAAAGTTTGCTCATGTAACAGTCTTTATGTGCCCCAAGAAGGCAAGGACAGAAAAGTCTCAAAGCACCAGATGCACAATATCATTTTATGATATTTTTCATCACAAGAAAAACCTCCATCCTAAGAAAAATGGAAATGCAAACTCTCCTAACTTTTCTCACTTTAAAATTGCACTTCTCATCACGACCTATTACACCCACATAGTCATGTGCCATAGGCTCTGCAGACTGTCTCCAACATTTCAAAGGCTCAAAAGCTATTTTTAAAGCCAAAATACAATCTAGATTGCTGTTCCGTAAAGCACTTTTAAAGGACGAACAAAGTAATAGAGTGATTTTTATGCCTGTGGGCAGTTAGCCAACTTACCAAAAGATTGAATGCAGCTGTCAATGAGATCGTCCAGGCTGGCTCCTTTGGCTAAATGTCCCAGAGACACCATCATTCGGAACTGGGTGATGTGGGCCAAGCTGGGATGGGAGGGGAAGGGGCTGTTGGCTGGCTTTGCCTCTAGTCTTGCTTTAGAGGCAGCTCTGCAGCCATGGGAAGGTTTCCTGGGGAAAGAGAGAAGGCAGTGAGGGGACAAACGGGCAGCTCCACGCTCTGAAGGCAGATTGGAGAGGAAGGGAATGGAGATAAGACAATTAATCTCAGGAGCTGGGCTGATAGAAGCCATACCCCTCCCACTTGGCAAATGCACCAAATGACTGGTTGGCTGTTAAAGAGACATCTCCCCAGCAAAGGTGAGATTTCAGGGTTGCAACTAGTGCTCTTCATCCTGGCATTAGGATTGCTCTGTCCTACTGTCTCCCACTTCCTGAAGGGGAATGGCAGAGGCAAGACTATCTTGGCAGTCCTTAGCTCCCAGCAATGTATACATTTTTTCAGCTACTAAGCCACTGACTTGAATCTTAAAAATTATTTACATTGGTTTCTTTGGCTAACTTTGGCAGGGCATGGTGGCTCACGTCTGTAATCCCAGCACCTTGGGAGGCCAAGGCGGGTGTATCACCTGAGGTCGGGAGTTCGAGATCATCTTTGGCTAACTTCATTAATCTTGAGCAATACCTGAGATACTACACAAGGTCAGGCAGCCTCAGAATCATCGTTAAGGACCTTGGGGGAGAAGTCAAAGACTGAGGACTCAAGTGCAGGAAGTGAGGGGTGATGATGGTGGTGTTTAGATTTTAAGCGAGTCCTGCCTTTCTTACAAATCTTGGTTGGTTTTAAGATATTGTTTTTCATGGTTGATAATACAGGTAACCATTATGAGTCATTTTTGTTACTAAACATCGTTTTTTCAAATCCTTACTTGGGTCCTGATTGAAACAGAAAGCAGAGCTGTGAGAGCGTTGTTCCAGCACTCAGTGTAAAAGGGCAAGTTTGGATCTAGAAATGGCTTAAGAGTCCAATGGACTTTCATCTACTCACACGCAGCTCTATCTCTGGTCATGACCTCATCAGTACAAGTCATTTTGCGAAATGATTTGGGAAGTTGATTGTCTTCTCCATTAAAAAATACACATACACACACAGATCCATATCTATAATCTTTTATGGTTTAATAGTGATGAGTGTTGCTGGTAACTCTCTTGAGCATTTAGTTAATTCTCCTCTCTCTACTGTGGCTTTGGTTATTTTGTAGTTTACTACCAAAGCAGCAAAGAGAAAAAGGAAAAAAACGTACCTCTGAAGTGTAACTTTACTCACTATATATGATAAATGCATAATGGCATCAATTAATCTCTAAGTGTTTATTCTATGAGTAAGGCATTGTGATTGGCCAGAGAAGACCACAGCGAGATAGTCTAGGTGAGGGTACTTTATATACTCATTACATACTAGCTGCTGTTGTTACATAATGGCAGTCTAGAAGTTCCTTAATACAAAAATATAGCTGAGGAATCAGACTGAGATAATGAAAAGAAAGCTACATAAATGTTAAATAAGTGTTCTATGAGTGTCAAGAGTAATAAGCATGATGTTCCCAGAGAAGAAAGAGGCAGTTTGTGGGACAGTGTCTGGGAAAGCTGCTCTGACAGGATATAATCTCAACCAAAGGGGCTGAAGAAGTGCTTAGATCAAAATAAAATGCTAGGCACATGTGGGTTTTGGGAAACCAGCCTGCTAAGAGATGGTGTATAACTGAACTATGGGGCCACTCAGTACACAGCTAGACCTGTGCAGGGGCACCCTGGCCCTTCAGGTTGTTTCAAACTAGCTCCAGGGCGCTGGTCTGCAGTGGCCGCTCGGCTCTATTCTGACCTGATGCAGGTCCAGTGAAACTGAATCAACAATTGGTTATTGGGCATCTGCTAACCCTAGGCAGTAATTCCTGAAAGATCAAGTCGGTGGTACAGGACTCAAGTTTCTGGCCATAATTGATTTTCAAACAGGCCCTGTGATAGCCCCAGAATTGGATCAGTCTCTAAAAGCAAAATAATAATGGTGACATGAATTGAGTACCTATGCTATGGCAGGTACCGTGCTGGGGACTGACCCTGTCTTGAGGCTTACAGCCCAGAAGGATGTTATCCCCATCTCATGACACTGAAACTGAATCTAAAAAAGGGTAAATGACATAGCCAAGGTTATAAAACTCATATATAATCAACCTGAGATTTGTACCCAGCACCTCTCTGGCTTTATTCATTTAATAAATATTGACTGTGCCTGGAACTCTGCACATTTCACAACATCAGGATTAGTAGTAGACAATCACAGAGAGGCTGAAAAGGTCAATTCAATTTAAAATGAAAGCAAAATCCTTCAAAAGCATAACTGGTAATGTAAAGGCTGAATCTCAGCCCATATTCCTCTTGCAGGCCCTCAGAACTGTCCTCAGGTCCCTAGAGCTGGACAGACTCTTTATGGTCATTTTCCAAAGCCCCCTTCTACAGTGTGGAGGTCCAGAATCAGAAGAGCAACGTGCCTGGCCACCACTGCAGAGACAGGCTAGAAGCCAGCCCCTTGTGGCCCATGCAGTGCGCCCCAGGTGGGCGCCCTTCCCTTCCTGGAAGCACTAACAACTCTCTACACCTGGGGCTACATAGCCACTGCTGGGATTACTCAGCTTTCTGCCCCAGCTGCTGCCTTTGTCACCATTAAGACCTCCACCAAAGGCAGAGTAGGGGAAAGGTTTTAAAAAAATAAAGTCATTCATTGTAGAAGTCTCCTTCTCTCAGGCCTTCCACAATACTTCTCCCTAGACCTTGGAGAAGAGGCAACTGCAACTAGAGGCTCTATCTACTGACAGAGCTCTTCCTGCTAGGGGTGGAGGGGAGGTGGCTACAGATCCAAGGAAAATTCCATTTTCTTTCTTGGTTGGTGACACTGACCATTCAAGACTCCTAATCCTGCCCTGTTTTCTAATTCTGGTAAAGTTTCCTAGTGTCACCAGTAAGAGAAACCGCTTTGTTTCATAAGTGGATTCTTGAAGGTTGATGCTTTTACCAGAACTAGAAGGGATCAGGGTAAAGTATAGGGTAGTAAAAGGGAAGAAAGGGTGACAAAAGCAATCTGGGAAGTATGGAGCCCAGAGAGACTCAGAGGACTAGGCCATGAGAGAACAGGGAGAAGAGAAAGTACTAAAAGCCAAAGTGCAGCCTCAGAGTTCTAAGAAGATGGGGATTATCTGCACCATAGACTAGGAAACCTGGCTTTCTTGCTGTACAGTCTCTTAACTGGTTGCCTTGTGAAAAATCCTCAAATCGTTCTGCCTTTTCTGGTGAAATGGGAGTAGACAAGGATTTATAAAATGCTCTATTATAGGCAGGTCGAAGGTGTTTTAACAATCCATAGAATGAATGGCCTCTGAGTCTGTAAAGGCATATTTTTTAAAAAAATACAGTAGCCAAATGTTTTCCTGTAAATGAAAAAACCAAAACCCCGAGAGAAACAAATTAACTTGAAGGTGTTTTCCAAGCCTAAAAGTAACCAAAGCCCCATAGGTTTGCTGAAGGAGACCGTCAAAACTCTAAACTGGTTTAGGTGAAATCCTCTCCAGGCATAGGTATCTCAGTGGAGGTCAGTTTCAGGCTGAGCTTTTTATGAAATCCGCCTAGAAAAGTAAGAGATGAAATGGAGCAAGGGAACTGGAACTTCCACAACTTTCTTTGCAGTGGAAGGTGACTCTCTTGACTTCTAGTATGGATTCCTTCCAGTCCCGTCCTCTTCCCCTTACAATACTCAATTTAATGTACTGAACTCCTCCTTCTGAATCTAGTGCAAAGTACAGTGGTGGACCCTCAGGGGATACCTGGATGGGGAGAGGCAGGGCGTGCATACAGGGCCAAGAATCCTTCGTTCCTGGGATTATAAGCACGGGAAGTCCAGCATCGCAAGCTTCCTGCCGCTACTGGGTATGGTGGTGCAAGGCACAGTCCCATCAGTGTCGATGTGAATGGAGTTGTGAAGTGCACAACTTGTCCAGCCCCTACGCCGAGGCCAGGCCTTTGTTCATGCAGTTGCCTAGTTCTGGTCCTTTGGCTACAAACTCAAAGCTGCCTGGCCAAGAGCCCTTTCACTCACTGTCCCTCTTTCTTCAACTTCTGTTATCCAAGACCCTCTATAGAATCATAGTGAGGGGGAGAGGAGTGCAGCTTCCCATACGGAAGGCGATATGTTTCCCTGACCCACGGATCTGGAAACTTCCGTGGGGCAGGGGCAACCGAGGGGTGCCACCTCTGCGGGCTCCCTGCAAGCTCCTCGGCCGTTCTGGGCAGGGCCGGGAGGGGCCACCAGGTGGCGCAGCCGGAGCCCAGCGCCCCAGCAGGTGCGGGCAGCGCGGAAAGTCCGCGAGTGGGAGTCCCGATGCCGGGCGTGGAGATGTGGGGGAGGAAGTCGGCGGGCGGGCGCCGGCTCCGCGAAGAGCTTCGGCCCTAGCAGATCTCACCGGACGAGCTCTGGCCTCGCGGCCGCCCCTCTACCACCCCTCAGCCCCAGCTCCCTCCCCGAAACCCCGGGCGCAGCGCGCCGGGCGTTCTGGACACGTCCGCCCGTCGCGCTGGTGTCCCGGGACTCCGGCCGACCCCGGCCCCCCTCCGCCCTCAACTTCCCTCGGGGTGTTGGGGCGACGGGCAGGGGCCTCTTTCCCAAGAAAGGACACAGGCGCTCCCGAGGGCCACGGCCGCCTCTACTCACCGCGGAGCCTCTCTCGCCTTGCCCAGGGTGCCCATGGCCGCGGCCCGCGCTCCCGGTGCCGGCTCACCTAGCGCGGCCGGGCGCGGCGCATCGCCCCCGCCACCACCGCCGCCGCCTGCCGGCTCTCTCCCCCCCGGGCCTCGTAGCCCCGGCGCCCGCCAGCCCTCGAGCCCGGCGAGCCCGACCGAGGTGCACCGCAGGCACAAACTTTGTGCGAGCGCGCCCCCTCTGCCTCGCGCGCGCGCTCACACCCGCCTGGCAACCACCTGACACGCTGATGCTGGCGGCTGCAGGAAACGTGCGGCGCCCCGCCGCTCTTCCCCGAAACCTGCCCCCTTTCCGCGGGTGCCCCGGCCTGCGCCTCGCGCGGTTCTCTCACCCCTGCCCGCCTTCGACCTCTCTTGGCCAAAGGGTTAAGTCTCAGGGGAGTTGGAGAGGAGCGGGCTCCCGGCTACCACGCCCGCGCCTTGCAGGGCACCTGTGCCCGTCGACCTCCACCTCAGCTCGGGAAACGGGCTGCGCCTAGCGGCTCCCATGGGACCCCCTTTCCCGCAGCCGACCCGCAGCTTCCACGCCTCTTCCTGCGGCCGCTGCTCGGAGCACTGCAGTGAGGACGCCTTCTCCCCTCCAGGGCCTCTCCTGTATATATCAGAGCGCGGAGTCCGGCAGGGGAAAGGAACGGAAAGACAGTTGTGAAGTTGCCTTAACCTGTGCCCTGGGGTCTCTAGGTAGCCGTCTGCAGGACTGGGCCGTAGACATGTGCCCTGTGCCCTGCGCCCTGCACCTTGGACGAGGGCTGCCTGTGTGGAGGTGCGCTCCACAGGCGTGATCCATATCTGGCCCAGACGCGGCCGCCTGGCGTCGGTGGGTGTAGGAGATGTGGGGACAACTTTCATACAACGTCAGTGCGCACAGAAGACCTGGCCAAGAGGGGCGGCCCATCCGCTGCTTGTCCAGGTGATAGTGCTGATAATCTCAATAGCTAATGATTGAGTGCGGTTGTGCTAAGTGCTTTCTATACATTACCTCATTTAATCCACTCTCCCTGATACAAAGAGATCACTGTTGTAAAGATGAGAAAATGAAGGTTTAGAGAATGCTATGCCTTAGATCATACAACTAATAAACAGCAGAGAGACCTCTGACTTGGACTGAGGTCTGTCTGACTCCCTGTAATCACTGCTGGACTGCCCTAATAACACACTCATTATCACGGCCACAGACCATAACTCTAGCCACAGTCATAGTTGTCTTCCTGGCCATAGTGTTCTGGACTTTAAAGCCTTCCTCTGTTTCATTTATATATTTCCTTATATTTATATGCTACCTTGTCCTTAAAACAGAATTCGAGATAGCTTACAAGAGCACATAACCTACAAAAAGAAGTGTGTGAAATGAAAAATGAGGCACACAAGATGGAGCCAAAAATGAACATCATTTGAAATAAATGCATCTCATAGAGTCAAATACCCTTGCTACAGGTGGGACCAAAATTTGTCTCCTGCATTTCTAGCAGTCAAGTTTAAAGAGAGGCCTTGTCTAAAGTTCAATTCCTATCACATGCAAGACCAAAAACAAAATTGCTCAAGAGAAGATCCCCCTTTCTTGATACTGAGACCAGCAAGAAATTTCTCCAGAGAATCCTCATGAACACTGGGTGATATAAAGAACCAAGTCCTCAGTCACAGCCACAGATGCAGAAGGGGCAGGTGAATGTCAGGAGAATATTAAATGATGACACTCTTTCTCACTCACTGGGTCTAAGGCTCAAACATTTTTAGAGTTATCTATTATACACCCTTCCTCATGTAAGCCCTACAACCTAAACAACCAAGTTGGCGGATGTCTGAGGATGGTAAAGATTTGTATCTATATATGAATCTATCTGACTATCTCCCAACAGTCCTAAGTTTGCAGTCTTAGACTTTGTTCACAGAGATCTTCTCTTATTACCAGGTGAACAATTACTTTTCACTGACCCCTCTACTACAGAATGAGCTCTTTACCCTACTTAAATCTATAATATTTACACTTTCAATTGCCACATAATATTCTGTGTCCCTGTCTTACCTCCACAGCTAAACTGTAAATTGTCCGAGGTCAAGAATCAGGTCTTATGCTTCTTTAGCTTCCACAGCTGCCAACTTGAGGCAGTACCTGTGGGACATTACTAATGAACTGCTGTGGATTTGATTTTGAAAAGCAAAATGTGCTGACCTCAAAGAAGAAAATAAGATCCTTCCTGATTATTTCCGGAGAAAGGGTTTCAGTTTTTCTTTGAAGTCCGCTGTCTATGGCAGGAGTGATAAGCTTACTGGCACTGTCCCCGGTGGCTTTCGTGGGATCCCCATCACAGGTTATCCGAGGCCTTCGGTATTTCTCTATTGCTTCACCCTTGAAAATAGAGCCCCTTCCATGCCATTCATTGCACTGAGTCTTTGGACAGCAAAATCTTTGTGTGTGGCAGGGGAATAATCCAGCCTTATACTGCATATGCATAGGTATGTATGCCAAATGGATGCCTTTATGTAAATGCATCATTATATTTATATGTAAATATACATATATGCATAATACTAAGTGCACATGTAGGCAGTTACACACATCTGCACACCTACAGTCCACATATATACAAATGGTTGAAACCAAGGTTATTAATTCATTCAATACATGAGTCTTGCTGAGTTTTCTAAAGAAAGAGGCCTACATATGCCCAGCGAGTGTTTTTCTCTTGGACTTTCTGAGTACTCTGCACTTCACTTGCATCTGATTCTGCTTCTGGGCCCCCTCGAGCTCTTTTTTGAGGTTTTCTGGCTACTCCTACCTGAGCAATAAGTCTTTTCCAAACATCTAAAAAATGAGAAGTTTGTCTATGTCTCTTTTAATCATCGGCCATGTGATTAGTCTGCCTGGTGTTATATGAGGCACCTCTGACCTCAAGAACAAACTTTTTTTTTTTTTCACAAAATACATCATTTAATATAACATTCTTATAAGGTAGCTAATGAGGATAATATTCGTGCTTTTAAAAAAATCATTATACTTTAAGTTCTGGGATACATGTGCAGAACGTGCAGGTTTGTAATATAGGTATACAAGTGCCACGGTGGTTTGCTGCACCCATCAACCCGTCATCTACATTAGGTATTTCTCCTAATGCTATCCCTCCCCTAGCTCCCACCCCCAGACAGGCCCCAGTGTGTGATGTTCCCCTCCCTGTATCCATGTGTTCTCATCGTTCAACTCCCACTTATGAGTGAGAACATGCGGTGTTTGGTTTTCCATTCCTGTGTTAGTTGGCTGAGAATGATGGTTTCCAGCTTCATCCATATCCCTGCAAAGGACATGAACTCATCCTTTTTTATGGCTGCATAGTATTCCGTGGTGTATATGTGCCACGTTTTCTTTATCCAGTCTATCATTGATGGGCATTCGGGTTGGTTCCAAGTCTTTACTATTGTGAACAGTGCTGCAGTAAACATACATGTGCATGTGTCTTTATAGTAGAATGATTTATAATCCGTTGGGTATATACCCAGTAATGGGATTGCTGCGCCAAATGGTATTTCTGGTTCTAGATCCTTGAGGAGTTGCCACACTGTCTTCCACAATGGTTGAACTAATTTACCCTCCCACCAACAGTGTAAAAGTGTTCCCATTTCTCCACATTCTCTCCAGCATCTGTTGTTTCCTGACTTTTTAATGATTGCCATTCTAACTGGCATGAGATGGTATCTCATTGTAGTTTTGATTTGCATTTCTCTAATGACTAGTGATGATGAGCTTTTTTTCATATGTTTGTTGGCCACATAAATGTCTTTTGAGAAGTGTCTGTTCATATCCTTCGCCCACTTTTTGATGGGGTTGTTTGTTTTTTCTTGTAAATTTGTTTAAGTTCTTTGTAGATTCTGGATATTAGCCCTTTGTCAGATGGGTAGATTGCAAACATTTTCTCCCATTCTGTAGGTTGCCTGTTCACTCTGATGATATTTTCTTTTGCTGTGCAGAAGCTCTTTAGTTTAGTTAGATCCCATTTGTCAATTTTGGCTTTTGTTGCCATTGCTTTTGGTGTTTTAGTCATGAAGTCTTTGCCCATGTCTATGTCCTGAATGCTATTGCCTAGGTTTTCCTCTAGGGTGTTTATGATTTTAGGTCTTATGTTTAAGCCTTTAATCCATCTCGAGTTGATTTTTGTACAAGGTATAAGAAAGGGGTCCAGTTTCAGTTTTCTTCATATGGCTAGCCAGTTTTCCCAACACCATTTATTAAATAGGGAGTCCTTTCCCCATTGTTTGTTTTTCTCAGGTTTCTCAAAGATCAGATGGTTGTAGATGTGTAGCATTATTTCTGAGGGCTCTGTTCTGTTCCATTGGTCTATATCTCTGTTTTGGTACTGGTACCATGCTGTTTTTTTTTTACTGTAGCCTTGTAGTATAGTTTGAAGTCAGGTAGTGTGATGCCTCCAGCTTTGTTCTTTTGGCTTAGGATTGTCTTGGCTATAAAGGCTCTTTTTTGCTTCCATATGAAATTTATAGCAGGTTTTTCTAATTCTGTGAAGAAAGTCAATGTTAGCTTGATGGGGATAGCATTGAATCTATAAATTACTTTGGGCAGTATGGCCATTTTCACAATATTGATTCTTCCTATCCATGAGCATGGAATGTTTTTCCATTTGTTTGTGTCCTGTCTTATTTCCTTGAGCAGTGGTTTGTAGTTCTCCTTGAAGAGGTCCTTCATATCCCTTGTAAGTTGTATTCCTAGGTATTTTATTCTCTTAGTAGCAATTGTGAATGGGAGTTTACTCATGATTTGGCTCTCTGTCTATTATTTGTGTATAGGAATGCTTGTGATTTTAGAACATTGATTTTGTATGCTGAGACTTTGCTGAAGTTGCTTATTAGCTTAAGGAGATTTTGGACTGAGATGATGGGGTTTTCTAAATATACAATTATGTCATCTGCAAACAGAGACAATTCAACTTCCTCTCTTCCTATTTGAATACGCTTTATTTCTTTCTCTTGCATGATTGCCCTGGCCAGAGCTTCCAATACTATGTTGAATAGGAGTGGTGAGAGAGGGCCTCCTTGTCTTGTGCTGATTTTCAAAGGGAATGCTTCCAGCTTTTGCCCATTCAGTATGATATTGGCTGTGGGTTTGTCATAAATTGCTCTTATTATTTTGAGATACATTCCATCAATACCTAGTTTATTGAGAGTTTTTAGCATGAAGGGGTGTTCAATTTTATTGAAGGCCTTTTCTGCATCTGTTGAGATAATCGTGTGGTTTTTGTCATTGGTTCTGTTTATGTGATGGATTACATTTATTGACTTGCATATGTTGAACCAGCCTTGCATCCCTAGGATGAAGCTGACTTGATCATGGTGGATAAGCTTTTTGATGTGCTGCTGGATTCAGTTTGCCAGTATTTTATTGAGGATTTTCATATCGATGTTCATCAGGGATATTGGCCTGAAATTTTCTTTTTTTGTTGTGTCTCTGCCAGGCTTTGGTATCAGGATGACACTGGCCTTATAAAATGAGATAGGGAGGATTCCCTCTTTTTCTATTGTTTGAAATAGTTTCAGAAGGAATGGTACCAGCTCCTCTTTGTACCTCTGGTAGAATTTGGCTGTGAATCCAACTGGTCCTGGGCTTTTGTTTTGATTGGTAGCTTATTAATTACTGCCTCAATTTCAGAACTTGTTATTGGTCTATTCAGGGATTTGACTTCTTCCTGGTTTAGTCTTGGGAGGGTGTATGTGTCCAGGAATTTATCCATTTCTTCTAGTTTGTTTGCATAGAAGTATTTATAGTATTCTCTGATGGTAGTTTGTATTTCTGTGGTATCAGTGGTGATATCCCCTTTATCATTTTTATTGTGTCTGTTTGATTCTTCTCTTTTTCTTCTTTATTAGTCTGGCTAGTGGGCTATCTATTTTGTTAATCTTTTCAAAAAACTACCTCCTGGATTCATTGATTTTTTGAAGGTTTTTTTTGTGTGTGTCTGTATCTCCTTCAGTTCTCCTCTGATCTTTGTTGTGACTTGTCTTCAGCTAGCTTTTTAATTTGTTTACTCTTGCTTTTCTAGTTCTTTTAATTGTGATGTTATGGTGTCAATATTAGATCTTTCCTCCTTTCTGATGTGGGCATTTAGTGCTATAAATTTTCCTCTTAACATTGCTTTAGCTGTGTCCCAGACATTCTGGTATGTTATGTCTTTGTTCTTATTGGTTTCGAAGAACTTATTTATTTCTGCCTTCATTTTTTTATTTACCCAGTAGTCATTCAGGAGCAAGTTGTTCAGTTTCCATGTAGTTGTGCGGTTTTGAGTGACTTTCTTAATCCTGAGTTCTAATTTGATTGCACTGTGGTCCAAGAGACCGTTTGTTATGATTTCCATTATTTTGCATTTGGTGAGGAGTGTTTTACTTCTAATTATGTGGTCAATTTTAGAATAAGTGTGATGTGGTGCTGAGAAGAATGTATATTCTGTTGATTTGGGGTGGAGAGTTCTGTAGATGTCTATTAGGTCTGCTTGGTCCAGAGCTGAGTTCAAGTCCTGAATACCCTTGTTCATTTTCTGTCTCGTTGATCGGTCTAATATTGACAGTGGGGTGTTAAAGTCTCCCAGTATTATTGTGTGGGAATCTAAGTCTCTTTGTAGGTCTCTAAGAACTTGCTTTATGAATCTGGGTGCTCCTGTATTTGGTGCATATGTATTTACGATTTAGATCTTCTTGTTGCATTGATCCCTTTACCATTATGTAATGTCTTTCTTTGTCTTTTTTGATCTTTGTTGGTTGCAAGTCTGTTTTATCAGAGACTAGGATTGCAAGCCCTGCTTTTTTATGCTTTCCATTTGCTTTGTAAATATTCCTCCATCCCTTTATTTTGAGTCTATGTGTGTCTTTGCATGTGAGATGGGTCTCCTGAATACAGCACACCAATGAGTCTTGACTCTTTATCCAGTTTGCCAGTGTGTATCTTTTAATTGGGGCATTTAGCCCGTTTACATGTAAGGTTAATATTGTTATTGTGAATTTGATCCTGCCATTATGATGCTAGCTGGTTATTTTGCCCATTAGTTTATGCAGTTTCTTCATAGTGTCGATGGTCTTTACAATTTGGTATATTTTTGCAGTGGCTGGTACTGGTTTTTCCTTTCCAGGAGCTCTTGTAAGTCAGGCCTGGTGGTGACAAAATCTCTCAGCATTTGCTTGTCTGTAAAGGATTTTATTTCTCCTTCACTTATGAAGCTTAGTTTGTGTGGATATGAGATTCTGCGTTGAAAATTCTTTTCTTTAAGAATGTTGAATATTGGCCCCCACTCTCTTCTGGCTTGTAGAGTTTCTGCAGAGAGATCCACTGTTAGTCTGATGGGCTTCCCTTTGAGGGTAACCCGACCTTTCTCTCTGGCTGCCCTTAACATTTTTTCCTTCATTTCAACCTTGGTGAATCTGATGATTATGTGTCTTGGGGTTGCTCTTCTCAGGGAGTATCTTTGTGGCATTTTCTATATTTCCTGAATGTGAATGTTGGCCTGTCTTGCTAGGTTGGGGAAGTTCTCCTGGATAATATCCTGAAGAGTGTTTTCCAAGTTGGTTCCATTCTCCCCGTCACTTTCAGGTACACCAATCAAATGTAGGTTTGGTCTTTTCACATAGTCCCATATTTCTTGGAGGCTTTGTTCATTCCTTTTCATTCTTTTTTCTCTAATCTTGTCTTCATGCTTTATTTCATTAAGTTGATCTTCAGTCTCTGATATCCTTTCTTCCACTTGATTGATTCAGCTATTGATACTTGTGTATGCTTCGCGAAGTTCTCGTGTTGTGTTTTTCAGCTCCATCAGGTCATTTACATTCTTCTCTACACTGTTTATTCTAGTTAGCAATTCATCTAACCTTTTTTCAAGGTTCTTAGCTTCCTTGCATTGGGTTAGAACATGCCCCTTTATCTTGGAGTAGTTTGTTATTTCCCACCTTCTGAAACCTACTTCTGTCAATTCGTCAAACTCATTCTCTATCCAGTTTTGTTCCCTTGCTGGTGAGGAGTTGTGATCTTTTGGAGGAGAAGAGGCATTCTGGTTTTTGGAATTTTCAGCCTTTTTGTGCTGGTTTGCCTAATCTTCATGGATTTATCTACCTTTGGTCTTTGATGCTGGTGACTGTTGGATGGGGTTTTGGTGTGGACATCCTTTTTGTTCATGTTGATGTTATTCCTTTCTCTTTGTTAGTTTTCCTTCCAACAGTCAGGCCCCTCTGCTGCAGGTCTGCTGGAGTTTGCTAGAGGTCCGCTCCAGACCCTGTTTGCCTGCGTATCACCAGCAGAGGCTGCAGAACAACAAAGATTGCTGGCTGTTCCTTTCTCTGGAAGCTTTGTCCCAGAGGGGCACCTGCCAGATGCCAGCCATAGCTCTTCTGTATGAGGTGTTTGTCGACCCCTGCGGGAAGGTGTCGCCCAGTCAAGAGGCATAGGGGTCAGGGACCCACTTGAGGAGGCAGTCTGTCCCTTAGCAGAGCTCAAACACTGTGCTAGAGATCCACTGCTCTCTTCAGAGCCAGGAGGAGGCCCACAGCCACCCCTTCCCCCAGGTGCTCTGTTCCAGGGAGATGGGAGTTTTATCTATAAGCCCCTGACTGGGGCTGCTGCCTTTCTTTCAGAGATGCCCTGCCCAGAGAGGAGGAATCTAGAGAGGCAGTCTGGCTACAGAGGCTTTGTGGAGCTGCAGTGGGTTCTGCCCAGTTCGAACTTCCTAGCGGCTTCATTTACACTGTGAGGGGAAAACGGCCTACTCAAGTCTCAGTGATGGCAGATGCTCCTCCCCGCACCAAGCTTGAGTGTGCCAGGTTGACTTCAGACTGCTGGGCTGGCAGCGAGAATTTCAAGCCAGTGGATCTTAGCTTGCTGGGCTCTGTGGGGGTGGGATACGCTGAGCTAGACCACTTGGCTCCCTGGCTTTAGACGCCTTTCCAGGGGAGTGAATGGTTCTGTCTCACTGGCATTCCATGTGCCACTGGGGTATGAAAAAAAAAACTCCTGCAGCTAGCTCAGTGTCTGCCCAAATGGCTGCCCAGTTTTGTGCTTGAAACCCAGGGCCCTGGTGGCATAGGCACCTGAGGGAATCTCCTGGTCTGCGAGTTGCAAAGACTGTGGGAAAAGTGTAGTATCTGGGCCAGAGTGTACCATTCCTCATGGCACAATCCCTCACAGCTTCCCTTGGCTAGGGAGGGCGTTCCCTGGCCCCTTGCACTTCCCTGGTGAGGTGATGCCCCACCCTGCTTTGGCTCGCCCTCCGTGGGCTGCACCCACTGTCTAACCAGTCCCAATGAGATGAGCCAGTTTCCTCAGTTGGAAATGCGGAAATCATGTGCCTTCTGTGTTGATCTCGCTGGGAGCTGCAGACCAGAGCTGTTCCTATTTGGCCATCTTGCCAGCCACCCAAGTGTGTTATCTTGTACCCTCATTTACCCTCTCTTCTATTTTTCCTAGGTGTCTGGTTGGGGAGTCTTCCTCTTCTCACCCCTTGGGTGAGGCCCTTCCTCTGGATGCTTTCTTTGTTATTCTTCCTTCTCTCAATCATGGACTCTTAATTAATGTCCATGAGGAGATTAACTGGGGAGAAGGGACTATACTATATGTGAAGCTTCTGAAACTATATCTAAATTTTTGTGTATGTTTTTTCTGGGGGAAGGGTTGTTAGCTTTCTTCAGATTTTCTAAATGATCCGTTACTCAAAGTAGGTGTTTTAATTTTCTCCCATGGCCTCAGCAGGACCTATATGACTCTTCTGTCCGAATATCCACCTTTGTCACCTAGCATTTAGACCCACATTTTCAACCACCACCTCCTTTCATTGTTCCCAAGGGCTTCCTCTCCATCTTTAAAGCCACATGCTGGTCTAAGCCCCCATCATCTCTTACCTGGACATGTGTAATAGCTTTGTAACTGGCGTCCCTAATTACATAACCTCCTTTTCTCTGATTCTTCTTTCATGTTGCTTCTTTCATGTACATGGTCACATAATTCTTTTGCTTCTAAACTGCCTAGGAGTCTCCAATTGCCTACAGAATAAAGTGCAAACTTTTTAACATCATGTACCTGCATGACTGGATCTTACCTCTCCAGCCATGCCCTCCCAAGCACCTGACCTCTTAGAGTGCACCTTGGTCACTTATAGAAATTGATGTTCACTGCACCCTTTGTAGCCCCAGTACTTTTGCTTGTGTGCTTCCTTCTGCTGCCCATCTATTTTCACCAGGTAAGCACACACAAAGGGAGCTACACCACACACATCGGAACCAGTGGCTCACCCTAGAAGGCATATGCAGGGCTGCCTCCAGGTGCAGAGGGGTGCACACCCACCTATCTGCATCTGCTTCATGATTGGTTGTGCTTGGAGAACCTATTGACTACCGTGGTCTCCGGTCCATTGCCTAGCACTGATTCATCCATTTAAGATATATTTCCTGGATGCCTTGAGAATCTGGTAGAGAACCATACAGGCAGGATCCTTGTTCACATGAGCTCACATGTCTAGAGGACAGTAGCCAAGTCAACAAATAAATAAATATGCCATGGTTTCACACCCTGATTTCCAGGAGCTGCTACCCCTAATCTCTTGGGGCCACCATGAGATGCCCTAGTTGAAGCCTCCACATGGACCTGTGAGGACAAAACCACTGCGATAAGGAGCACACAGCTCCAGAGAGTGAAGAGACAGGGAGAGGGAAAAGGAGGGAGGGGATATGGTACCATCCTCTACTGTCCTGATGAGTGCTGCTCCTGCTTCTGATGGGGAGAGTTGGCCTCAATGTTTTTGGCTGTCCCATTCAGCAGTAGATTAAATATGATAAATCCCCACTGCTGCTCACCTTAGTCCAAGCCTGTGAGGAACTGCCCACATGAGAAGTGGCTCCTTGTGCCCCTGTGCCCTTTTGGACGGGGCTGGTGGTTAGACTTCTGCTTCGTGCTTGGTCCTGGGCATATTCTGGAATGGGCAGTGCATCCCTCTGGGGTTCTGTCTGTCCCACAGGTCTGCTGCTCTGGAGAGTGCTCCGTCTCCCTGAGGCACCCCCAGGATTCTTCAAAGGAAATTTTATAAATGTCATGCAAATTGTATTTTAAACCACATCATCACAAATTAGGCCCTAAATATAATAATCCATTTTGTTTTCAGCTGCTGTGAAGGGTGCTGCCTGTCTCTTCAAAGGCCCTTTCCAGAGCCCCCCAAAGTCTTTTATATGGATCACAAAACCCACATTTTCAGTCAGATTGGCCTAAATAGTCTCTCTAAATATGATCAAATTTCATGTTGGTGTTTTTTTAAGGATGCTAACACAACAAACAAATTGAAATACATGTTGTCTCATGGCTTTTACTCCTGGTAAGAGGAGAGTTCTTGAAAGGGTTTGCGCAGAGGAGGGATGGAATCTGACTTCTGTTTTAATGGGGTCACTCAGGCTAATGAGCAGCAGGGATGGAAGGTTCTTGGTACAGGTGACCTCCATAATGTTAAGCTGTAAGGGTCTGGCAGGTCTGTGGCTTTCAAACTACTTCAAACATTGCTTCACAGTAAGGGAGCCATTTTATACTCTGTTACCATCAGGTGTACATTTATGCTACGTGTAAAACTGAAACACAAGATACACGAACAACATTTACCCTTACTACATGTGCTTCATTCTCATCCTTCACATTTGTTTCTTTTTCTATTATGACTTTAAAAAATACGCTGGTCAGAACCCACTAAATCCATCCATTACTGGGTTGGGATCACAGTTTACAAAATACAGATCTCTGTCTATCTCCCATGATAACAACAGATCTTGATGATTACTTCTGGAAAAGGGAACTCAGTGGCTCTGAGTCAGGGGACTCTTACTTTTCATTGTCCCTCCTTTTGAAACTTTTATTTTGTATTATTTGCATGTACCTATTCAATAAATAAATGCTATTTTGACTCATTCTGGCATAGAACTTATTGCTTTCTGATTATGGCCTGAATAGGTTTACAAAAACAGAGAGTGAGGCCAGCAAAGGTAAGTTGCAGGAGCAAAGGTAATTTGCTGGTGAATCTACTTTGTTCAACTTCATCAAACAATATCTTTTTTTTTGCAAATGTTTGGGTGGCAGAATGGCATGGTGGTTAAATGTGTGACCTTTGGAGTTAGATTGAGTTGAACTCTCAGCCCTAATGCTTCTTAGTAATGTGACTCTAAGCAGTCAATAACTTTTCTAAGCCTGTTTGTAAAATTGGGTACAAACAACACCTACCTAATAGAACTTTGCGATGATTATATGCCATGACCTACAGCTTGCATGCAGAGGCACTGAAGACACATTAGGGTTTTGAGTGCTTCTTCTGTGCCAGGCTGTGGGCCTACAACAGTGAATGTTTCGGTTACCTAATAAGTGCTACACCATGACATCCAAGGGGCACCTACCCAATATCTTGGCTGATGAAGTGCTAACCTCTCAGAGGAAATGAGGCCTAGGCTAACAAGTAGAGTGAGATAAATAGTGAGCTGAACACAAGTGAGGCAAAAGAGGAGGAGGTGTTTTAGAGAAGAGGAATATGCAGAGGTAAGGAAGAGTAGAACGCTTTGCTGAACTACAACACTCAGGAGCTTATTCTCTGATTCTGTCTCCTCCCCACCTGCCAAGGTGTAAGTAAAGTTTCAAGTCTGACTTAATCTTTTTGCCTTCACAGAGTCCGAGAGGTTTCACACCTTGAAGAGTCCCCCGTGAGTTACTTAAATCCCTCGCTCCACTTTGGATGTGATTAAATTAACACCACTGCCAAGTTTGCCTTTGGGTGCTTGAGATGAAGGCTGCTGAGAAGAAGGCTGAGTTAATTAAAATTCAGCACTGGGCCTCTTTCAAAAGCCTGGCATTGCAATCCGAAGAGCAATAATTTAAATGCTAAAACCAGTTTCGTAATGCAACCACTATTTTTAAGACTCCTATTGTATACCCAGCACCTTACTGCATTAACGCTACTTAATAATTTAACACCTACGAAGATACAAGGGTAAAAGCTGGAAAAAAGCGTTCATAGAAAGATTCAAATTGCCAGGACCAGCCAAAGGATGTGGTTTTCTGAGTACAAAACTGTTTAATTTAATATGCATTTTTAAAATTACTGTGATAAGCGTAGTATTGAAATGAAAACTCCTGAGTATTAATAGATAAACTTGCATGTGAGCAGTGGAGAAAATCATTGCAAATCAATGTGGGTGGGTGTTTCTCAAACTGCGATCATCTGCAGATGCATCCTTAAAGGCTGCAAAATTTTTTTTCTCCCTCAAAAGGGGTCATACTTTACCCATATTTAAGGTGTCCTAAAGTAGTCCACTTCATACACAGATTACAAGCATTTTGCTTCTTGATTTTCAGTTTTCCCACTACCTCTCTGCCAAAGCACAATCTTCCTCATCCCACACAGGGCTTAAGCATATTTTTTTCAGCTTGATTCTTTGTCATGAGAATAAGGAGTGAAACTCTCATAGGGAGAAAGCCGTCTCCCCATACTTCCCATGGAAGTATAACATGGGATAAAATAATTTATCTTCTATGTTCATCTCTTTTGTGCTCTCTGGCTTTGGAATTGGGAAGTGAGATTGTCTCAGTTCAACCCCGAGGATAACCATGTTCTCTGTGAATATAGAGTTTGTATTTCACAAGTCATCAAGTCTCACACAGGAGAACATCATGAAAATTAGAAATGCATTGATTGAAAAACAAAGCTGAAAGCTTACATTTGCTGCAAGTATGGATCAAGATTGGTCTGCATCTGTCTAATTTGCAACTGATTCACACTTTTGGTCAAAATAATCTCTCAGTACACAGCCTAAGGATAGCCGAAATTTACTGTAAAACACTGCTTTTTTTGTATTTTTTTTCTGCATCTTGCATCAAATGGAAAATACTTGACTCTTAACAAAGTGTGCAGCTGGAGAAGTCTGCATTATGGCTTCACAAGTGTGGCTGAGATTTAACTCTTGACTAGGTAGTCAGCCACATATTCAGCTTTATCGATCTTAAATAATCAGTGAAAAGCATTGCCATATATTACAATAAATGTAATCAGTGCACACTTATGTGTGATTTTCAAGTGCCCTAAAAGTCAGGCTTTGCCTCCAGCGGAGGGCTACCTCATGCTGGATCTTAATTTGGCCCAGGCAGGTACAATCCTACTGTAGTGTCAGTTGCTTTGACGTCAATAGTTTGTGTTTGGACTGGGGGTGTGAAGAAATCTGGGTTAGATTTATGATGTATGTGTGAAATAAACAAGTTATATATAATCAATGTTGGTGGTGGTTTAAAAAAAAGTCCTTTTTAAAAATCAAAGTCACTGTGACTTTTGCCCTGTACCAGCCAGAGGAAGTAAATGGCTAGAGTAGGGGGTGAGGGTGGCAGGTAGAGGTGGGAGGTGGGCGAGTTTGCTTCAGGCCTTCTATGATGACCTCTCCAAACTCAGCAGGAGTGGCAGAGCCACATTTTTACATGCATGCACCCCTTCTTCCATAAAAATATATTTAACAATATATTTTGGCCAGGCAGTGGTTCATACCTGTAATCCCAGCACTTTGGGAGGCTGAGGTGGGAGGACTGCTTGAGCCCAGGAGTTCAAGACCAGCCTGAGCAACATGGCAAAACTCCATCTCTACAATAAATTAAAAAAAAAAAATTAGCTGGGCATTTTTGGTGCACGCCTATGGTCCCAGCTACTCAGGAGACTAAGATGGGAGAATCATCTGATCTTGGGAAGTCAAGGCTGCAGTGAGCTGAAATCAAGCCACTGCACTTCAGCCTGGGTGACAGAGCAAGAGCCTATCTCAAAAAAAAAAAAAAAAAAAAAAAAGAAAAGAAAAAAAGAAAAAAACTCCTAATACATATTGTGATTGTGTTGGCATAAGGATGACTATAACCCAGACTGGATTCATTATTATGTATCCATTGTCATATTCCTTTTTTCTTTGATTTTAAAAGAAATTTTAAATTTGAGCCCTCGGCACTGTGCCTCCTGGATAAGTTGGCCCTGGGAGTTAGGCTTACTCTTTCATGAAAGACAAAGTGCTCTTTCCTGGTTCCAGCAGAGTTGGTGGCTTCTGCCTGTTGAAAAAACTTAGTGTAAAATAAGAAGAAAAGGTGAATTTAGAGGAGGAACTCCTTTCATGTCCGTTTTGAACTTGCAGTAAGGGAGGCATATGAATAATCACCACCTGGAGAGCAGTAGGATGAGAAATGGGATGGGAAGTGAAGGCCTGTCTGGGGAGGAGAGGTAAACACAAAATCCTCTTTAAAACTGGGGGTTCTAACAGGATGTTTAGGGCAGTGAAATGATTCTGTATGATATGATAACAATGGTTACATGTCATTAACATTCATCCAGACTTGTAGAACGTACAACACCAAGAGTGGACCCTAATGTAATCTGTGGACTCTGGGTGATAAAAATATGCAAATGCAGGTTCATCAGTTGAAACAAATGCACCAGTCTGGTGGGGGATATAGATAATGTTGGAGGCTGTGCTTGTGTAGAGGAAGGAGGTATGTGGGAAATCTTTGTAGCTTCTGCTCAATTTTTTTTTTTTTTAGGAGACCAGGGATGTTGCTAAATCAATTTTGCTGTAAGTATAAAATTGCTCTAAAAATAAAACCTATTAAAAACAAAACAAAACAAACAAATTAGGGGCTCCAAAAGGTCATTCAAGTTTAGAGGGTCTAGCTTAGAGGAACCAAAAAGGCAGTACCTATGGTCCAGGTAGCTGTCAGCTTAGTGACTAAGAAGCCCCTGTCCTGTAGCAGGGAATGGGCAAGTACCTGCTTCTGGGTCAGACTTGAGCTTGGGGCTGGTATACCCAGAGGCCCAACCAGAAAGGACTCGGCAAGCCCCAGGCTATTGAGGACTATTGGGCACAACTGGTGGGAGGCAAAACACATAAACAAGCAAACCAAAAGAGGGCTAACTTGCATGTTAAGTTATGCTGGGCTAGATTCCGTGATCAAACAGAAGGTTTCTTACTTTTTCCTCTGTATTTTGTTTCCCTTAAATTTCTTATGAAGATTATATGAACCAACATATTGAGTACATCCTGTATGTCAAGTGTGGTGCCAAGATGTAAGAATACGTTTCAGAGGTTCCAAGATGGCCAAATAGGAATAGCTCCAGTCTACAGCTCCCAGCGTGAGTGACACAGAAGACGGGTGATTTCTGCATTTCCAACTGAGGTACCGGGTTCATCTCACTGGGGCTTGTCAGACAGTGGGTGCAGCCCACCGAGTGTGAGCCAAAGCAGGGTGGGGCATCACCTCACCTGGGAAGTGGAAGGGGTCGGGGAATTCTCTTTCCTAGCCAAGGGAAGCTGTGACAGACGGTACCTGGAAAATTGGGACACTCCCACCCTAATACTGTGCTTTTCCAATGGTCCTAGCAAATGGCACACAAGGAGATTATATCCTGTACCTGGCTCAGAGGGTCCTACGCCCACGGAGCCTTGCTCACTGCTGGCACAGCAGTCTGAGATCTAAATGCAAGGCGGCAGCGAGTCTGGGGGAGGGATGTCCGCCATTGCTGAGGCTTGAGTAGGTAAACAAAGTGGCCAGGAAGCTCAAACTGGGTGAATCCCACCGTAGCTCAAGGAAGCCTGCCTGCCTCTGTAGACTCCATCTCTGGGGGCAGGGCATAGCTGAACAGAAGGAAACAGAAACTTCTGCAGTCTTAGACGTCCCTGTCTGACAGCTTTGAAGAGAGTAGTGGTTCTCCCAGCATGGAGTATGAGATCTGAGAATGGACAGACTGCCTCCTCAAGTGGGTCCCTAACCCCCGAGTAGCCTAACTGGGAGACACCTCCCAGTAGGGGCTGACTGACACCTCATACAGCCAGGTGCCCCTCTGAGATGAAGCTTCCAGAGGAAAGATCAGGCAGCATCATTTGCCGTTCTGCAATATTTGCTGCTCTGCAACCTCCACTGGTGACACCCAGGCAAACAGGATCTGGAGTGGACCTCCAGCAAACTCCAACAGACCTGCAGCTGAGGGTCCTGACTGTTAGAAGGAAAACTAACAAACAGAAAGGACATCCACAGCAAAACCCCATCAGTACGTCACCATCATCAAAGACCAAAGGTAGATAAAACCACAAATATCGGGAAAAACCAGAGCAGAAAAGCTGAAAATTCTAAAAATCAGACCGCCTCTCCTCCTCCAAAGAAACACAGCTCCTCGCCAGCAACGGAACAAAGCTGGAAGAAGAATGACTTTGATGAGTTGAGAGAAGGCTTCAGATGATCGGTAATAACAAACTTCTCCCAGCTAAAGGAGGATGTTCGAACCCATTACAAAGAAGCTAAAAGCCTTGAAAAAAGATTAGACAAACGGCTAAATAGAATAAATAGCGTAGAGAAGACCTTAAATGACCTGATGGAGCTGAAAACCATGGCACAAGAACTATGTAACGCATGCACAAGCTTCAGTAGCCGATTCGATCAAGTGGAAGAAAGGGTATCAGTGATTGAAGATCAAATGAATGAAATGAAGCGAGAAGAGAAGTTTAGAGAAAAAAGAGTAAAAAGAAACAAACAAAGCCTCCAAGAAATATGGGACTATGTGAAAAGACCAAATCTACGTCTGATTGGTCTACCTGAAAGTGACAGGGGGAAGGGAATCAAGTTGGAAAACACTCTTCAGGATATTATCCAGGAGAATTTCCCCAACCTAGCAAGACAGGCCAACATTCAAATTCAGGAAATACAGAGAATGCCACAAAGATACTCCTTGAGAAGAGCAACTCCAAGACATAATTGTCAGATACACCAAAGTTGAAATGAAGGAAAAAATGTTAAGGGCAGCCAGAGAGAAAGGCCGGGTTACCCACAAAGGGAAACCCATCAGACTAATAGTGGATTTCTCGGCGGAAACTCTACAAGCCAGTAGAGAGTGGGGGCCAATATTCAACATTCTTGAAGAAAAGAATTTTCAACCCAGAATTTCATATCCAGACAAACTAAACTTCATAAGTGAAGGAGAAATAAAATCCTTTACAGACAAGCAAATGCTGAGAGATTTTGTCACCACTAGGCCTGCTTTACAAGAGCTCCTGAAGGAAGCACTAAACATGGAAAGGAAAAACCGGTACCAGCCACTGCAAAAACATGCCAAATTGTAAAGACCATCAATGCTAGGAAGAAACCGCATCAACTAACCAGCAAAATAACCAACTAACATCATGATGACAGGATCAAATTCACACATAACAATATTAACCTTAAATATAAATGGGCTAAATGCTCCAATTAAAAGACACAGACTGGCAAATTGGATAAAGAGTCGAGACCCATCAGTGTGCTGTATTCAGGAGACCCATCTCACATGCAGAGACACACATAAGCTCAAAATAAAGGGATGGAGGAAGATCTACCAACAAATGGAAAACAAAAAAAAAAGCAGGGGTTGCAATCCTAGTCTCTGATAAAACAGACTTTAAACCAACAAAGATCAAAAGAGACAAAGAAGGCCATTACATAATGGTAAAGGGATCAATTCAGCAAGAAGAGCTAACTATCTTAAATATATATGCACCCAATACAGGAGCACCCAGATTCATAAAGCAAGTTCTTAGAGACCTACAAAGAGACTTAGACTCCCACACAATAATAATGGGAGGCTTCAACACCCCACTGTCAACATTAGACAGATCAACGAGATAGAAAGTTAATAAGGATAGCCAGGAATTGAACTCAGCTCTGCACCAAGTGGACCTAATAGACATCTACAGAACTCTCCACCCCAAATCAACAGAATATACATTCTTCTCAGCACCACATCACACTTATGCCAAAACTGACCACATAGTTGTAGGTAAAGCACTCCTCAGCAAATGTAAAAGAACAGAAATTATAACAAACTGTCTCTCAGACCACAGTGCAATCAAATTAGAACTCAGGATTAAGAAACTCACTCAAAACCGTTCAACTACATGGAAACTGAACAACCTGCTTCTGAATGACTACTGGGTACATAACAAAATGAAGGCAGAAATAAAGATGTTCTTTAAAACCAATGAGAACAAAGACACAACATACCAGAATCTATGGGACACATTTAAAGCAGTGTGTAGCCGGAAATTTATAGCACTAAATGCCCACAAGAGAAAGGAGGAAAGATCTAAAATTGACACCCTAACATCACAATTAAAAGAACTAGAGAAGCAAGAGCAAACAAATTCAAAAGCTAGCAGAAGGCAAGAAATAATTAAGATCAGAGCAGAACTGAAGGAGATAGAGACACAAAAAGCCCTTCAAAAAATCAATGAATCCAGGAGCTGGTTGTCTGAAAAGATCAATAAAATTGATAGACCATTAACAAGATTAATAAAGAAGAAAAGAGAAGAATCAAATAGACACAATAAAAAATGGTAAAAGGGATATCACCACTGATCCCACAGAAATACAAACTACCGTCAGAGAATACTATAAACACCTCTATACAAATAAACTGGAAAATGTAGAAGAAATGGATAAATTCCTGGACACATACACCCTCCCGAGACTAAACCAGGAAGAAGTTGAATCCCTGAATAGACTAATAACAGGCTCTGAAATTGAGGCAATAATTAATAGTCTACCAACCAAAAAAAGTCCAGGACCAGATGGATTCACAGCCAAATTCTATCAGAGGTACCATTCTAAAGAGGAGCTGGTACCATTCCTTCTGAAACTATTCCAATCAATAGAAGAAGAAGGAATCCTCACTAACTCATTTTATGAGGCCAGCATCATCCTGATACCAAAGCCTGGCAGAGACACAAAAAATAAGAATTTTAGACCAATATCCCTGATGAACATCAATGCAAAAATCCTCAATAAAATACTGGCAAACCGAATCCAGCAGCACATCAAAAAGCTTGTCCACCATGATGAAGTTGGCTTCATCCCTGGGATGCAAGGCTGGTTCAACATACGCAAATCAATAAATGTAATCCATCATATAAACAGAACCAAAGACAAAAAACACATGATTATCTCAATAGATGAAGAAAAGGCCTTCGACAAAATTCAACAGCTCTTCATGCTAAAAACTCTCAATAAACTGGATATTGATGGAATGTATCTCAAAATAATAAGAGCTATTTATGACAAACCCACAGCCAATACCATACTGAATGGGCAAAAACTGGAAGCATTCCCTTTGAAAACTGGCACAAGACAGGGATGCCATCTCTCACCACTCCTATTCAGCATAGTATTGGAAGTTCTGGCCAGGGCAATCAGGCAGGAAAAAGAAATAAAGGGTATTCAATTAGGAAAAGAAGAAGTCAAATTGTCCCTGTTTGCAGATAACATGATTGTATATTTAGAAAACCCCATCGTCTCAGCCCAAAATCTCCTTAAGCTGATAAGCAATTTCAGCAAAGTCTCAGGATACAAAATCAATGTGGAAAAATAACAAGCATTCCTATACACCAATAACAGACAAACAGAGATCCAAATCATGAGTGAACTCCCATTCACAATTGCTTCAAAGAGAATAAAATACCTAGGAATCCAACTTACAAGGGATGTGAAGGACTTCTTCAAGCAGAACTACAAACCACTGCTCAATGAGATAAAAGAGGACACAAACAAATGGAAGGACATTCCATGCTCATGGATAGGAAGAATCAATGTCGTGAAAATGGCCATACTGCCCAAGGTAATTTATAGATTCAATGGCATCCCCATCAAGCTACCAATGACTTTCTTCACAGAATTGGAAAAAACTACTTTAAAGTTCATATGGAACCAAAAAATTGCTTGCATTGCCAAGACAGTCCTAAGCTAAAAGAACAAAGCTGGAGGCATCACGCTACCTGACTTCAAACTATACTACAAGGCTACAGTAATCAAAACAGCATGGTACTGGTACCAAAACAGAGATATAGACCAAGGGAACAGAACAGAGTCCTCAGGAATAATACCACACATCTACAACCATCCGATCTTTCACAAACCTGACAAAAACAAGAAATGGGGAAAGGATTCCCTGTTTAATAAATGGTGCTGGGAAAACTGGCTAGCCATAGGTAGAAAGCTGAAACTGGATCCCTTCCTTACACCTTATACAAAAATGAATTCAAGATGGATTAAAGACTTAAATGTTAGACCTAAAACCATAAAAACCCTAGAAGAAAACCTAGGCAATACCATTCAGGACATAGGCATGGGCAAGGACTTCATGTCTAAAACACCAAAAGCAATGGCAACAAAAGCCAAAATTGACAAATGGGATCTAATTAAACTAAAGAGCTTCTGCACAGTAAAAGAAACTACCATCAGAATGAACAGGCAACCTACAGAATGGGAGAAAATTTTTACAATCTACCCATCTGACCAAGGGCTAATATCCAGAATCTACAAAGAACTTAAACAAATTTACAAGAAAAAATCGAACAACCCCATCAAAAAGTAGGCAAAGGATATGAACAGACACTTCTCAAAAGAAGATATTTATGCAACCAACAGACACATGAAAAAATGCTCCTCATCATTGGCCATCAGAGAAATGCAAATTAAAACCTCAGTGAGATATCATCTCACACCAGTTAGAATGGCGATCATTAAAAAGTCAGGAAGCAACAGGTGCTGGAGAGGATGTGGGGAAATAGGAACACTTTTACACTATTGTTTGGGACTGTAAACTGGTTCAACCATTGTGGAAGACAGTGTGGCAATTCCTCAAGGATCTAGAACTAGAAATACCATTTGACCCAGCAATCCCATTACTGGGTATATACCCAAAGGATTATAAATCATGCTGCTATAAAGACACATTCACACGTATGTTTATTGTGGCACTATTCACAATAGCAAAGACTTGGAACCAACCGAAATGTCCATCAATGATAGACTGGATGAAGGAAATGTGGCACATATACACCATGGAATACTATGCAGCCATAAGACAGGATGAGTTCATGTCCTTTGTAGGGACATGGATGAAGCTGGAAACCATCATTCTGGGCAAACTATCTCAAGGACAGAAAACAAAACTCCGCATGTTCTCACTCATAGGTGGGAATTGAACAATGAGAACACTTGGACACAGGGTGGGGAACATCACACACTGGGGCCTGTTATGGGGTGGGAGGAGGGGGGAGTGATAGCATTAGGAGATATACCTAATGTAAATGACGAGTTAATGGGTGCAGCACACCGACATGGCACATGTATACATATGAAACAAACCTGCACATTGTGCACATGTACCCTAGAACTTAAAGTATATTAAAAAAAGTAAGAATACATTTCACTTTATCCTCACAAACAAACTTTGTGATGAATTACCATTGTTATTTGTTCTTGCTTTATAGATGAGGAACTTAAGGCTTAGAAAGGTTAAGTAACTCATCCAAGAACACACCCGTGAGCTAGGTTTCAAGTCAGTGTGATGCTGGAGCTCAAGCTTATCACCACTTTGCTACACTGCCTACCCATAATATAACATAATAGATTTTGTACCCTAAACAGTTCAGCTAGCTGGTTATTACCCATTATGAGGAGCTGGGTGAGGTAAAGATGGTAAATAACCAACTCTAACTATATTGTTGATGCTCTAAGGAAGTGCTAACCTTTTAGCTGTCCTATCAACTACAAGTTACAAACCTGAGCGTCATGGGGTCAGAATTTTGGTCTAGTGACAAGCTGCTCCTTGGCCCACCTCAAGTGAGAATTGTCCTAAAGTGACTTAGCCATTGGTTGGGGAAAGAGAAGTCACTGACTTAAAACTTCTGGCCTTACCCTAAGTTTTCAGTTTCAAGTTATTTGAAAAGTGAAAGTACAAATGTTGCCAATGTGCTATTAAATATGTTGGTGGAGGCCACGTTCCCCTATGATACCAGTTCTCACGTGCCAGGTACCATACTTTGTGTGTGTGTGCGTGTTTATATATGCGAGTGTTTTGGGACGGAAGTGTGGTTCTTGCTACAATCTCTTCTCCATGATTCCTTTTCTGAGGGCTTTGGGCCTTCCCTTTAAGAAATGGGGAATTATAAAATCAAGTGATTCAATCATGATTCCTTAGGTCTTTCTAACTACAAACCCAGAAGTTTTATTTATTAATTTGTTTTTGTAACAAGACTCTTAGCTTTTTATTTTACCTTTTATTCTCATGACTGAACTATTAATGGAACTGTGCTCCAGTCTCAAAATCTACTTTCAACAGCTGTGAATATTTTTCTGCAATGCAGACATAAATTCAGACATTTGCTCAGACCTGGTTAAATTAGGGAAAATTAAGACTGATATGGTCTTTTCTCTTTTGGGGATTATTTTGCCCAGTCCCTCAAGCTCCCACCCTACACCATCCTGTCCTGGAATACTCCAGACACCCAGTGTTCTCAGTATCTTTCTACCTTGTTGTTCTACCCAGCCTGCTTGCAGCTTCTGCTACAGATCTGAGCACTGAAATGAAGGATCCCTCAATTTGCCTTGCTCTCAGCAAAGGGGAAATCATATGCTAGGAAGTTCTCTGGCTCAGTGGTGCCACTTTTCTCCCTGGTCTCCAGCCCCTTTGAAAGACTCACAAGTGACACGAACTTGTATTCGTTGCTATTCCACTAGTGTCTGAATTTTCCTTTTATTCTTCCAGAACATTGGAGTACCACTTTTCATTTTATCTTCATTTAATGTGGATGCCTGGCACCTCTGCCATCCTAAGAGTACATACGAAATCCTGTCCTTACAAACACAGGCGTATACAAAAGAAGGGGTGTATGGTAAACTATCCAAGGATGCCTGTAAAACAGACTGGGCTAGAGATGAAATACAAGGAAACGCAGGCAAGCGGGATGACTTACCTAGTTTCTAGCTCTGCTAAAGCAGGAAAGGTCCAGCTTCCTGAAAAATCGTTTAACTCTGTCCACCCTGCCCTCCACCCACCGGCCCCCCTGACTTCTTCCTTTAGTGAAGGATTCTTTTCTCTGCTAAAAGCTGTATTTTTGCCCTATTGACTTGGAGGCAGCGAGTGATGAGTTGTATGAGATGGACAACTTAATATTTTGTTTGCCGTAACTTTAGTAAAGTTTAGCAGATATCCCAAACCTAGGATAGGTTTCTGAGAATCAGGGGTGGCTTTTGAATCACAATCTCAAGGCCCAACGTTTTTGGCAGATGCAGCTCTTTCTGAACAGTAAGTCATTGTTGAGTGACATGAATAGGACGAGAGCTACAGAAAATGAAGGTTTCAAAAGATTGTCTAAAACAAAAGTCCTTTCAGTCCCTTGTATTCAGAGTTTCACCCCTCACTGAACCAAAGTTGCTCATTTTGCAGGGAGAATGCACATGAAACTGTTCTGTCTGGAATCCAGGCAGTATTGCACTTTGATTGGCAGGTCAGCCACCATCTGAAGGTACTTAGTGCTCATTACTCATCAGTCCATCCAGAAGGGTAAGAAAGAAGTAACCCTTTCCTGCCGTTTGCACTTATTCTCACCTTGTCTTTCCTGAGGAGTATGGCTGTAGTTACAGATACATATCTAACAGAAAGCAGTCATATCATTCCAACAGGGAACAGAACTCAGGGAAATGGTTGCCAGTGTACCAGATTCCTTCTTTCATTTTCTTTCTTTTTACTCCTTTTGAAAGCTGTTGAGGTCTAGTTGTTTCTTAAGGAGGTTTAACTCAGATCTCAGCACTGATCTGGAGGCCAGGCAGGGTCTTATCAACTCTGGCACTGAAGTTAACCCCGTCCTGGGTGCAGCTGGGAAGGCTTAGCTCTCTGAGACCACCGAGGAACCCAAAGACATCTAAAGATGAACTGGGTACCTGCAGGAGGCGAGGGGCCTGAGAGACCCCTGGAAACATACTAGCATGAGCCTTTATAACTGACTGTCTGGAACAACACAGTTCCAGGCTTTCAGGGCCAAGGGGTGAGAAATCCCAAATCTTCCTACATTTTTCCTGATACTTTAGTAGACAGGTGCCTAATTTTTCTTAATTCACAGAGGACTTTCCCTTCCTGTTCATTGTTCATTACTCACAAGAGTCCTCCCCAAGGCACGGAGATAAGTGCTGCAGGGTGAGTCACTAACAAATTGAGAGTTGCATCACGTCTCCAAACTCCAGCTTGGCCTTCTGACCAAAAGAGTATCTAGTTTTTCTTGAAAAGATTACATCACAGGTGGTAAAGCATTTGTCTTTGCCTTTCTTCATCCCTTTTCTGTTTCCTGGTTCCTAGCAGGTATTATGTGAAAAGTCCGACTGGCCTTCCCAGAACTGATTCACATTATACAGTTTGATTTTTGCATGATCCCTCCGTGCTGAGTTATTTTGTTTCATTAAAAAGGGCAAAAGGCCACGTACTTTTAAAAAAACATGGTTACCGGCTGGGCACGGTGGCTCACGCCTGTAATCCCAGCATTTTGGGAGGCCGAGACGGGCAGATCACCTGAGGTCATAAGTTCAAGACCAGCCTGGCTAACATGGTGAAACCCTGTTTCTACTAAAAATACAAAAAATTAGCCAGGTGTGGTGGTGCACACCTGTAATCCCAGCTACTCAGGAGGCTGAGGCAGGAGAATCTCTTGAACCCGGGAGGTGGGGGTTGCAGTGAGCCGAGATCATGCCATTGCACTCCAGCTTGTGCAACAAGAGTGAAAGTCTGTCTCAAAAAAAAAAAAAAAAAAAAAGGTTACCAACATTTTCTATATCCTGGAAGTTATCCCCACTGCAACCCTTGTTCTGTGCTGCACCTGGTCTGGTGGTTTAGGGAGGCAAATGCCAGCTTGATCCCTAAGAATTTCAGTGTTGGCCTTGGATATCTCACCTTTGTTTTTTAATCTGAGACTTGGAAATATGAACCGAAAATATACTTATATTTTTACTATGAATATAAATGTCAAATATCTTCTGAATTTAATAGCTTGTTTTGTCAAGAAAACAAAATCATAAGAATGTTGATCATAAATATAGCGGATTTCTGGAGGGGCTGGCTGATCTCAGAGGTCTACTGCCTCTCTCCTTCCATCTTCTCTGAAGCTGCCTCAGCCAGGACACCCCTAAACTAGTTCCAAAAAGGGTATGGCCTGGAAAGGGATCAGGGTCCATCTTTGCTTAATTTTGACTGAGCTCTATGCTCTTCAATTAGATAAGTGACACAGTAAAATGTCACTAATCCACACTCAGTAGTTTTAGAGATTAGTAATTCCAGAGGTATGAGATGAAGCTTCTGTTTTTTAAATATATGTATGAAGAAAGGGTTTATTAAGCCTAAGCATATGATTGTGGGAGCAAATTGTTAACCTGCTAAGAAGAAGACTACCTTTGAAGATTCACATAACTTTTAAAATGCTGGGGCTGGGTACTAATTACAGATAAGTTTAGCAAAGTAGATGGGTAGCATTCTAAAAGAATCTTCAATTAATGTATGTCCTGTGAAGTTGAGAAATAAGAATACCAATACAAAATTCTGTATCCTTAAAGATATTCTATAAGTCAGACTTTAAAAACAAACAAACAAACAAAAATACCTGGCACTGGGCTTCTTTATACCAATTGGCCCAAACTTGAGAAATTTAACTAGATATCATAAGATTGTGAGGCTTGGGGTGACTGATTGGACCACAACTTTTTGAGTGCAATCTAAGAACCATTGGGATTTAGGTGTGTTGTTCTCATGTGTGGGTCTGTTTATGAGCATGTGTTTTTATGTGTTCGTAAGTGTGTGCATGTGTGCAGGTGTATGCGCTATGATATGAAGGAAGATGTTTTTCAGACCCCCAAATTCCAGCAACCAGTTTGAAGACCACACAGAGGAAGGAGATCAGTGTGAGAATACAGCTTCTTCATCTTCCCATCCCATGACTTCCCCCTGCACTCTTCAAATAATCAATGATCTCCACACTTTGGCCCACTCCAAAACCCTAACCCTGAATTCCTCAGGGAGATGGATTTGAGGTTTCTTCTCATCTCCTTGTAAACTAAAAATAAAATTCGAAGCCCCCCAACCATCTGGATGGACCCCTCCACTCGGCCACTGGAGTTCTGAAATTAACCTGAAAAACCAGTTCCCGCTGTGATGGGAAGGGGAAGCTGGACATGTCTCATTCTACCCTCCTCCCTTTTGGAATGATGAATAGAGCAGACTTTAAGTCTGATAAGAAACATTGACGATCTATTCTCTCTGCAGTCTGCTACCTGGAGGTTTCCTCTGAATAATGGGAACCATGGTCTCCACAACCCCTTATCTTAACCTGGACATTCCCTTCTATTGATTCTAGGTATTTAGACAATAACTTAACACTTTCAACCAAATGCCAATTAGAAAATCTTTGAATCCACCTCTGACTTGGAAGTTGCCCCCCAACTTCTGGTTGTCCTGCCTTTCCGGGCCAAACCAACGTACATCTTACATGTATTGATTGACGTCTTATGTCTCCCTAAAATGTATAAAGCCAAGTTGTAGTCTGACTACACTGGACACATGTTCTCAGGATCTTCTGAGGGCTGTGTCACCGGCCATTGGTCACCCATATTTGGCTCAGAATAAATCTCTTCATATATTTTACAGAGTTTGACTCTTTTTGTCAACATCCTTATTTGGTGACCCTAAGATTAAATCTCTTTCTCTGCTGTGACCTAGTGTCTCGGCATATTGACTTGCCACATGCATCAGGCAATGAACCTTCTACTGTTACAGAAGGCAGAGAAAGTGGAAGCAGAAAGCAGAATGAAAGGTTCCGGGGTGTCTATTCCAATTCTTGGTGACAAACTGGACTTGACACCTGCTGGATAGGGGTTGATGGCCAGAAATGGATGGAACCATTTAAGAAAGACTGTGCAGCTCTGAGTATGAGCATGGCTGTTTTAAGATCAAGAAAAAATGTGGCTCACAGTTATCTGTTTTTGTCAAAACCCCAGCAGAATTCTGATGTACTAGGAATGGAAGCACTGGGGCATCCAGACGTGGCAGCGTAGCATGGATGTCTTGCTGTGGCAGTGAAGAGGTCATGCAGGAGAGAAAGAATGGGTGATGCCATAGGGCAATGGCAGACCATTATCAGCACAGTGATGTCCCTTTAGAGACTGCCAGACTGCCAGGACACAATGATGTCCCTTTAGAGACTGTTCTATGACACAGATGGAGATGTTAGAGGCAAAACAAATACACCTGCATGTGTCTGTGTTCCTGTGTTCCACTTAGCAATATATTATGAACATTTTTTCCATACAAGTACTTTTCATCTGTAATATAGGAGACCTCCCAGTTTTCCATGTTTGGGGATGTAAGATTTATTCAGGCGGGTGGATCACGAGGTCAGATTGAGACCATCCTGGCTAACCCAGTGAAGCCCCGTCTCTACTAAAAATACAAAAAAATTAGCCGGGAAAGGTGGCGGGCGCCTGTAGTCCCAGCTACTTGGGAGGCTGAGGCAGGAGAATGGCGTGAACCTGGGAGGCAGAGCTTGCAGTGAGCCAAGATCGCGCCATTGCACTCCAGCCTGGGCGATAGAGTGAGACTCCATCTCAAAAAAAAAAAAAAAAAAAAAAAAAAGATTTATTCAACTACTCCTCTTTCTTGCTGGTGCTTCCATTATTTTTTTCTCTACTGTAAAGCATTGTGTGATGAACATTCTTGAAACATTCACAAATCCATAATTATTTTCTTAGGACTAACTTACCTGAAAGTGGAATTGTTGGATCTAAAGAGGACAGGAATTATTCTGAGGCTTTTGAAGTGTAAAGGACAGTTTCCTTATATGTAAAATGAAAGGGTAAGATTAAAGTGGGTAGCTTTCAAGACTTTTTTTTCCCCTTTTTGTCAGTAGACTCTTCTAGCAGAAACTTCTGCAGAAACCCAGGAAATAAATGGATCAGAGGTGAACACACTCTGGTGGAGTGGGGCTGGGCCCGTTTTCTTCTGCCTTCCCTCCCTTTCTGCTGCCAGGGGCTCTAAGGGACATCCAGGTCTCAGAGGCACATAGTTTGCAAATCACAGGGCAAGGTGACCTTACATTCTTTTCCACCTGTGTTTGCTATCAGTCACTTTTACTGAACTGCTGGCCGTCTAGACAGGTCTGGCCACTGGGTCCTTTGGAGATCCCTATCACTGGATCCCTGCCACTGCCCCTTCCTAAGTGGTCAGTAAGTACTTGTTAATCTTAGATAGCAGCCATTTGACAACACATCAAAAGCAGGAGGGCTCCAGTGGGTAAACTTGAAACGGAAGAAACTGGACCACACCCAGTGGTGGGAGATGACCCAGGAGCCTGGACATGGCGATGAATTTCGGGAATTTTTATGACTCAGAACTTGGGGAATGTAGACATTATGTAATTAAAAAATGTAATTTAAAATATATGGGTAGTTTTGAGAATATGAAAGCTCTTCTTTTTGTAGATGAGAAAATGGAAACAAGACAAGGTAAAGGACTCACCCCAGGTCACACAGTAACTTAGTGGCATCATCAGGCATCATGACAACTACAAAACGCTCTTTTGCTTTTACAATTTTGAATATTTCCCTGCTTTCTCTAAAGAGAAAAGGATGGGGGGCGGACGAATGAGAAACTAACACTTAAAACATAAATTATGTGCCAGACAATGATCTAGATGCCTTCCTTATACTTATTTTTTTAACCCTGTTAAGATGGGAGCCTTGTGCTGTCTGGCACACAAGAACTTTGCCTCAGAAGTTCAGTCCTGGGTCCACAGGCACCCAGCAGTGATTGACAATGCTGTGATTTGGAATCCATCTCTGACTCCAAAGAACATCCTTTCCCAACTTAGTTCTGTTTTATTAACGTAGAAAGGTACCTAATGCCTAAATGTTAGAAAGCAAAGAAATCTGGGAAGTAACTTTAAGTAAATGATGCTGAACAAGAACCAAAACCTGTCAACAGACAAGTCTTTAAATAGGATAGGGACATTAGTTTGATTCAGACACATCAATGTAGGAAAAAAATATGACCCCAAACCCTGCCCAGAGCATGTCCTTGGAGGTCCTTTCTTGGCATGAAAGTTGGTGCTATAGGAAATGGTGTAAGATGTAAAGAGAAACCCTCTTCCTTCCTCAAGTCATATTCCTCAGGAAATACCATCTAGTGTCCAGTATTCTAAAGTCTTTGACTGGGAAACCCAGGACACTTTTCACAAGAATGTGAAGTTTAGGTCCACATCTCCAGAGTCATTTGGAAGATGTGGGCACCCATAGAGCAGGCCTGGGAATATAATCTTTAGGGAGCTAAGGAGATGTGAGAAATGAGGATATGTGCGTTGGTACCTTGAGTTCGAACTCTAGCACCAAACTTCATCCAATCCAAATCTGCAGAAGGAGGTTTTGACATGATTTGGGAGTGGGAGGGGGATTCTAGGCCTTGTCCACCAAGATTAAACTTCTTTTTGCAGTTCATAACACTACAGACCGAACGAACGGGCAGTAGGTATAAGGCTATTAGGATCATTAAGAGTTTACTGATGGAATTGGGCTTCCCTTGCACAAAGTTGTATGACTCATGAAGTCCATTGCAATGCAGCACAAGAGCCCATGGTTTCATGAGTGAAGCAGCCTTCACAGTCTCTCTCCTAAAACTGAATGTGGCTGGACCTCTGCAATGCTTTGTCACTTCTCTAACTAGTGGATACCAAAACTGCTTCCCTTTGCCCAGATCATATAAAAGTAGCTTTTTATTCCTGGAAACTACAAGCTGCCACACCAGTCTGGGGTACCCTTCATTGCCTCCCTACACTCACACCTGCCCCAAGCCCAGGCCCTGTCGGTGGCCTTCCTGATGTCCCCTGTGTTGTCTTTCCCTATGCTCAGTGCATTGATCTTTTCCCTCCTCTGTGATGCCATTGAGAGTGTCACTAGCTGCTCTCTCATATTGTTCTCGTTTTTCTTGTGTGTTAATCCCATTGAACCTAAAACCCATACATTTCTTGAAATTAGGGAAGGGATGAGGTGATGCATTTGACTAACATCAGTGTAGTAAATCTGACAGAATGAGTACCTGGGAATCAGACTTTGAAGTCAGATGGTCTGAGTTTGAATGTAGACTCTGCCTTGGTCAAGTTGCTTAACCCATCTGTGCTTCAGTGTCCTCATCTATAAGATGAGCATGATATGTCCCAGAGATTCTGGTATGTTGTGTCTTTGTTCTCGTTGGTTTCAAAGAACGTCTTTATTTCTGCCTTCATTTCATTATGTACCCAGTAGTCATTCAGGAGCAGGTTGTTCAGTTTCCATGTAGTTGAACGGTTTTGAGTGAGTTTCTTAATCCTGAGTTCTAGTTTGATTGCACTGTGGTCTGAGAGACAGTTTGTTATAATTTCTGTTCTTTTACATTTGCTGAGGAGAGCTTTACTTCCAACTATGTGGTCAGTTTTGGAATAAGTGCGGTGTGGTGCTGAGAAGAATGTATATTCTGTTGATTTGGGATGGAGAGTTATGCAAATGTCTATTAGGTCCACTTGGTGCAGAGCTGAGTTCAATTCCTGGCTATCCTTGTTAACTTTCTATCTCCTTGATCTGTCTAATGTTGACAGTGGGGTGTTAAAGTCTCCCATTATTATTGTGTGGGAGTCTAAGTCTCTTTGTAGGTCTCTAAGGACTTGCTTTATGAATCTGGGTGCTCCTGTATTGGGTGCATATATATTTAAGATAGTTAGCTCTTCTTGCTGAATTGATCCCTTTACCATTATGTAATGGCCTTCTTTGTCTCTTTTGATCTTTGTTGGTTTAAAATCTGTTTTATCAGAGACTAGGATTGCAACCCCTGCCTTTTTTTGTTTTCCATTTGCTTGGTAGATCTTCCTCCACCCCTTTATTTTGAGCCTATGTGTGTCTCTGCACCTGAGATGGGAAACTAGTTCAACCATTGTGGAAGTCAGTGTGGCGATTCCTCAGGGATCTAGAACTAGGAATACCATTTGACCCAGCCATCCCATTACTGGGTATATACCTAAAGGATTATAATTCATGCTGCTATAAAGACACATGCACACATGTTTATTGCGGCACTATTCACAATAGCAAAGACTTGCAACCAACCCAAATGTCCAACAATGATAGACTGGATTAAGAAAATGTGGCACATATACACCATGGAATACTATGCAGCCATAAAAAATGATGAGTTCATGTCCTTTGTAGGGACATGGATGAAGCTGGAAATCATCATTCTCAGCAAACTATCGCAAGGACAAAAAACCAAACACTGCATGTTCTCACTCATAGGTGGGAATTGAACAATGAGAACACATGGACACAGGAAGGGGAACATCACACACCGGGGCCTGTTGTTGGGTGGGGGGAGGGGGGAGGGATAGCATTAGGAGATATACCTAATGTAAATGACAAGTTAATGGGTGCAGCACTCCAGCATGGCATATGTATACATATGTAACAAACCTACACGTTGTGTACATGTACCCTAAAACTTAAAGTAAAATAAAAAAAAAATAAAAAAAAAAGATGAGCATGATAATGGTTCCTACCCCACAGAGTATTAATTAAACTAGATAACTCATCTAAAGTGCCTACCACATTATACATCCTCCAAAATGTCAGCTGCTATTATTATCCTCACAGTCAGACGCTGTGGTAGGCCATTTTCATTCATGGTCTCATCTATTCATCACAAGAGTTCGGTGGGCAGTGTAGGAGACAGCATTGGGTGCCTACACACCAGCCAGCTACTGCTCCATCCCTGTTGGCAGAGTCCTGCTCTCGTTTAGGTATTTGTCTTCTTCCCTATCCCCTGGTCGACATGGAAGGTGATTCTCTCCTCAGCCCAGGGGAAAGTACTGAATAGTCTAAGCCAATCATGTAACCTCTTACCAGTGATTGGTTCAGAGGTGGTCATGTGACATAGTATCAGCTAATGAAGTAGGAGGAGAAGCTTGGTCTGGTACCTGGTTGGGAAGCAGGGAAGGTTTCCTCACTGATACAAATGAGGCATGCAGGAAGACATCCTTCTTCCTTCCCCTGGACCTTGCGGTGTTTGGACATTTGCCTGGAATTGCCATGCTGTAAAGGAAGCCAACACAGAGGGAGAGGGGTAGAGCCTAGAGAACAGATGCAGGCCCCAATTACCTGGCATACCTGTGCTCATACTTGAGCACTTTCTGTTATGTAAAATGGGATGTCCCATGATTGTGTTAAAGCTCTTGAGTCATGCTTTTTCTGTAACTTACAGTCCCCACAAAAGCATCCTAACCAATGTAGTTAATTATTTTGCTCCCTGTGTTCCAGATGAAAAATTGAACCTCAAAGAGATTTACAGTATTTACTCCAAGAGTTAAACAGATAGCAAGTGGCCAGAAAAAGTAGAGTCTTTTTTTTTTTTTTTCTGAGGTCGGGTCTCTGTCTGTCACCCAGGCTGGAGTGCAGTGGTGCAATCATGGCTCACTGCAGGCTTGACCTCTATGCTCCCACCTCAGCCTCAAGAGTAACTGAGACTACAGGAGCACACCACCACACCTGTCTAAATTTTAAATTTTTGGTAGAGACAGGGTCTCACTGTATTGCCCAGGCTGGTCTCAAACTCCTGAGCTCAAGCAGTCTTCCCTCCTCAGCCTCCCAAAGTGCTAGGATTACAGGCATCAGCCATGGTGCCCTGCCCAAAGCAAAATCTTCTTATACATCCCCTCTGGCCTCTAGTGCCCAGGGCATCATAGAATGAATACTCGTTTAATAAATAGGCAGTGTCTCAGAAACTCATATGCTCACCAAGCTGTGTTACCCCAGGGCAGTGTAATAGCTGTGCTGCAAGGTGCGCTGAAAAATGCCATGCTTCAGCCACTTTTAATGACTTTCCAACTCCTCGATATGCGTGGTGAGTCTCATGAATTCTCTAAAAAGCAAGAAGAGTGATTATCTAAAGTGATTTTCATTGCTGGGGCACACTTCAACACACTCAGCTTCATGACAAGTAACACTTGCTCTTTATTTAAATAACAGGCTTTGGTTTGGTAGTTACCACTTCTTAATGTCATCCTCTTTTAAAAAGATGATATTTATACTAAATGCTTAAGAAATCTAGTTCTTCTTTGCCACAGCAAGTGGTGCTGAATTGATCTCAGGATTTAGTTCCAGTCCAAGAAAGTCACCAACTTGGAGGTCTGGGAGGAAAGCTTGAGGTGGGGTATATAAGAACAAGATAAAATGGGGATGGGAGGAAAGATGTTCTAGCTTTTTCTTCCCTGAGAGGCCTATGCCCTGTTTTAGTAGATGTCTTTCTGATTTTTATCAGGGGAAGAAGTATTAAAATGCACATTTAATTGTACTGACAGCTAACCAAAGGAAAAATACTTTAGAATGACATACTGCATAGTTACAGAGACACGGTTGAGTTCCCTTCCTTTCTTGCACTTGCCTCATACAGTTCTGTACCAGCCAAGCTCAGTCCTCACCAAACCTGCACCTGGGCAGAACTTCAAGGGCAGTGAACTTGACTGATAATGGCCAAGGGAGGGAGTAATGGGCCAGTGACTTAAGATTGTAACGGGGCAACTGCCCCTCAGTATTATACCCATGATTGCCCAATTAATTGTTAAACTCTCTTGCTATCTTTTCTTTTCTCCTTTTTTTGTTTTTGACAGATATTCTCTCTTGTTGCCCAAGCTGCAGTGCAATGGCATGATCTCGGCTCGCTGCAGCCTCCGCCTCCTGAGTTCAAGTGATTCTCCTGCCTCAGCCTCCTGAGCTGGATTACAGGCGCCTGCCACCATGCCTAGCTAATTTTTGTATTTTTAGTAGAGACAGGGTTTCACTATGTTGGCCAGGCTGGTCTCTAACTCCTGATCTCAGGTGATCCACTCACCTCGGCCTCCCAAAGTGCTGGGATTACAGGCATGAGCCACCACGCCCAGCCCTCTCTTCCTATCTTAAGGAAATCATAGGAGAGAAGCCAATAATAATAAGGGTGATAGTTACTGAGCACTTATGACACACCAGGCTCTGTTTAAGACCCAGTACGTGCACTATTATTTGAATTCTCACAAGCTGTGTTAAACCATCACTCTTCCTTTAATAAGTATAATTCTTACAATAATAATAGTAGCTATGTAGGAGAGAAAACATAATTTTCTCTCTACTCTTCTTAACTGGGACTCCCTGTAACAAAAGACAGATTAACAAGAAAAAAACAAACAGAAGTTTATGAACATGTATACCTCATGTATACATGGGAGAAAACCCAGAGAAATAGGTAAATCTCTAGAGTAGATCTCAAAGAAAGCATTTAAGTCTTAAATACAGTCATTCTATGAAAGAAGGGTGTGTGTGTTTGTTGTGGGGGAAAGCCTGGTTAAGACAAGATGGCCAGGGAAAGGACCCTAAAACAGGGTACGGTTTGTTATCCAGATTTAAGTCCATGCCTTCTCCATCCACTGGTTAACAATCTTTAGTGATTTAGCAGAGGGAGACACACTTACAAATGGAGATTTTCTTTATAAATGTAAATTTCTCTTACAAAATGGTAACTTTTCAGAGCCACTTCTTTGTCTTCAGTTTCTCAAAATAACCAGCTCAAAATCATCAATATGCCAAAGAGGCATATTTTGGAGTGGCATATTCTGGTCTCCTACAGTCATATTTTGGGGTGGTATATCCTGAGCCCCATCAGAATTATTATAGACTACAAAACTCAGGCACAGAAAGGATATGTAACTTACCCAGGGTTTCGAGGCTAGAAAGTGACAAAGTTAGAATTTAAATCCTGGTATTCTGGGTCCAGAATTCAGCTTTAATCATCACCCTCTAGTGCCTTAATAGCCAAAATAATTCATGAGAAGGAACAGATGGTTTGAAAATGGGAGACAGATGGTGAAAAGCAAAACACTTTTATCAAGCTGGTTGCATTTCTCCACCTTAACTGTGCCTGACAGGCAGCAGAGCATGGTGGGAAGGGCCTGCACAGTGGAATATCTGGAGCCCAGTCTGGCTCTACCCTGACTAGTTTTTAAGTGAGGCCCACAGAGGATGAGCAGCATGCTCCCTTCTTTTTGATATTTGGACTAAAATATAATGACTTACAAACTATGGAATACATAAGCATCGCCAACTAATTAAGAATCTTTAGAAGTGGGCAACAGGAGTCCACATTTTTAACAAGCTCTACAGGTGATTCTGATGCAGGTGGTCTATGGACCATGCTTGGAAACCAGATGGTCTTTGGGTCTCCTTTCTGTTTCTTATTTAATGACACCAGGCTATAGTCACACCTCCACATCTGTGAGTTCCACATTCACAGATTCAACCAATTGGGAATGGAAAATATTAAAAAAAAAACAATAAAAAATAAGGCAAATAAGACAATACAGTATAACAATAATTTGCATTTAAATTATATTAAGCATTTAAAATATATTAAGTATTATAAGTAATCTAGAGATGATTTAAAGTATCCTGGAGGATGTATGTAGGTTATATGCAAATACCATGCCATTTTATATCAGGGACTTGAGCATCCTTGAATTTTGGTATCCGAGGTGTGTTGGAGAGGGGGTCCTGGAGCCAGTCCTCTGCAGATACTAAGGGATGACTGGTACTTGCCTTTGTGGTGCTATTTCTCATCTGCTTTTGTCTGTAGATGGGCATCAGAGGTAGTGGCAAGCAAGGCGTGGAGTCAGGCAATTGGATGACAATGGGCCACTCACTACTCACTGCCTCCAGCCCTGTTTTTCTTTTTTTTTTTTACACAAAGTAGGGTTAAAGGAAACAAATAGTAATAGAAGAGGCATAGGATGGAATGCTCGGGTAAAGTCGGTGTCCACCCCCTGTTCATTATAGCCATGTTCTGGTCCATGCTGATATGTGTGAGTTAATGATATTGCAGAGAAAAGGTGCAATCTGAAGAGTCCAAAATTCTCAAGTAACTTATGTCATATCAGTGAGAATTCTCTTTTGCTTTTTTCATTTTAGTTTTCCCCACCCCTTTCGTTAGGAAGATTTTGTCCAAGCTCTCCTAGTTTAGGTGTAGCATACATGTGAAGATATGCCCGGCTCGTACACAGACCTTGCTGGCTGAGCTTTTCAGGTAGGCCATGTGCAGCCTCAGTGCCCCAGGGAGTCTCTACCAAAGATGGTTCATGAGATCCTAGTCCCCTCACAAGGAACTTTGAAACACTTTGTCTATTTACTTGCAAACTTGCATCTTTTTGGGAGCCAGAATGGTCTGGCATCTGCTCTAATTTTTGGGTCACACTCAAGAGCAGAGGAGTGAGGGAGGATTTTAATGTTAGTTACCATATTGTGGAATTCCTACTGTCAGAGAATAAGTTTTTAAAAAACATAAAATCATGACTCTCATATGATGGAGTTTAGGATGTACTATCCCAAATATGGCCCCTTGGGATCTGAGAAGACAGCAGAAGCAGAAAGGCCACTTTCCCCTTCCCCTTGCCCTTCTCCCGTGAGGTACATTATAAAACCTAGGAAGGCCACTCTCTAACCTTTTTCCCTGAAGCAGTTCATAAGACCCTCATTCCAGAGGGGCCCTCCTTATACTTGGAAGAAAAGAACACCCTTATCTCTGAAGACACAGGGACACAGACAAGAATCTGACCAAACAGGCCTGGCTATGTTCCTCCCAGTCCATTACCGTTAGGTAATGGTCACACTGTTATCGTTAGGTCACACTCCTTTTGTCCAATTTACACTTTCCCATGACTGTCGACTCTTCATCAAACAGCATAAAAATACACAGGTTTTCTTGTTTCTTTGAGTCTTCATTTCTGAAGGCTCTCGTGTCATCTAAAACTTGTATTAAATAAACGTGTATTAAACAAATGTCTTTGTTATGGGGCCCTCAGCCATAAACCTGAGGGAAATAAAAGTTGGGGAAAAATATTTCTTTTCCCCTACACATGCAAATATAGAATGCACACATGTCAAATGTTTTACTTAACTCATTAAGATTGAGAGGACAAGGCTGGGCGCGGTGGCTCAGGCCTCTAATCCCAGCACTTTGGGAGGCTGAGGCGGGCAGATCATGAGGTCAGGAGATCGAGACCATCCTGGCTAACACGGTGAAACCCTGTCTCTACTAAAAATGCAAAAAATTAGCCGGGCGTGGTGGCGGGCGCCTGTAGTCCCAGCTCTTCAGGAGGCTGAGGCAGGAGAATGGAGTGAACCCAGGAGGTGGAGCTTGCAGTGAGTCGAGATCGCGCCACTGCACTCCAGCCTGGGCGACAGAGTGAGACTGTCTCAAAAAAAAAAAGATTGAGAAGACTGTAGGATTTTATAACCAGTGCAAGGGAAAATCCAAAGACTAGTCATTTCTATAGAGAATCAGGAATGCTGAAATTAATTTACTACTCCATGCAAAAACAGCCTGTGCCACAAGGTAGAAATCAATGGGTAACTTTACAGGATAAAATTGATTTGCTTTTTTACAAATGGGAATCATCCCTATTTAGTTCTCCACAAGTTAATGTCTATCTCTACAGAGATGCAAAATAGTCGATGGCAAAGAAAAGCACAGACCTCTATAGAATCAGACAGCCCTGCTCCAGACAATGTCTAGCATTCAGTTGAAAGAACATCCATTAATCTTTTTGCTCATTTCAACATTTTTTCAGTTTTTCCTAACCCTGCTGTGTGCTTAAATCTGCGGGACTGCTAAACATGCTTTGTCTGAAATCATGGCGGGAAGGACTTCATAGCACTACTTGGCCTCTTACAATAGGGACATATTGAAAACCAGTTAAAAAGCATTAAATATTCCCCTGGATGAAGAAACGATCAAAGATGAGAAGCTGAAACAGCCCATGCGGGAAGCAGATTTGCTTTACTGAGGCAGCCCGAAGCTGGAATCTGCATTGCTTGCTTTGGCTTTCCTGCCTCCTGCCTCTCCTGGAGTGCTGCCCTCGGCTGGGCCCACTGAGACCTAGCAGCAACAACTGGGACCCCAGATGATTGATTGCTCTGTTTTGCCTTTCTCCTTGTGGGAGACCAGAATAGGTCACCTCCTAAGATGAAGGATGTTTTAGCTGAAGACAGTTAAAAAATACTCAGATGAAGGAAAGCTCTTTGCCCTCCCTCTATTTGTCTAAAAGCAGGACACAGATTTCCAAAGACAAATGGTATCCCACCTACCCTCTCTACCAGTGAGAACAAAGGTTAACCACTGTTAAATTAAATTAAATCTGGCCTGAGGATGGCTCTGGACTTTGAGTCTCTATGTAAAGAACCGCAACCTAATTTAGTACAGGAACTACCTGAAAGTCTAATTTAGGTTTACACTTCGGTAACATAAAGCAGTCTCAGCCAATCACTGTAGCAGAGCATCAGTCAATTGCAGATGTAACCAATCAAGCTGTTTCTGTAGCTTACTTGGGTCTTCTGTCTGTAAATGCTGCCTGCCCACTTTGTGAAGTGGAACTTTCTGAATGTCTCCTGGTTCTGAGGGCTGCCCGATTTACAAACCGTTCTGAGATGGTACCCCACAAATCTACATGACTGCGCTTTGCTAACTAGCCTTTACTGCCTTTGATTTGCCTGCCCCCAAGTTGCTGCCCCTAGAGAGTTGAAGTCCTTTTACTCTGTCTTGTCACTTCTCTAAAAATTTACTATTCCTTGTTGAAGATGCTCTATAAGCTGGAATTCAAAGCCACCTCTTTGAGAGCTACTCATCCCCTTGGTATCTCCCATGTACATAGGAAATGTATATGTTAATAGACTTCCGTTTGTTTTTTTCTTGTTATAGGGGTCCATTTCAACTAATAACCTATGGGAGTTGAAGAAAAAATTATTCTTTCTCTATACCCAGCACCCAAGACTTTCTCAGGGAGTTCCAAGAAGAAAAAAGAAAAAAAAAAAGAATGGTCCTCCGCTTATCCTCACTTGTCCCAGAGATCAAAAATAAAAAGGGAGGCAGTGTTTAGAACTCCAGCTTTCCGATCATTAACTTGCCCCAATCTTTTCTTTCTTTTCTGTCTCTCTTTCTTACCCAGGCTGGAGGGCAGTGGCTTGATAACAGCTCACTGCAGCCTCGAACTCCCAGGCTCAAGCATTCCTCCCAGCTCAGCCTCCTTAGTAGCTGGGATTACAAGTGCATGCCACCACATTCAGCTAATTTTTGTTGGTTTGTTTTTGATAGAGATGCAGTCTTTTGCTGTATTGCAAAGGCTGGTCTCGAATTTCTGGGTGCAAGCAGTGATTCTCCTGTCTCAGCCTTCCAATGTGCTGGGATTACAGGACTGAGCCACTCTACCCAGTCCTCATTTTCTTAGAAAATGAAAAACACTATGGAGAATGCCAGAGGGCAACCTGGTTTGTGCGTGTGTGCGTGCGTGTGTGTCGGGGGGGCATATGGGTGTGGGCGTGGGTGTGAGTGTTGACAAAGATTCCCTCCTGGACCAAACTTTACTCAAGATCCTCAGCCCTCTTCTGGATTACACTTCAGCCTTGTCTTGATACCACACCCAGTTTTAGTAAGAATACAGTTTAGCCAGAATCCCTTCACCCTTGATATCTGATCACCTCTGACTGCTGATCAAATTCCTCATCCCCAGCCTTTGATGCGTAAGTCCTCGGCCTGCCCTCAGCAAGAATCCTGTGAAGTTGGGTTAGCAAGAATCTCTCTGCTTTAGCTGTCTCCTCTTAGTAATTTTCCATCCACTGATATCCTCCCCCTGCTCCTTGGCTATAAATTTCTACTTGTCCATTTATTTGGAGTTGAGCCTGATCTGTTTCCTCTATTGTAATATCTCTCAATTCAGTGGCCTTGAATAAAGTCTTCCTTACCATTTTAACAAATGTCCAAATAATTTTTTTTAACTGTGTGGTTGTGTGTGCATGTGTGCGTGCAAGAGGGAGGACCTTTTTCAGAGGGGTAATACCTCTCAGTGACGGGGACACAAGGACAAAGAGACTGGCAGGAAAAAGTAAAGTAGCGCCAGTTCTCCTATTCACTATATTAGCTATATAGGGAATTTACCTTTCTCCTCCTCTGTTTTCTAATCTGTAAAATGGAGATAATCATACCTATTGCATAGCATTGTTATGTGAACTTACTAATGTCTATTAACATTAATTATATTTATATAATATATATACACTAAAACATTTTAAAACTTCTGTACGTTTTACATTTGTTTTTGTTTGTTAAATTGCAATATTTATTATTCAGAAGTTTTATTATTAACCTTTGCGAAAAGTACCATCTTTAACCTAAGTAGAGTGATAAAAAAAATGGTACAAAGAACATTACAAGCAGCTAAGGGGGGAATCATCTGAGTAGGGTGCTTTTTTCTGCCTTGGGTTGTTAAAAACCTCAAGGAAGAATCCTTTACTTGGTAACATCTAGAAAGTTAATTTTGCTCTTTCTCAGAGCAAGAGAGAAAAGAGATGACTGAATGCCGATTTCCCAAGAGGTGACTCAACAGTGCTCAGTGTTAGCCACATTGTTCTGACTAAAACAATGGAGTGGGTGGTCTGTGCTCCGGGACCCCAGTCCTCAGACTGCTGTTTTCCCTGGGAGGAACTGCAGCGTGCACTGTCTCCCAGGAAAATAACTGATGGAGACAATGAGGGCAGGGAAGGTGGGAACAGTGGAGTGGCCCAGCTGACCCTCTGGAAGGCGTTAACTCACCTCTGCTCTGGAGAAACCCTCCTGGAATAAATGTGTTCCCTGTTCTTGAGAGAAGGCTGGGCCACTAAGGAAGTGGCTATCTGCAGCCTTGGGGCCAGAGGAGAGGCTCGCCTATGCCCTCTAGGTCACATTGTCTTAACCTTCAGGATTGTTTCCTGGAAAAATTCTCTGATGGTAAAGAAGAAACCTGAGAGAGGAGAACCTGAGGAAAAGAAAAGTCTCTGGGAAGCCTAAGCCCTTTGGAATCATGTGTAGCAAGGAAGCACGTGTGTTTCCCCAAGTGAGTGTAGGGGAGAAAAAGTAATATATTTTCTTCACCCATCACAAGATTCATGGTTGAGACTCCTGTAACAAAAGACAGATTAATGATAGAAGAGCATGCACATTTATTTGATATGTGACACAGGAATCTTCAGAAATAAAGACTCAAAGAAACAGGGAGAGCTGCGTATTTTTATGCTTAGGTTTGACGAAGAGTAGACAGTCATGTAGAGGTGTGATCAGACAAAGGGGATGTGACCTAATGGTAACGAACTGGGGGAAACTCAGCAGGCCTGTTTGTTCTGATACTTCTTGGAGTCTCTGTGTCTTCCACTCCTTTTCCCCAGGTATAGGGAGGACCCCTCTGGAATGAGAATCTTATGACCTACTTCAGGGAGCATCAGCTAGATTTTATGGCCGGCTTCAGGGGAGAAGGGAGGCAGAAAGTGAGAGTGGCCTTTCTGCTTCTGCGGCTTCCTTGATTGCCAAGGTGCCATATTTTGGGATAGCATGTCCTGAACTGCATGATCGGATACATGTGCAATAAATTGGCAGTTTGGTCTGATGAATTTAATATGGATGTAAACGTGTGCAGTCAAGGAGAGTCAAAAGTCAAATTCTTTCAGGGAAAGGAACATAAACTGGGGAGGTAGTTAGCTGTGGAGCCACAGCCACTGATAAGAAGGTGTAAAAAAGTAGTTTGATGAAGAAAGGGCTCACTCACTCTGTTTGTGCTGTGGATTTCATTTGGTTGGTTAATTAATCCTTGATAAAGGTTTTTCTAAGGCACATGCTTTCCTTTCCCTTCTCTTTTAATGCTGCCAGTCATTGTTCCTGGCAACCACAGGGTGACCAATTTTCCACTTTTTTTTTTTTTGAGATGGAGTCTTGCTCTGTCACCCAGGCTGGAGTGCAGTGGCATGATGTTGGTTCACTGCAATCTCCGCCTCCCAGGTTCAAGTGATTCTCCTGCCTCAGCCTCTGGAGCAGCTGGGACTACAGGTGTGCCACGCCATGCCACCACGCCCAGCTAATTTTTGTATTTTTAGTAGAGACGGGGTTTCACCATATTGGCCAGGCTGGTCTTGAACTCGTGACCTCGTGACCCACCCGCCTTGGCCTCCCAAAGTTCTGGGATTACAGGCATGAGCCACCGCGCCCAGCCTCCACTTTCTATATCAGATGTTGATCTCCAGAAAGCCAAAGATTTATCCCTGAAGATTAGAGAAAGTTCTCTTTGTGGGGAAAGCTACAGATGAGGAACAGAAAAAAAAAATATCTTACTCCTCATGCCACTGACATAACCCTAGATAAACGAAAAGCTATGTAGGTGGAGAGAAAGAATGAAGTATGAAGGCCACCTGGAGTTCCTGTAGGCCATGGGGAGGGTAGAGGTAGAAACTCTATTTCTATATTAATCTGCTCTTCTAAAACCTGCTTCAGTTCTTTAAAGTTTCATCTCTCCTTATATGCTTTCTAATAGTTAACTGGATGTCCAGAAATTATACTTAGAATTAGTATTGCTTTTAGAAATTAGTTTGGGTTTAAGAAACTGGGAATTAGGCAAGGTAGAGTGAGGCATAATTCTTTAGTTAATTTACTCATGTCACCTAATAATTCTTTTTAACACAGTCTCAAATGTTTTCCAAAGAATATGCCTCTGTGTAATATTAATAAATAATGCCTACAGAGTTTTATGCTCATATAAGTTTGAGGAATACAGAGCTAATATAAGTTATTTGGGTTTCTTTATGATACGATTGCTGAGAGCCTTTAATAAACTAATGTGCATTGTAAATCAAGATGGGCTGCATGGTGAGCAGTGGGTCCCAAGCTTTTTCTTGGATTATCATGACACAATAGTGATTTAAGGGACACACTTTAAAAAACACCAATGATTTCTCAACCAGTTGATCTTGCTATTTGGAAGCTTCTTCCCACAGTTTATACCAGAAACACCTCACACAGAGGCATCATGGGGCAGGGGAAGGACACACGGGTCAGAAGACCTGGGTTCTAGTTGTACTTTCTTTTTACTAGCAGTGACAAGCAGTAGAAGGTGCTGAGCCTCGAGTTTATCATCTGTAAAATTGGATAATCATGGTCTTACTTTGCTTGCAGGGGAATAGTTGGGAATATCAAACGAGAAATGTGAAATAACACAGATGTAAGTTAGTGGTTGTTATGATAACATACAGCATAACTGAGGGTGAGAAATTCCTTACCTTTCTTGTTTGGATAATGCTTCATGGCAGAGATGTCTCTCTTTGTACTTTATTGACTCTATCAAATCAACAAACGTTTGAATGCCTATTTTGTAATAAAGCATTCCTTAAGTTGATTCTAGGAGAACTGTGCTGAGATTCATAACTACCTTCTCGTAATATCTAAATTCCCCATATTTCTTGTCCTGGCATTACTTAGGAATGTAATGTCAACGCATCACTCACTTTGGTTGTTTGGACACGCTCAGTATGATAGTCCTTTTTACCTGTTATTCATAGTCACTAATGCATCGTTTCCTTGTTAAATGAATGAATGGAGTAACACATGTGACTTCAGGGACAGAGTTTGCTGGAGGGCATTTCTGCCTATCACTTCTGCGAAATCGACTTTCTTCCCTTAAGACTTGATTTTTGTAATTGCTTTCCCAAAGATAAAAGCTAGCCTTGGTTTGGGTCACTGTAGAATAGCCCTGGAAATTTTCAGACTGGGAGACATTCACCTCTGCTTGTCTCAGGGTGTTATCAAAGCTACACTGGAAAAGATGTGTTTGCAGAGAGGTTTAAGTTTGGCAGTTCTTCGTGTACATACTTTTGAAAGGTGTGGGTCAAGGCAATCAAACTAAGTTGGGAGTCAAGAACATAGCATACTGGAAAATGAAAGCAAAAGTGGTGGTAATATAAGTTGAATAATAATGCCATTCATAGCAATTCCTGAGAACTACACACTGTTCTATGCACTTCATATAGATTGACTCCTTTAAATCTCAAAATAGCACTGTGGGGGTGTACCATTATTAGCCTGATTCTACATGTGAGGGAGGTAACAACTTTACATCGCCTACTCCAGTGTTCTGGTTTCAGGGATAGTAAGCAATGCCCTGGTATGATGGCTATATCAGGCAATTTGCCTATACCAATCAGAGCTCTAGAGTGATCCTTCTAGCTATGGCTGATTGGATCATGGATGAACGCTCGACTCAAATCCAGTTAATTCATTAGCTAGTCAGATTTTCTCAAGAATTTAAACTAGAGTCATAGAGATAAGAGCCTGTATAAAAGCTCTAGGGGTGAGGCAGCCATTTTGGATCGGTTTCCGTTTCTTAAGAAATGGAAAAAATAGTTAAACACTCCAACTCTGGGGTCTGATAGGCCTGGATTAGACTCTGGACTCTGTCATTTGTGAACTTGGACAAATGACCTAACTTCTCTGGGACTCAATTTCTTCATCTTCGAAGGAGGAATCTTTAAAAAGGGTATCTCTGCCAGTGAATTGCTTAGCATAGTGCCTGGCACATAGTAAATCTTCACAAAATAATAGCTATTATCATTGTTATTAATATTTCTGATGGCTTTTCAGTTCTCCTAAGGCCTGGCTTTACTTAGTTCCCTTTCCCAAGAGCCCATTGTCTGTGTCTTTATCCTCACCCTCCCTTCCCTTGAGGGAGTCTTGAAGGGCATGCGCAGGCTGGCGTCCAGTGCAGTGAAAACCAGCTCTACCCTTTAAGACGAGCTCTTGAGAGGTTGGTTTGAGTCATGTGCAAGATTTGTTCTTCATACAGTCACAACAAAAGGAAGATATAAATAATTCGTACTCCCACCATGTTGTTTCCTTCTTTCATCCTCAGGTATGGTAATCTAGAATCAATAATTTGTTTTGTTTTCACCATGTACTCAGTCCTGCACTATGCTGTGGGTATGTTTGTCAGTGTGTACATGTGTAGCTGTGTGTGTATGTGTGTGTGTGTGTGTGTGTGTGTGTGTGTGTGTGTGTGTAGGAGTGGGGAGGCAGTGGGTTGGTAGAAAAAACAGAAGTAGCAAACTTGAAACAATTAAAAAACAATAATGATAGTATATATCAAGTACAACCTCTTTCTAGGCCAGTGATTCTTAAATGAGGGCCTAGGAAAACATTTAAAAACAACAACAAAACAGAAGACAGATTTCCTGGTCCTTATCGCCCAAATTTCTAACTTGGACAATCTGAGGAGGGTAATGGTTAAATACTTTAAAAGGTCTTTGCAGAGTTTTGTTTTGTAGTCGAATTTTGGAACCACCACTATAGATTACAATTACGCAGTTAGGCTTTCTGAAGTTCAGAGTTGTCAAGCACGCCTTGATGGAAGGTTGAAAACCAGAACTAGATCTTGAAGATACGCGATAGATTGACGAAAGTGGGGGAGCATCTCAGATGAAGAACAGAGTAAACACAGGGAATTTGAACTCTACATAGCATCTGTTAGAAGGTAGGGGTGGGGATGAAACATGAAACCTATGAAAGAGAAGCAGCAGGTCCAAAAGGGAGAACCACTAGGGCAGAGCGTCATACTGAAATTTGCATTTACATTTGCAGATTCAGCATCATGCTGGCCTATTTTTGCAGCAGTCTCTTGGGAGGTGGGCGGAGTAGCATGCCTCCTGGCCCCTGGTCGTAAAACTAAATAGACTCTACTTAGCTCTGAGAATGTCTCATTTATACTCCTAGTTTCCATTGTCAGTGCCATAAAACAACACCAACTCCAAATGAGAGGAGAGGACAAACCAATGGTGTTTGCTAAGGTGATATCTCCTTTTTTGTAGGGAAGTTTTGGATGGGCTGGTTGAGTCAAGATACCTGGAAAAGCCAGTTCAGTTCAGATTGAGCCCAGCCTTGGGTTCAGTGATGGCCTCCAGGAAATTGGCAGCTCAGCTGTTTCACAACTTGGTTTTGTGGTACTGACACTCTCTTTTATAAGAAGGGCTTACCGTGGGCAGAGGAGTCTTAGCTCAGGAAGCCTTCTGAGAAACTAGAAAGATTTTAAGAGAAAAATGTGCTCTGTGTCCTTGCTATGTAACTCCGTTTTGAGCACAGGACTGCTGCTTCCCTTCCTCCCAGGAACCGGCAGCCTATGTGCTGATCCGATGCAGAGCTAATCTTTTCTGAGACATCCTCTCCTTCAGGGTCCAGCCTCCCATAGTTTTGCTTCCCTGGGACATGCTCTTCTCTGTGTCAACCCAAAGTCTGAAAATGGCCCATCAACTTTTCCCATGGAAGGTCTGCCCTACCCTGCTTAATCTGAGATCAAGCACAGGTATTTGACAAATTGACTCTCTAGAGAGTAAATTCCATAGCAAATATACTAAAAGCTAAAGCAAATCCTATGATGTTTTGGGCTCTGACTGATCCCTGAATCAAAATGTTTAGGGTCTAGGAACCTACACTGTTAACAACTATCACTGAAGCTTCTTATGCCCACTGCCCTTCACAACTATCTAAGCGCAGAGCTTCTAGAGTCATCTTGCCTTAGTGGAAGTTCCATCTTGAGAATTTCTTGCTTAGTGGAGTAAAGTATAGGGGAAATGTTCTTTTTTCTTTTCTAGGCCCTATAAGTGTACATCTGGGTCATGCTCTATGAAGAGACTGTTGTTATCAATGAGTTCGATGCATATATTTGTTAGCACTGACAGATTCAGACACAGATATTTTCCACCTCCAATGTTCAGGTATGATTTGCCTTATTTTTATTGTCCTTGCCTCCCTTCACAAAGAAGTGCAACAAAACAGTAGTCTCATAACCTAGAAACTTTTATTAGCAATGAAGGCAAGAAAATTAGCTGTGTGAGCATTTTTTTTCTCCCTCTCTGCATGCGCAGATCTGGTGTAGCTGCTGGGAGCCCTGGGCTGGATATGTACCCAGGTGACTCATGGGGAAGGATGCACCCTTCTGAGAAGCATCACCTTTCTCAAGAAGCATGACAGAGCTCCCGATATTAGACTTTCAAGACGTCTACCAGGCCTTCTTTGGAATAAATTGTGTCATTGAATGGGTGAGTCTATGTGCATGGAACAGGTTGGACTTCTCCAGAAGTGTCAGTGGCAACTGTTTAGAAGTGTGATGGATACTAAGAAAAGAAGCAGTGTGTTCCATAGCCTCCACGTTAAGTAGTTGAGAATCTTACTCACCTCTTCAATGGGCTGTACCTGTGTAGGACTTAGCATAGACAAGGACTTCTGTCAGGGGAATCCGTGAAGTGCCGTAAATGCATTTGTCCCTTCCAGTGCCAAGAAAGTGAAGGCTTTGTGTGTTTTGTTCACTGAGGTGTCTACAGTGCCTGTCAAATAGTAGTCACTCAACAAACATGTGCTGGATGAACAAATGGATTGCCTTCTATGGACTGAGTGTAGTGCTAAACTAGAGGTATAACTTGACTAAGACATGGGCCCTGTCCTTGCAGAGTTTTTAGGCTACTAGGTAAGGCAAATAGTTGGGAAAAAACACCACCACAAAATGTAGTAAAAAATGTAGGTAAATGTCTTAGGGAGCTCTGAAGAAGACTCAAAAAGACTTCAAGCTTCACCAAAGGAGTGGGAGGTGAGCTTGGATCTTGAAGGTGTGAAGGGGCTGGTTAGTGATGGGAGAGAGGAACATGAGCACAATTTCTACAGCTGAGGAACTTACTGCATGAAGGGAGGGCCAGTGCAAATCCCTGGGAAGGAATGTTAGAGGGCCTGTGCGGCAGGAGGCCACAATGGAGCCATTCCTGCTCCTGTTTTGACTGAGGCACCAATATGACAGTTATCAGCTACTGAAAGGAGTGTGAGACAGATCCCACCACCCCCACACCCTCTGCAGATTTACAGAAGAAACAGCTTCGAGGACCTCTTTCATGTCTCTCAGTCCCCTTAGCCAGATCAAGGACTTTGCAGGGCAAGGATGCCACAAGTGTTTCCCCATTTCCTGTGGACTGGGTGAAGGCCCCTCACAAGAGATGAGGTGGAGCCATCTTGCATCCCATCCAATAGGACAGGTCCCGTCTTGAGAGGAGAGGGAGGAGGGGAGAAACTCCATAGAAAAGGGCCAGAGATACATGCCCAATACCCAGCGATGAGGAAAGAGTTGCAAGAAGCCACCAAAAATAGCGATATATTCACCAGGTCAACGGGTGCTGCAGGACAGATGGGTCTACCAGGTGACTCATGAAGAGCCACAAAAGTGTTCCAGGACATCAGTCAAATCACAGAGACAGTGGAATGGTGATTACCAGGAGCTGGAGGAGGGGGAAATAGAGAGTTACGTTTAATGGGTATAGAGTTTCTGTTTTACAAGATGAAGAGGCTTCAGGAGATGGATGGCAGTGATAATTGTGCAACATTATAAATGCATGTCATACCAGTGAACCTTACACTAAACAATGGTTAAGATGGTAAATTTTGTGTTATGTGTTTATTTAATTAATTAATTTATTTATTTTGAGACGAATTGAGACAGATTTTATTAGAAATGAAGGCAAGAAAATTAGCTGTGTGAGCATTTTTTTTCTCGCTCTGTCACCTAGGCTGGAGTGCAGTGGTGCGATCTCGGCTCACTGCAAACTCTGCCTCCCAGGTCCACGCCATTCTCCTGCCTCAGCCTCCTGAGTAGCTGGGACTACAGGTGTCCGCCACCATGCCCGGCTAATTTTTTTGTATTTTTAGTAGAGACGGGGTTTCACTGTGTTAGCCAGGATGGTCTCGATCTCCTGACCTCATGACCCGCTTGCCTTGGCCTCCCAAAGTGCTGGGATTACAGGCGTGAGCCACTGCAACCGGACTATGTGTTTCTTAATGCAATAAAAAAATTGGGAAAAATGTGTTTCATGAGAGAAAAGAGTTCCCCTTCCCAGAGACAACGGTGTTAACCATGTGCCAGGCCCAGAGGTCACAAAGCCATTCAGTCAGTTATGTGCTGTCCTGCCCACTGACCTCCCCGCACTCTGCTTCTCCTTTAGATCTGGCAGTGAAGGAGTCGGGAAGACTGTGATGGGGGCAAGAAGAGCCAAGTGCCAAGGCTCCTTCCCCTCTATGGGCTTCCAGCCTGAAGCTGGCCTGAGGAGAGAGAATTCATAGCTAAGTCAAGTTCAGCCTCTTGATTATTACATGGGACTGGAAATTATTGTGCCTGAAGCTCAAATGTCCTGTGGCTTCAAGTGACTCCAGTGCTCTTCTACTACCCAGGAGTGAGCAGAAAAGCACCTAAAGCTGCCAGGGCTTTTCTCCAGGGGCAGGGAAGGTTACCCACTGATAAACTATCTAGGGACAATGGGAGACAGAGACAGGTCTGAGTAAGTCACAATTGTACTTATTCAGCATGCCTATTACATGTGCAAGCGGTGCTTGGCATGCAGTGAATGCTCAATCAGTATCTCTTACTGACTAATGTGAACCATGTTATAATGATTCCCATGGAGACACAGAAGTCACAAGAGCACCAAAAGTCAAACCTAGGAGTTGTGGTTTGGTTGCTATGAACTATTCAAGGGTTGTTAACTATTTGACCTCACAAAAGTTATGCCTATAGAATGGCATCAGTGACCCCATGGCATGGAAAGAGGTATTCAGTGAGCTAGAATACTGTCCCCTTGCGGAAGACAACTAAAGACCAATGACTCCCGTTTTGTTTGTTTGTTTGTTTTGTTTGTTAATCTCCATAGAAAACTCACAAACATTGTTTTAAATCTCTTCACAAGTGAGGGTACAACCCAACCTTAGGATTGGACTGAAGATACTTACTTTTCAATTGATAGGATATAAGCAGATAAGACCTTCTCCAAAGTTTCCTCCCAAGGGGGAATCTGGTGGAATAGCTCATTCAGTTCACTCTGCCCTCCCTTGACAGTGCTTTCTTCTATTCCACAGAGGCTAGTAAACTCCCTGGCAGGTAGGCTTTCTCAGGTGATTCAGGTTTGATCAATGAGGAATACTCACATGAGATTGAGAAGACAGAAATGTGATGGGGGCCATGCTCCTGCAGCCGACAGGCATGTGGTGGTGTTTGGCTTTTCTGCAGCAGCACTACCAAAGCTTCCAGCATCTATTCATTACTTTCATGGGTAGTGAGGGGCAGAGTAGGGGCATTCATTTATGTCATTGCAGGTTTGGTGAGATCCAGAGCTGGCAGCCGTAGGGGATTCCTTATCTTGGCAGCCTCCTATTGCTGCAGCAGCACTGTGGTTCTAGAGGAGGTCACTTTCTGGTTGCAGAGGAGGCAACAGCTCTCTTGGTGGCCCAGTTCTGCACTGTGCTTCGGGAGTCTTTCCCAACAACTCAGCCTAGGGTTTATTTCTTTCCAAGTGATTTTGTAAACCATTTAATATCCTGAAAATATCACTAACTACCTAGTTAGAAAAGATTCTGTTTGGCCGGGCATGGTGGCTCACGCCTGTAATCTCATCACTTTGGGAGGCTGAGGCAGGTGGATCACTTGAGGCCAGGAGTTCAAGACCAGCCTGGCCAACATGGTGAAACCCCATCTCTACTAAAAATACAAAAATTAGCTGGGCGTGGTGGAGCCTGCCTGTGATCCCAGCTCCTTGGGAAGCTGAGGCAGGAGAATCGTTTGAACCCAAGAGGTGGAGGTTGCAGTGAGCCACTGCATTCCAGCCTGGGCAACAGAGTGAGACCCTGTCTTAAAAAGAAAAAAAAGAAAGAAAGAAAAGAAAAGATTCTGTTCTTTACCACAATGAACCCCAGTGGATACAGCATGATGTGTAAAAAGAATATAGGAAACAAAATCAAAATTAGTATGTCTGAGAAGCTAAACACAGGGAAGGATAAGTGCTAGAGAGAAATGTTTTATTTGGAGAGGGTGGGTGACATTCATCTGTTTATCTGATTAATTTATCTTATATTTTTTGAGGGCTTCCATGTGCCAGATACTGGGAACAGCTAGTGATTCACAGGGGGAAAAGACCAGTGGAATCCTATACTCACAGTGTTGAAGGTCTAATGGATTATTCTTTCTCCCTTACCCCATTCTCTCTCTATATCTAGCTAAGAACTTTGACTTACAATTCTTTTCATTTAGTGATCAGTCACTTGCTTAGAGGGTGGGGAGTTTTGGTTCATAGAGAGCTAAGAGCTCAAGGCTAGAAGACACACCTTCAGCCCAGACCAGTCATAAGCGCTAGTGATAGAATTTTTCCTGCCAGGTATACCATTAATTAACTAGCAATTAAAGTCTATAATTAATCCATTATTATTATTATTATTTGAGATGGAGTATCACTCTTGTTGCCCAGGCCGGAGTGCAGTGGCACGATCTTGGCTCACTGCAACCTCCAACTCCTGGGTTCAAGCGATTCTTCTGCCTCAGCCTCCTGAGTAGCTGGGATTACAGGTATGTGCCACCACGCCTGGCTAATTTTGTATTTTTAGTAGAGACGGGGTTTCTCCATGTTGGTCAGGCTGGTCTCGAACTCCTGACCTCAGGTGATCCGCCCACCTTGGCCTCCCAAAGTGCTGGGATTACAGGTGTGAGCCACTGCACCCGGCTTAATCTGTCATCTTAAGATCCATGTTTATACACCGCATACCTACAACAAGTTTCTACTATCTATTAGCACAGTAAATTCCCCTCTAAATTATTTTGCTGTAGGATGACACAAGTGTTCAGCAGCCATGGGGAGGTGCTGCTCGTCTCCCTTTAAGAGAGAACCTGCTGTCGGTGGCTCATGCCTGTAATCCCAGCACTTTGGGAGGCCGAGGTGGGCAGATCACCTGAGGTCGGGAGTTCAAGACCAGCCTGACCAACATGGAGAAACCCCGTCTCTACTAAAAATACAAAATTAGCCGGGCATGGTGGCACATGCCTGTAATACCAGCTACTAGGGGGGCTGAAGCAGGAGAACGCTTGAACCTGGGAGGTGGAGATTGCAGTGAGACGAGATCACACCATTGCACTCCAGCCTGGGCAACAAGAGCGAAACATCGTCTTGAAAAAAAAAAAACAAAAGAGAGAGAGAGAACCAGCTGTGAGGTGTGCTGTCAGTGGCCCATTCCTGAGGGACCAAAGCCATGACCTGCCCAGGTTGCCCTAGCCAATGACTGAGCTCAGCACGGTAAAAGGCCAGTCATTTCTCCTCTCTGGGCAATCTTTGCTGCTGAACTTTCTACTTATTCCTCTTTCTTTCCCCTTTCTTTTCACAGGAGTCAAACCTCTATTGTAAACTGAAGGCCTTCTCTATTCACTCCCCTTTTTGTTTTTGTTTCTCTTTATCTTTCACAGGTCTTGCCTCCAATAAATCTCTTGCACTTCCAACTCCATCTTGGCATCTACTTTCTGGAAACCCCAACTGACCCATTGTGCAAAAACACCTTTTGAGAGGTTACCCACTTATTTCTAACGTAAGAGCTTTCCTACTTGCTTTTGTCTTTTTTTTTTTCTGGGTTGAATTGTCTATATCTGAGCTCCTGATTTCTCCTATCTAGGCTCACCTTAATCCCAGCAATAAAGGAGGTGATGTGGGAACCCTTAGAAGTAACTGATGGAAAGCAAATAAAGTAGGGAAGATAATGAGTAGCTGGCAATTGGCTCATAAATATCCCTGGCACAGCCTGAGACAGTCCTTGGCTGCCTTTTCTGGAGCTGAATCTTCCATTGTGATGAGAAAGAAGTTGCCAGCAGACACAGGTGTGCAGCCTCACCTCCAGCATGTGCTCTTGTCATTGTTTGTATGAAGAATAAAAATAAATTATCAAGTGAGAATGCCCGTCCCAACATCTGTCTACACAGCGAGCTGCTTATTCTTCAAGTTCCAAGTCATTCTTCTCCTTCTTTGTGATGATTTTTCTGTTCTCCCAGGGAGCACCACCCCATCTTTCAGTGCTCCTATGGGGGTGTGCACATGGTTCCCATACTGCATGGCTATTATTTCAACACACGACACCTTTCTAGCTGGGCTGTCAGTCTTAAGGGCAGGATGATGGCTGTCTCAGACATTTGAATATCTTCCTTATAGGTGTGGACCAACCCTTAGTAGAAGCCCAATAAGTGCTGAGTGGGTAAAATGTGCATCCCTGTATGGAAAAAAGGCAATGGACTGGACACTTCTGCAGAAGCTCTTTGGCTCGCAGTTCAGTTCCAGTCTTATCACAGGGCATTCCTGGACCTCTGGATGGCTCAGCTAATTTTGGCCTTTATTCAAGGCATGGTAAAAAGGAAAGAGCAAAAGGGAGGAGTCCAGTCTTGATTTCTCACTAGGCCTCCATTTCCTGATCTATTAGACAGGAGACCTGGTTATATAATCTGTAAGGATTTCTAGCTCTACAACTGCAAGTCTCTGTGTCGGAGGACATATGACCATGTCATCTGCCAGCCCATTTGCTTCCAAGATGGACTTGGTTGACCTGGTACCTCCCTCACTGTGCCATGAATATTCTCCCATAACTGTTTGCTCAGTACAGTGGAGAGAGTGGCTCTTCTGCCTACAGTAAGAAGGAGGTAATATTTGTACTCAGTATAGAAGGATAATAAAGAGAAGGGACCAACGTTTATTGGGCACCTATTATGTTTGCTGCTTTTACAGTGTTATCTAATTTGATCTCTATGATTCTGTGAGGCAGATGTTATAATCCCTAATTTTAAAGATGAGGGAATGGGACTCAATGGTTCAAAAAATTGCTATAGGTCACACAGCTAATAAATTAATAAAGGTAGGATTTAAAGCAAAGTGTCCAGACTCTTCCTACTGCTGTTATTCCAGGCAGCAGGAGCAAGTTACAGAACTGGAGAAGCATGGAATGTGTTTGGGAAATAGGAAACGGTTCAGGCAGAGGGTGGAGAGCAGACGGTATCTAAAGGGGAATGGTGTGAGACAAAGCTGGCATGTATACTAGATGGGGCCTGAGTATCAGCCTGTGACACTGGGCTTGACAAAACTGTATGCATTGGGAACCATGGGCAGTTTTGGAAACAAATATAAGTTACCCAGAAACATTATGAAGGTTAACCTGGCTTTTTTTTTTTTTTTTTTTTTTTTGAGACGGAGTCTCGCTCTGTCGCCCAGGCTGGAGTGCAGTGGCGCGATCTCGGCTCACTGCAAGCTCCGCCTCCCGGGTTCACGCCATTCTCCTGCCTCAGCCTCCCAAGTAGCTGGGACTACAGGCGCCCGCCACTACGCCCGGCTAATTTTTTGTATTTTTAGTAGAGACGGGGTTTCACCGTTTTAGCCGGGATGGTCTCGATCTCCTGACCTCGTGATCCGCCCGCCTCGGCCTCCCAAAGTGCTGGGAACCTGGCTTTTAAGAAAAGGATGGATTGAGGGGAAGAGATGAGGGACCTCTTATCCTATGGAAATAGCCTTCCTCCCCGATAAGTCATTCAACGAACAGAATGCTCAGATAGATCTCCTTTAAACTGGACATATAGGCATGAGGGGAATTGACGCATTGTTTTCCACTTTCTTCTTTTTGCATCTTCTCCTTTTGCATGTTGAAGCCACTCTTCTGTGTCCAGAACTGTCTCATGAGAGAGAGAGCAGGAAGCAGAGTTATTTATTTATTCTTTAAAATCTTATAAAATTCCCTGTGCCAGTCATTTTCCAGAGGCTTTCCTCTTTTGGGCAGTTCTATAAGGGGTCGCTTTTTTTCTCTCTGCTCTTTCCTTCTCTTGCACCCCCTCTAGCTCTGGATCAACGAGCTGCCACTGGTTAGGTTTGTGCCCATGCCATTATCCTGAGTGGTTGAAAACCATTCTTTCCTTTGTTTTTAGAAGTCTCTCTCTCCTCCCCACAGCCACCTGCATCCCACACAACAGCTTTAAAGGAGAAAACCCCATGGAGAAAGAACTGAGACTGAGAGGAGTTCCAAACTAAAAATAAACCACAGATCTCAGCAAGGCTCTATACCCTGGCTGTTGCCCTTGTCACTGACTTTTCCTTATTGAAAGCTACTCAGAGACCTGAGGAAAGCTTTGTGCTAATACCGATATGATTGCTGTCATCGCCACTACCTGGGTGAGTGCCATTCAACATTTACACAGTGCAAGGTGCTATGTAGGAGTTGGACATAACTGGAGTTTCTCAAAATCCTCAAATGAAGTTAATGTGGGAAAAAAGGCTCTGAGAATTAGAAGAGCCAGGTCCCCCGGTCTCACCCCTGCCGCTCTGCTTCAGTCACTTCAGTCTGTTTTCTTTTTTTTGAGACAAGGTCTCTGTTACCCAGGCTGGAGTGCAGTGGCACAATCACAACTCACCAGGCTCAAGTGATCCTCCCACCTCAGCCCTTCCCCACCACCCCTATCCCCCAGTAGCTGGGACTACAGGTGCATGCCACAATGCTCAGCTAATTTGAAAAAAAAATTGTTTGTAGACACAGGGTCTCACTATGTTGCCCAGGCTGATCTGGAATGCATTGCCTCAAGAGATACTCCCTCCTCAGCCCCCCAAAGTGCTGGGACTACAGGCATGAGCCACCATGCCCAGCCTACTTTATGTTTTAAAAGAGGATTGGAAGAGTAAGTTTGCACTTCTCATTCAGGATTCTGTGATTCTGACTTCCTCATTGCCTTTCTAACAGTCTCTTATCACTGCTCTTGTTTTCTTTATTAAACCACTTTTTCTCTCCTCCCCCCTCTTACTTCGCTCCCTCCTCCCCACTCTCTCTCTCTCTCCCCCTCCTTACCATATCAACCCAGCTTACTATCAACCCTATTGTCTTACTTCACAAGTAACAGCTTCTGCAACTAGTAGGCAGAACATGACTGTTATTCCAAGCTCCCAGAGGAATAAGGAGGAGAAAGCCATTCTTTTTCTTTATTGATGAGCCCCTAGGGAAACTAAGTCCCTTTTCTCTTACCAACCCATGAACAAATAGGCATTGGGGTCAAGGTTCCAAAACTGCCTGTTCTGTTAGCTGCAGACTTTAAGAAAGGTTTTGGGGAAATAAATAAAGGCAGAAATGAGATATGTGTTGCTAGAGCCTTCTGTTCTCCTGGCTTCTCTCCCTGTCACATTGTTTACCTGATCCATCTGGTATACTCCTACCCAACAGAGTAGAACGAAATTCGCTTATAATGAACAAAGGTCATTTGTTATGTTCTTAATTGATTAAAGCATCATGCTCAAAACTGCATTAGATTCTGAGTTTTTTGGCACAGGCCTGGCACATAGTGGATAAATATTTTATTTTGAAGGAGTCAATGATGTACAAAGTTACACCTATTGAAACTTTCTCAGAGGCAGAGATTATTTATAGTGATTGTGTTTCTGAACAAAATTTAGAGATAGGGTTTGATAAGTAGTTTTTTTTCCCTGATTTTGGAGCTTACATGAAACTAGAGAAGTATAAAAAATGAAATTTGTTTTGTTATACATTGAATGAACCATCAATGTATAACAATTAGAATGATACATTGAATGTAAAAATTGAAATGATCTCAGAAAATTGAACATGTTATACATCATGCCCATGGCTTGCAAAATCAGAAGCAGCAACATGTAAAGGATTTAAAAAGATGGTAATATCATGGAAATAAGAAATACAAACTTTGTCACTTCATGCTGTCCCAACTAAAGAGTACCTGTGGGATTGAGGTGGCCACCAGATATAGCATCTGTGGACATTCTGGGTTCAAGTGGGAAGAAAGGAATCATAGAGCAGCTTCTTTCTGCTTAATCTCTGAAGGCAAGAGGTGATGGATGGCCTTGCCAAAATATTTGAAACATGAACAAAGGTAGTCAGTGAATATTAACTAGCTGCGCCGTAAACTGCTGCCGGGGTTCACCGTGGTATTATACTCACCTTCTGCTGCAGTAGATGCAGACCAGACCTAATTCAGACCAATCTGGATTTTGGGTCAGGACCCTGGAAGATTAAGGAAGGAAATAAAGTGTCTCATGGTCACATATTTCCAGATACAAAAGGATATGTAGGAAAATTTTATTCTAATCCTCATCATCTAAACCCAATAAAACTAAAAAAAGATAAGAGACTTGGAGCAATGTTCTACCCTGTGAAGTCCTAATCAAGACATGTATTTCTTCACGTGGAACCACAGGGTCTGGGATGACGTCTGACTGCATTTCCCTGATGGTAGGAGGTTGGCGAGGACAGGGATACTCCACCTGGCTCGTCCGCACCCAGAGCCCCACCTTAGTGCAAGCTGCTATTTCCTCCTGCCTGGAATGTTGCATTTGCCTCCTAACTGGTCTCTCTGCTTCTGCTCTTCTCTCTACATAATTTTTTTTTTTTTAAGACAGAGTGTCACTCTGTCACCCAGGCTGGAGCGCAGTGGCGTGATCTGAGCTCACTGCAACCTCCACCTCCCAGATTGAAGCAATTTTCAAGCCTCAGCCTCCGGAGTAGCTGGGATTACAGGTGCTCGCCACCATACCCAGCTAATTTTTGTATTTGTTAGTAGAAATGGGGTTTCGCCATGTTGGCCAGGCTGGTCTGGAACTCCTGACCTCAAGTGATCTGCCTGCCTTGGCCTCCCAAAGTGCTGGGATTACAGGTGTGAGCCACTGTGCCCAGCCCTCTCTCTATAATCTATTTCTCACGCAGCCAGAGTCTTTTTGTAAAAGTGCAAATCAAGCTGTGTCACATCCTGCGTTAAACTGTCCAGTGGTTTCCCATGGCAGTCAGAAAGTAATGAGATACTCTCGCTCTCACCTACAGAGCCCTGTGAACGCCTGACCCCACCACCCACTCCTCCTGCCCCATCTCAGGCTCCCTGCCCCTTGAGACCTGTGCACCAGGTCCAGTGACTTTCTTTCTGCCCCTTAGGCATGTAGAGCCCATCCCTGCCTCAGGGCCTTTGCACTTGCACTCTTTGCCACTGTGATCTCAGCTTTTCAAGCAGCTGCCTCCTCATCCTTCAAGTCTCAGTTAATGACAATCCCTCCACGGGGTATTCCTTGACCTCTTAATTTAAATCAACTTAGAAAGTCACTCACAATCACATCACACTATTTTATTTTCTTCATAGCCTTATTGCTTTCCAAAATTATTCTGTTTACTTAATGATTTACTAGTTTAGTGTTTGTTTCCTACCATTAGAAGGATAGGAAATCATTGAGAAAGTACTCTTAGAATTGTACATTATACTATATAATGCTATATATGCAGAACCAAGTTCCTGGCACATAGTAGGTTTAGAATAAATGATTTTAGTTGGTGTTGATGAATAACGAGACCTAACACCCCTCCCCACACCCCTGGCACTGGCATTCCATAAATGGGACATACCTTTCCTTTGTAAAGTGGGTTGAAGTTCCTGTTTACCTTGGAGGAGGAGCCAGTCTGGGACACATATTAAAGCATTTTTCAAGTACTTAGAGTTTAAGAAGGGATCATGCACAGCATCTAATATCACTCAAGAGGGGGTAGAGAGTATGGTAGATAGTCTCCAAAGACGGCCATTACCAATTCCTTGCCTTGCATATGCATGGTACTTCACCTATCGAGAGGTGGAAACCATTTTTCCTCTCCTCAAATCTAATTGGCCTTGTGGTTTGTTTTGACTAATAAGTAGAATGCAGCAGAAGTGCTGTTCTAGGACTTTCAAGCCAGGCCTTAATAGAATCGGCAGCATCTGTTTTCTCCATCTTTGGCAGCCAGCTGCCATGGAAGAAGTCCAGTTCTCTGAGAATGCTGTTTTGAGGAAGTCCAAGCTCTCCTCGTAGAGAAGCCCCATGGAGGAGCACCAAGGCGCCAGATACAAGAGTGAAACCTTGGCAGTCCAGCCCATGAATTCAGCCTAGTGAAGGCAGAAGAACCCACCAACTAAGCCAAGTCAACCTACAAAATTGTGAAAAATAAGTCATTAGTGTTTCAAGACAGTAAATTTTCAGGCCGTTTGTTATATAGCAGACAGCTAATGTTAGAGATATGGCTGCTGTAGAATTGTGTGTTACCATATCCTGAGGCTTGAAGAAATTTTGAGCTTCTCAAGCTTTAATCTGCATATAATAAACCATCAGGGCATACTGTTAGGAAGCAGAGTCTGATTCTGTAGGTCTGGGGTGGGGCTGAGAATCTGGCAGCATCTGTTTTCTCCATCTTGGCAGCCAGCTGCCATGGAAGAAGTCCAGTACTCTGAGAATGCTATGCTTCGAGGAAGTCCAAGCTCTCCGTGTAGAGAAGCCCCATGGAGGAGCACCAAGGTGCCAGATACTTGTAAGAAAGCACCTAAGCTTTCTTACAAGCCCCTAAGTGATGCTTACAATGATAATGAAGTGCACGGACTCACTTTGAGTAGCAAGGCCAGTCCCTAGCTTCCAGAAAGTTCCATACTTAAATCATCTCAGAAAACCCCAGGCCTTCCCCAAGTATATTTGAGGAAAGACTAGTTTGAAAACGGGTTCTGGTCAGATAAGTTTGGGAAACGCCACCTACTCTATTCCACCACTAGAGTTTCACAACATACTGAGCTCATAAAGCTCTTAGAGCTCCTTCACTAAAGAAACCTGTTTAACTCTATTTAGCACAATATTTCCTGAGTATATTTGATTATTCCTATTAATATCTTAAGGAACTAGTGTTCTGTGAAACACACTTGGAGAAGCACAAAACCACCTTCCCCCACCCCTTTTTTAAAATTAACTCAGCAGGTTAATCATTGTCTCTTAACAATGAATGTTATGTCACGTAGTGTTGCAATCCAGGAGTTTTTTCTTTTTTCTTCGCTCTCTAACCAAATTCCTTTTTTCTTGCTGTAGTCTAAGAAATCTCTATTCGTTTCCAATAGAGGTGGAAAGCAGCCCATGCCACCCATTATTTAGCCCTTTCTTTTTTTTTTTGTATATATATATATATATATATATTTTTTATTATTATACTTTAAGTTCTAGGGTACATGTGCACAATGTGCAGCTTTGTTACATATGTATGCATGTGCCATGTTGGTGTGCTGCACCCATTAACTCGTCATTTACATTAGGTATATCTCCTAATGCTACCCCTCCCCCCTCCCCACACCCCCCAACAGGCCCCGGTGTGTGATGTTCCCCTTCCTGTGTCCAAGTGTTCTCATTGTTCAATTCCCACCTATAAGTGAGAACATGCGGTGTTTGGTTTTTTGTCCTTGCGATAGTTTGCTGAGAATGATGGTTTCCAGCTCCATCCATGTCCCTACAAAGGACATGAACTCATCATTTTTTATGGCTGCATAGTATTCCATGGTGTATATGTGCCACATTTTCTTAATCCAGTCTATCATTGTTGGACATTTGGGTTGGTTCCAAGTCTTTGCTATTTTGGGTAGTGCCGCATTTAGCCCTTTCAATGCTTGAAGCTCTCCTCTTCCTATCAAGGTGCTTAGTCTTCTACTTCTTTCCATTTTTTCTATTTCCCAGCACCTATTGCTCTTTTTCCAGCTCCACCACTTAACCAGCTGGTTGACCTTGGATTTGTTTCTTGATATTTTTAAGTATAAATATTTCCATTCGTAAAATGGAGTTACTCCTAATATTGGAAATATTAAACGAACCCATCTATTGAGTGCTTAGCATACAGCCTGCAAGTCCTAATCATTAAGGAAATGTCAGCTTTTGTTGTCATTGTTCTCTTACAGCTCCAACTCTCCAGCTCTATGGGTGTCCCTGTCCCAGCGAGGCTGGGGAGGAGGGAAAGACACTGGGGGGGGACACATGGCTGATTGAAACTCATCTAATTCCACAGTCTGATTTGAGCTGCTATTCTTAGCCTCCTTCACACCAAATCTTTTTCCTGGTACCGCTGAGAAGCTTCAGAAAGTTCAGGCTAAAGTTAGAAATCTAAATCTGTGTCTCTGGAAGTCCACCCACTCTTCATCTTTGGAAGCTGTTCTTTGGGGCTGACACTGGAATTTCAAGGGTTATCTGCTATTTTTACATTTTTATTGTCTCTTTGCTGAAACAAGTCAGAGATGGTCTCCCAGCAGCAGGACTTAATACTGGTAGGTTTTGTACTGAAATGTAGCTCAGGATAATATCACCTCCACTGTTTATCCCTTTATCCCAGAGACCACCTGCAAATAGTTTTGAGTTCCTTACTTCTCTCCCTCCTCATTTGCTTAGGAGAAAGCAGGCAGCTTCTCATCCATATTAAAAACCTATGGCACTTTTTCTTCACTAGCTCCTCTCCCCTGCCATTTGCAGACCTCACTAATAGCACCACACTAAGCCTTTACTCCTATAGAGGGTACACAGAGTAACTCAATCTGGCCTTAGTTCTTTCTTCCCTGGCCTCAAAAGGAAGTAGCTCTGGTCACAAGACAAACTTCCCTTCCCGTGAAGTGGGAGAAAATCTGCTGCACTTTCCCTTCAAGCCTGATCTATTTTCTTCATGTGTGCAGATACAGTGTGATTATTATTATATTTCTCTCTGGGCACCAATTGCTGTCCTTCACACAGGGTAAACGAAAAGGCAGCCCAGAGGGAAGCAGAACTTTTGATCTCAGTGCTGTATTGAATGCAGCTGCTCAGCTCCTCTCTGTGAGTGACACCAAGGCTAGTATTTTCATCTCACTTAAAGACGTAGGAGGACCTATAATAATAGCTAAGATTCAGTGCTGCTAAGGTGCCAGGCACTGTGCTAACTAAATACTTTACATATAATCTCATCTAAACATCCACTGGTGTTCCCATTTTGCAGAGGACCTGAGGGATCTAAGGCTTAAGCGGCATAACGTGTCCTAAAGGTCACAGAGCTGGTCAGTGGGAGAGGAGAGGCTCAAACTAGAACCTCAGGAACTCTCGTCCATTACATATGGAAATTTTGCTTGGAGAATTGGCCCAGGCTGTTATGGGAGCCGTGCTGAGTTATGGCTCCACAGGGCTGCAGGGCCATTCTGAGGCCATGTAACCCACCTCCCTGTCCTTAGGCAGCACATCCCCAGCCGTTCCACTAAAATGTTGTTGCTCCTATCTGAAAATAGTTGTGAGAAGTTATTCCTCAGCCAAGCCTGGCATGTCTGTAGGGGTTTTATGACCCTTGGGCAGGGGGTTTAGCCTGAAGTTTCTGAGTATTCCCGTCTGAAAATGATCCGTCTGCTGAAACTCGAACTAATGTTATTTTCTGTTTAGCTTCCTACGGGTAGGAAATGAATCCAGAGAAGTTGCCACTTGAAACTGGAGTGCACATATGGTGCTAGTCTTAGGACGACTGTGGATCCAAAGAAAGTTTTTATTATCAATCTCATTATAATATTTATTTTCCCTGTTATATGAATTGTAAAGTAAAAAGCTGCAATGACTTTGGTTTAGTTCTTTTTTTAGTGGTCTTGTTACTCTAAGTGTGTCTCAAGGGTCAGCAGCATCAGCATCACCTGGGAGCTTGTTATCAATGCAGAATCTCAAGCCCCGCCCCAGATTTGTGGAATCAGAATCTGCATTTTGATAGCATCCCAAGCTTATCTGTGTGCACATAAAGTCTGAAGGGCACCGTTTTATGGGACTTAAGCCTGAGGGTAGAGTACAGATGGCCTAGGTGTTAAAGTAATTGTTCACAATGCTGGCTGTACCGTAGGATCACCTGGGGAACTGCAGAGCACCTGGCTCCCACTGCTGAAGATTCTGGATTAATTTATCTGGGGCGGAGACTAGGGGTGGGTACGTTTGGAAAGTTTCTCGGGTGAGTCTAGTGTGCGTCAGGGCTCAGCACCACTGCCTAAAAGATATGCTGACTTCTAGCTCTGGGCATGTGAAGATAAGGCGTTGTCTGTCTCTCTCTGCTGGACGTTCTATCTAAGCAGCGTGGATGTTGACAAGGCTCCTGGAAGGACAAGAGAAGGTATATTAAAACATACAATTAAGCCCTAACATACGTAAATATGTCTTTGAGAAGACAGTGAAAGGAGAGCCATGGGACCATGTTTAACTACGTTGGCAGAGTCAGGGTTTGGAAAAATGCACCATTCCTCTAACTTGGTAGATTCATGGAGAAGACGTAATGTCCTTCATTTAAGATTTTAGTGTCTTTCATTCAGGACGTGTGGCTGCTTTAGGGTTGCTAGATTTGGCAAATAAAAATACAGGACACTCAGTTACATTTGAGTTCCAGGTGAACAAAGAGTAAATTTTGAGCATTTTTTTTTTAGTATGCAATATTTGAGAAAATAACACATTAAAAAATTATTCACTGTTAATTGGAAACAAACTTAGCTGTTGGTCCTGTATTTTATCTGGCAACCTCAGCCTGTTTAGAGCAGAGTTTCAGTGAATGCCTTGGGACACTGGAACATGGAAAACAATGCCCTCTGAATTGTGAGGGTGCATAGCAGCTCTGGGTATGTGTGTGTGTGTGTTAAGGGTATTGAAGGGATAGACGTACGGAGGCACACAAGTTTCGATAATGGTAAGGACAATGGAGAAGAATTTTCTCTTTGTATGTCAGGGAAAATGTACTCATAAGTTACAGACTGAAAAACACTGAAGAAGCCTTTGTGAAGGGAAATTTTTTATGATAAATTGATTTTTGGGCAAAAATCTTTTTTTGCCAAAAATATTGTAAAAATTGCTTCTTGCAAAAATTTCAAACTGTACAGAAAGGTGTAAAATGGAAAGCAAAAGTATCAAAATCTCTCATTATCACCCCCAGAAACTACCATTCTTAACTTTCACTTGTGTATCCTTCCAGGACTTTCTTGGGCATAGATTAACATGCGTCTACATATGAATATTTTTAATTTCAAAAATGAAAATATATATTACATACTTTTGCAAATTGCTTTTATTTCCACTTAACAGTATATCTTAGATATCTTTTCATATGTGCCTGTATAGCTATACCTACTTCGTTCCTTTTTAACAACTGTATTATAATTTATTAAATTATGGAATATTTTTATTATGAATTCAAGGGCCACTTAAAAGTGTTTTCTCTGTGCAGAGCTTTGCATAAGTGTTTGCATCTCACAATTCAATATTCAATTTAGCATCAATAGTTGGTATCAGTCCAACAGTATCTCCTCAGAGAGGCCTTCCCTCTTTCCCCTGGGAAAAATAGCTTTGCCCCTAACCACACTCTCACTCTTCCTAACAAATTACCTTGTGTTGTTTTCCTTAATTGGCATTTATCTCTATCTGAAATGCTCTAATATAGCAAATTGTTTATTTATTTTTGCATAGCTGTCTCTCCCCACTAGCCTGAGACTGCACAACATACAATGGGTGTGCAAAACGTATCTGTTAATGGATGAATGATCAAATGATTGAATTGAACATACTGTGGCATATAAAAACAAGGAATGGCAAGGAGGCATGTGATGACTCAGGCAGCAAATGGAACTTAAGGCGTACTGTGTTAAGGGATAAATTCAATTCTATGGGAGCTCATTGAGGGGAGCAAATCATTTATCATAGACAGAAAGGAAAGGCTTCAAGTGAAAGTGAATTAGAAGTGACAGTGTAAGAATGAGAATGACTGACAGGTAGGGACTGTGGGAATGGTATCACAAGGTAGAGGACGTGTCTAGACAAAGTTTGGAGGCGGGTAATTGCCTGGCATATTTGGGGAGAGGTGTCTTTGCCACCATGGTGGGAGCTCGGGATGTGCATGGGGAAGGCCTAGTGGATTGGGGAGGGATTTGAATGCTATATTGAGAGATTTTGATCATTTTACTCTAAGCACTGGGGAACTATTAAGGATTTTTGAGGTGGGAAGTGATGGGTTAATGATATATTTTAAGAGGGTAATATTTTCAGCAATGGAAATATTTGTTGGAGCAGGGAAAGGCTGAGGTTATGAAGAAGCACTAAGAGAGAAGACGAGGGCAAGGTCCAGACAGGTTGGAATGACTGACCTATTTAGGTGGGGAAATTTAGCTGTGCTTGATGTCACTCATCAAGATCAGTAGTTGGCAGACCATGGCCTATGGGCCAAATCTGGCCCACTGTCAATTTTTGTAAATAAAGTTTTTTTGGGAAATAGTCATGTCCATTCTTTTACGTATTGTCGAGGGCTGCTTGGTGCTCCACTGGCAGAATTGAATAGTTGTGAAGAGCCCACATGGCCTGCAAGGCCTAATATATTTACTACCTGGATCTTTTTCAGAAAAGGTTTGCTAGTCCCTGATCACGATGAACAGTATCTATATCTCTCTCATGTAGGTCTTAGATGCTGAGATCATTACCATCTTAAAAGAGAGCAAGGTTTATCCCTGTCCCTGGGAACCAAGGGTCACACTTTCCCATCAACCAGCTGTTGCTCTTTGCCTTGAGCTTTGTCTTAAGTTCCAGTGAATTTATGAGCCACAAAAGCCCTGAATCTCAGAAGCCCTAAGATGCAGCCCGGAAAAGCTGATTGGGAAGGAGACTGTGTCCCTGGCCAAGGGCCAACAGTGCAGCTTTCTCAAGATCCCATCTTTGCCTTTGCAGAGCCCACCTGGTTGCTTGCCCCTGTTAGGATGTCGCCTCCTTGTCATCAGAGCTGCTTGCAGCCCGTGTCCTATCCTGGCTTGCCCTTCCTCCAAGGACAATTCAAAGTTTTTGGATTTTCCTTTGTAAGAACACAACAGCAGGGACATGACACCCTTTCAAAATGCAGAGGGGGCTTTACACTCACATGCACATGGACTCCTCTCTCAAAAAGTCTCAGAATGGGAAACCTCACATTCTCAGCAGATGGCCTTTTAGCAGCATCTCAGCTGTTAGGATACCTGTTATCTGATTGATACTTCCAAGATCCTGGTTGAAATCCCTTTGTTTCCTTAGTCTTGAGGATATGCCTTCATGTTTTATGTTTTAAATTGTGGCTGTTTCATATAATATGGGTTGGCATTTTCAACAAGTTAAAAATTCACCAAGACATCATTCCTCCATTAGTAATAGTGACGCAAACTTTCCATTTTGGTGAATGGCCCTACAGTTCCTCACTTCAAGGTATTGAGTGAAATGGGAGTTTCCTTGCTGACTTTTCTCAGCTTATTTTTCCCCTTGACTTACCCACTTGAAAATTATTGCTTGCCTATAAATAGCTCCTACTTATTTCTAAAGTCAAGAGTTTGTTTGTAGGTTGTTTACTAGGATGTCATCAGCCAAACTGCAGTGTCAGGCTGCTCAGGGGCAAGCTAATTTCCTTTTGAAAATTGCAATTCTGAAAGCTGCACATATTTTATCTCCATCATCAGTAGGAACCAAAGTACATGTAGCTTCATGCTGTGATATACCAGCAAGCTAAATAAAAATGATCCCACTCTTGCAACTTAAAATAGGTAACATTGGTGTGAACTGACCCTGATGTGGCACACACGAAATTAACTTTCAGGATCTCTGAGCCATCATCCTTCAACAAGAGGCTTGGGTGACTGCCAGTCAAGCGAAGCAAGCCATATGTATTAAGATCTCTTTGAAGAGAGGAAAGAGGCAGTATTTTCAAATAAGTTCCAAATTGAAAGTGACAAGGGCAGATGCTTCAATCTACAGGCAATGATTTGCAAAAGAGCTGTTTGATACATAGGCAACTCTAGGTATCAGGCTTCAGGGTATACAGACTGGGGCACCCTATAGGGTGATTTTGCTTCCTTTCCACCCACGACCACCCATCCCCAGCTCAACTCATCATCACCAGGGGACATTTGACAATGTTTGTAGACATTCTTGGTTCTCACAACTGGAAAGGGAGGTGCTGTTGGCATCTAGTGGGTAGAGGCCACGGATGCTGCTAAACATCCTACAATGCACAGGATAGCTCTTCACAACAAAAGTAAATGGTTCTCCTATGCAGTGTCTGAGTTGCCAGGTTGTTTTTTTTTTTTTTTTTTTTTGAGACAGGGTCTTACTCTGTCACCCAGGCTGGAGTGCAGTGGCATGACCTAGGCTCACTGCAGCCTTAGGTTCAAGTGATCCTCCCACCTCAGCCTCCTGAGTAGCTGGGACCACAGGCATGCCACTGAGCCCAGCTAATTTTTTGTATTTTTTTAAAAGACTTTGTTCATGGCTATTTATAAGATAAATATATACAAATTCATTAGCTTGTCCTATAATACCATAAGCACCTAAAATGAGCAGGGTTTCTCCATGTTGCCCAGGCTGGTCTTGAACACCTGAGCTCCAGTGATCTGCCCATCTCAGCCTCCCAAAGTGCTGGGATTACAGGTGTGAGCCACCTTGTCTGGCCAGGAATTTGTCTTTGGTTAGTAGTAAATAGTGAGACATGTAAAAATAGTGAAACACATGCTCAGGTGGGTCTCACTTAGAGGAAGAAGTGGGATTCAGGAGTCCTCAGGATGATGGAAGGAAGAGGCTGCGGAGAGCTGGGGTGGGGCTGGGATTTCCATGCCCAGGGATGTGGAATGAGAAGGAATTAGAAGCTGGGTTCACGATGAACTGAAGAGGACAATTGGAAGTAAGTGATTCTGTAGATGGGAGAAGGGAGGACCTGTTGACTTGCTGGCAGGTAGAGAGTTTCCTACTGGCACACAGATGCCTTCATGTAACCCGGCCTCTGCTCTCATGGTGGGGTGCTCCCGGAAGCACCCTGTCCTCCACCACTCCTGGTATCTCACCCTGCACCCTGTCCTCCACCACTCCTGGTATCTCACCCTGCACCCTGTCCTCCACCACTCCTGGTATCTCACTCCTCCCTCTCATCACCTTTTCTTCCTAGACATGCTGCTACCTGAGAAATCCCTGCACCGCTCTCACCAAGTGAAGAGTATTTGGGAAATGAGGTCCTTGGCAGCGATAAAATTATTTTGCAAAATTATACAACCTTACTAAAACCATTCCAGTTAAAATCTAGATGAGATTGACTGTCGTGAATATTCTTTCTTAATATTTGCTTAGAGATTCTGGTTAACGTAATAGTTTTTAAAAAGAACAATTTGTGTAAACTTTGGAATAGAAGAGATAAAATAATCCCCTTTGCTGGATCTGCAACTGTATACTTAGAAAAGCAGTATCTAGTAAAAAATACTAGAATAAATAAAAGACTTTTTCATGGCTATTTATAATATAAATATATAGAAATTCATTAGCTTGTCCTATATTACCATAAGCACCTAAAATGAACACAGAGAAAATATTCCATTCTGAGTAGCAATGACAATTATAAAAAATTTATTAAAGACATAATTTGTTCTTGAAAATGGAGGCTTAGAATTGTATTTTTTCTAAAACTAATGTGAAAATTTAATTAAATTTTAGAGAATCTCAATAGCTTTTTCTCTTTGAAATTGGAAAAAAAATCATCTTAAATATCATATAGAAGGACAAGTGTCCAAAAGTAGCTAGGAAAGTGTGACTAAAAAGAAAGAGGGAGTTGGATTTGCTTTAGCAGATAGCAAAACAACTTCTAATCATATAAAGATGACGTTGTCATAGGAATGGAGAAATAGACCAGCACAATGGAATAAAGAAAGTAGAAAACAATGTGAACCTACGTGAGGATTTAATATATTACAAAGGTGATCTAATGAGAAAATAGGGGATTTTTATAGAAATGGTGTTGGCATAATTTTTTCTTCATGTGGATAAAGATAAAATTAGAATTTGTCTTACATCATGTTCAAAAACAAAATATATTTCAGATGGATTAAAGGCATAAATGCAAAACAATACAACAACATACAATCAAATCTACAAAACTTCATGAATAATTTAGGAGGAGAGGACATTTTCTTAGCTAAGACAGAAAACCAGAGACTATAAAAATATATATAAATATGTGCATATATATATATATATACAAAAATAACAATGATGTCAGAGGAGACCATAAATAATATCAAGAAACAAATGATAAATATGGAAAAATATGGCTCCAATGTAGAAGACCAAGATTTTTGTCTATAATATTTGAAGAGCGCTTATAAAGTAGTAAGGAAAAAGACAAATGATTCAACAAAAATAAGGAAAATGATATGGAAAAGAAATTCACTAGAGGAGAAATCAAAATGCTAACAAATACATGAAGAAGTGCTTACTCTCACTAGTAGTCAGGGAAATGCACATTCCAAAATAACAATGAGCTATCACTTTAGTTCCATCAGACTGAAAAAACTTCCTGAAAACCAAAATACATATTCCATCTGAGGCAGCAATCCCTTTCCTGGGGCCTCGGAAACAAAACTCCAAAATGTGGAGCTCTATCTATAAATCTTATTGATGCTTTGTTTATAACATTAAAGAAATCTGGAGACAAGTAAGTGTCTATCAAGACAGGGATGGATAAAAAAATATGGGCCCATCCGCATCATAACATATTGTACAACTTTAAAAATAATAACTTAGAACTATCTCATTTGACTTGGGGACATTTCTATGAGATATTGTTGAAAAAGAAATGCAGAATGCTGAAATGCTTGTATAATATGATTTCTACTGTTAAACAAGCAGTGACTTACCCTTAGGATAGTATAAGTATGCATGTGAGCTGGGAGAAAAAGACATAGAAGGATACCAAATAGGTTTTTAGTGCTGTGAGGGTAGATAGGGGGTAGGAAGGGGGAGGCCAATAAAAAGGGAGGAAAAAAAGACAAGACTATAATACTCGCCTCCCCCATATCTGTAACATGATTCAAGTTTTAATTTATCTAAAATCAATATATCTATTTTGTGTGTTTTTGTTATTTGTTTATTTTTAAGAGATGGGGGTCTCTCTCTCTCTTGCCCAGACTGGACTCGGGTGGCACAATCATGGCTCACTGCAGTCTTAAACTCCTGGGCTCAAGACATCTTCCTGTGTCAGCCACCCAGGTAGCTGGGATTGCAGATGTGAGCCACCGTGCCTGACTTGTGTGTTTCTGTGTGAGTGTGTGTATGTATATATGCATACCCAAGTTAACTGGTTGGAACAAAAAAAGAAATTAAAAAAATAATGATTTTCAAAAATATGCTATGAATTTATACAGCAGTTTTCTTTCAAAGAACTCTGAATGCTTTGATGTAGACCATTCATTTCATCCTCACAACTTCCCTGGGAGTTGTGACCTTTAAATGTCAAACCCCACAGGACTCTCTGCCTGGCTCCAGTGACGGACATCTGGAGTGAGATGCCTGCGGCAGCCCCTTTTCATCTTTGTGTCAGAGTATGTGGGGAGCTGGACTTTGCTGCTGGGCTATGCTTGCCTGCAGGGCTGTGGGTTTCTTCAAGCTCCTCTGTAATTTCTGTACCCCTCCAGATACAGCTTACCCTCTTAGATGAGAGAGAGTGCTCCAAGGCTTTCCCAGGTGCAGGTTCTGGAGCCCTGAACAGGGCACAAAAAGAGCAGTCAGTCAAGGAATGCCCTACCGAACCATTTCCATAGACTGACATAGCAAGATCCTAAATGGGAGAACCAGTTCTACTAAGCAGGGGATGCACTGCTGCGTAGAGTGGAAACCGTGGGGCTCTTCCCCACAGAGGCTGTATGGGGTGCTGTGAAAATCACGGCTTTGTAATACAAGAGTCAAGGATGAAATTCTGGTTTTACCGTGTGCTGGGAAACTTAATTTTCTGAGCTTGAAAACTGACTCCTCACCAAATAATTTTCATTTACCAGGTTATTGTGAGGATTAACTAAGATGATGACTATAGAAGCATCAACACCTGCCTGGCAGGTAGGAGGAGCTTAACCAGCAGGTGGTAGGGAAACAATATTAAAAACCTATCAGGATTTGGCCTTGTGTTCTCTCCATTTCTCCTTTAATCCCTCTCGCCTTTTTTTCAGATGTTCATTGAGTCACTGTTACCAAATATTGGCCCCTGGAAATCTCATAGTGTAATTAAAAAGATGAAGAAGGAAACAGATACTCTGTGGTGTCATGGAGAATTTGTTAAAGACTTTTAATTGAGGTATGCACCGAATGCTTTGAGCACATGTAGGAGGATAACCTCACGTGTGTGCAGTAGCCAGGAAAGACTTACTAGAGAAGGTGATATTTGAGAATTCACCTGGTTGATTAGGGGATAGGGAATAAGTGGTAATGGGTATGTGCTGGTGTGAAGAAAACTTATATACAGGATGACAGGTATGCAAAAAAGCCAAAAGGTGAAAAACTATTGATGTTAACATTTATGGCTACTATTTTTGGTATAAAAATTAACCTGACTTAACAAAGGATTTTGTACAATTACTGTTACCTGTATTGATTAAAGTGGTTTAGACCCAATAATACAGAAGTGTGGAAACGTTTCAGCAGTTTATGAGGATAACTAAATTACATTAAAATGGGAGCTGTGATCCCAGTCTTCAAGATGGCTCCAAAGACCCCTGCCTCCTGGTTTTCAGGCCCTTGTACAGCCCCCTCCCACAGTGGACCAGGGTTGGTCTGTGTGACTAATAGAATACAGAAGATGTGATGGTGTGGCATTTCCCAAAGAAGTTATAAAATTCTATGGCTTCTGTCTTGGGCTCTCTTTCTCTGTCTTGGATCACTCAGTCTGGGGGAAGCTGGCGGCCAACTTGTGAGGACACTCAGGCAGGCTTTGGAAAGGCCCACGTGGAGAAGTGAGTCCGCCAGCAACCGTGGGAGTGAGCTGGAAAGCACATCCTTTAGCCTCAGATGACTGCAGCTCTGCCTGAGAGCTTGCTGCAACTTCATGAGAGATCCTGAACCACCTGCTAAGCTCCTCTTGGATTCTTGACCCATAGAATCTGTGAGATGATAAATATTTGCTCTTTTAAGGATAATTTATTATTTAGCAATAGATATTTGTCTCCCATTCTTTATCTTTCTCTGCATCAATGCCCTTTGCTATATGATATTGCAGTTTCTCCTACTAGAAGTACCATATATATCCTTTCCCCACCATGTTGAACTTGGCCATGTAACTTGCTTTGGCCTATGGAACGTGGAAAAAAATGACCATATGTCTCTTAGTAGCTATTTAGGCCTTGAGATGTATCACATACTACTGCTCACCTTTTTGATGGTAGCTGATAGTAGCTGATCCTCCTTCAACCTGGGTCCCATAAGGAACACATTAACAGAGCCACTCCAGCCAAACTGTAGACTAGGAGCCTGAGAATAAATTATTGTTTCAAGCCATTGGGTTCAGGGTGTTGGTTACACAGAATTAATATGGCAATAAGAAATTGATGCTATCCCTTCAGATATGTCAGGAGAAAAGGACACATAAAGATGTGGTCAATGAGATTGGAAATACAAGTTGAGACTCCATTTTGAAGGGCCTTGAGTACCAAACTACACAGTTTGGATTTTTTTTTTTTCTGCAGGAAGCACATACAATTCATTTTGAGAACACTGTCATGGCATTGTTGAGAATGGACTAAAGAGAGCAAGCCTAGAGGCAGAAGTCTAGGCTTCTAGGAACTTTGCAAAAGTCCATATGAGATGTGTGATACGGGCTTGAATTAGGGCATGGGCAGTAACAATGAAAGGGGAGAATTGATTTAATGTTGAGACTGTCTCCTGAAACAACTTGTCCTTTTTACTAAAGGAATGTATGGGGAGAGAAAGTTTCCCACTGTAGACTGACACCTTCATGAAGCCAGGAAGCCTAGCCTGATTAAATTTTCAGGCAGACCCCATTATTTACTCTTTCTGGATCAATGAAAGAAGTACAAGTTATTTCATAGGATGTTGGGCAAAGCCAATGCCCAAATGCCTGCCAGGGCACATCTGAACTGAAAGTGAATGTTCAAGGATCCATCTTGCTTTCAAGAGAACACTCCCTTTGCATACACGTAGATGATTTCCCTTCCTCTCCTTGACTTCACTCAGGCCAACTCCTCCAAAGTTAGGGGAGTATGGGTTAGCTGTTGGTTTCTTTGTTAGAGGAACTCTCAGACATAGTTTATAGGTTGCCCATGGGAAATTTGGTCAGAGCAGGGCCAAAGGCTTCATGAGAAACCTAATCAGTTTCTACCACTTGATCTGAATTAAGAAGAGTATTCCAAGCAGGACAGGTTTGAGAGACTTTCCTCCTCACTCTGAAGTCATAAGTTTGGCTAGGAAAATTGGGATCCATCTGGTATTTTCTACACATTAACATATTAGCTGGGAGGAGTCTTACGTTATTGCCTAAGAGTGTGAGATGCTATAGACTGATTGTGATGATCATTCCTGCATATTGGTACAAAGATGTGTGTGTTTCTGGCAAGCAGAAGTATGCTAAATGAAGCCTAATAAATACTTGTTGATATGCAATGTTCATTGAATGAGACTGGCTAGTCCATATCTGTCAGACAGAATTACGGAGATACATTCTTGGCTGTAAAGATGGAGTCTGGGAGATTTGCAAATGCATCAGGGATTTTCAGATGTAAGAGACTTAGAGCCATGGGAGAGAATATTATACCATTTTTGTGTCTTGTGATCTAGGCTCAGGCCAAGCTGTAATGTAGTAAAGGGTAATTCATAGGCTCAGTATCTCAGGTTTGTCACACGGAAAAACTTTTCCTATAGAAATTTCCCTACTGGTCTGTTGAGAGAATTAATCAGCATTTGCAACGAATTTACAAAGACTTTTGAAAACTGGAAAGCAGCTAGAAAGTACAGTTATAACAGCTGTTTCCTCCAAGTTAGAGGAGTGTGGCTTAGCTGTGGGCCTCTTTGGTGAATAAACTCTGAAGCCTGATCCTGAAGAGATTAGGAACAATATTTGTAGTGTAGTGTGTAGTGATGGGTCTTACAACTGGTGGCACGATTCAGGCCTGCTCCATCCAGGAGACTGGTTGACTTGAACAGAAGTTGGAGTAAGCAAGATGTTGAGCATAGAGACCCATGTAGAAACCACAACCACCTGTTACCTTGAACATCACAGCAAAGATGGCTTTATAGTAATCTTCTTTGGAAACAGTGCCGTTAAGTCAACAAGGGCTGCAGGTGCCGGGGATGGCTCAGACCACACCAAGCCATGTGCACATTAGCCTCATGGTAAGGAACCGGGGTCTATTACTGTTGGATGTGGTCACTCTCAGCGGCAAACACAGCATTTCTACTCGGAAATCACAGTTAGACATTGAGACTTGGGATTTAGAAGTATTTGTTTCTGTTGCATTTCTTGGTTAGGTCCAGGGGCCTAATACAAAAATTGGTACTAATACAAAAATTGCCAGGGCACATTTTACCAGTTGTGAAATCAGGAAAGATCCTCTGGTGGACTCTCATTTGGAGGGTGAGGAGTGAGGCCAGAGAGGTGAAGTGCCTGCCCAAAGTGAGGCAACTCGTCTGTGGCCAAGTTGGAGACCAGCACCCATCTTCTAACACCTAATTGATGAATGATCTTTACCATTTTACCACTTTTGTTCTGCTTCACTTCTTGGCATTGATCATATCCCACTCTGGCTCCTAGAAAGAAGTCATCTGCCCCCTTCAAATGAAGAAGCAGACAAGCCTACTGCTAACCTCCATGATCCCTCTTGAGAAGGTCCCCATGGGTCTCCCCGACTCCAGCCAAAGGGTTGTCCATTGCCTTAGCTTATCTTCGATTGGCCTCACTGGGCCTGACCTTTCTTCTCTACATACTTTCCCTTCCCCCCAGCCTCCAGCCGTAGGAGAAAATCCTCTGTATTTTATGGCACCCTTCTCAAGAAATATTGGAATTTTACCAGTTCCTTTTAACAATAGAACCCAAGGGGTGACTAATGGTAGAAAGTAGGTACATAGGGAGCTCAGTGAGGGAGTCCAGTTAGGACAAGGAGATTTTCTTGTGCTTCTGTGCTATAGAAATTTCCCTACTGTGGCCTGTTACTCTGTACACAGAACTGAGCTTGGACCCCACTAATTTGCCTTAAAGGAAAGGGTGGCTCACAGTTTTGGGCATGCTTTGGTATAAAGCGAATTAGTAGTATTACAGATATAACACATTCTGTAAGACACTAAACAGAGAACTAGAGCTAGAGATAGGCAACTATTAATATTATGGTTAAATGGTAGTCTATAGAAAAATGCAAAGAAAGAACATAATTTTTAATATCGTACCACCGACTTTGTAAATGTCTTCTAGTTAAACAGGGCATGATAACCTATCTGCAATGTAGTTACATCTTACTTTTGTAGATTATTATCCAGAGAATAACAACTGGACACAGTCTAGTATCATCCTTTGAGACCTTGAACACATAAATTGTTTTTCCCTTATCTCCTTAATCTCCTAGTCTGTAAATAAGGCTAATAAATACCACATGTCACATCTAAAAATCACATCCTTTAAATTTAACTGCCTCTAAATAGTCTTAATTTTTTTTAATGATAGATAAAATCCTAAGTATTTATTGTATACAACATATTATTATGAAGTATATGTACATTGTGGAAGGACTAAACCTAGCTAATTAACATTAGCATTACCTCACGTAGTTATCATTTTTGTGGTAAGAACACTTTATATCCACTTTCTTAGCGTTTTTCAAGAAGACAATGTATTATTTACTATAGTTACCATGTTGTATAATAGATTTCATAAACTTTTTCTTCCTAACTGAAATTTCACAGCCTTTGACCAACAATCTCCCCAACCCACCCCAATCACCTCAGTCTCTTGTAACCACCGTTCTACTCTCTACTTCTATGAGATCAACTTTTTTAGATTTCACATGTGAGTAAGATCATGCAGTATTTATCTTTCTGTGCCTGACTTATTTCACTTGACATAATGTCTTCCAGTTTCATCGTGTTGTTGCAAATGATAGGATTTCCTTCTCCTTTATGACTGAATAGTATTCCGTTGTGTGTATATATACTACAAGGGTATCCAATCTTTTGGCTTCCACAAGCCACATTGGAAGAGTAAGAATTGTCTTGGGCCACACATAAAATACACTAACACTAACAATAGCTCATAAGCTAAAACACAAATTGCAAAAAAAAAATCATAATGTTTTAAGAAAGTTTACGAATTTGTGTTGGGCTGCATTCAAAACCATCCTTGGCTGCATGCAGCCCATGGGCCACAGGTTAGACAAGCTTATACCTCATTCAAAACATCTCTTCATCCACTGATGGACACCTAGGTTGATTCCATATCTTGGCTCTTGGGCATAATGCTGCAACAAGCATGGGAGTGAGGATATCTCTTTGACACGCTGATTTTATTTCCTTGGGATATAAACCGAGTAGTGGGATTGCTGGCTGGATCATATGGTAGTTCTATTTTTAATTTTTTGAGAAACCTTTATACTGTTTTCCATAATAGTAGTGTTAATTTACATTCCTATCAACAGTTTGTGAGGTTTCTCTTTACTCCACATCCTTGCAAATTAACTTTTGCCTTTTTGGTGATAACCATTCTAACAGTTGTTAGCCTCACCTAAATATTCTTAATTATATCAGTTATCAGCTGTCACAATAATAATGCATAACAAACAGCCACAAAACCTCAGTGGCATACAGTGATGCTTTTGTCAGTGGTTAGGGTACCCACCAGGGCTACTGTGAGACAGACTTGAGCCAAAATCCCATTCATTGCTTGACTTCCATAAAATCCTGCTGATTGATGGATCACAGTGGTGCTTTAGATCTACAGTAATTAGTGGATGTCCAGTATTCACTGAAAAGCCTGATCATTTTTCCTTCTCCAATGCACAATTTCCTGGATAAAGGCCATAAGTCCCTTTGGGGAGAGCTAAGAGGAAGATTTAGTATCTGTATTTTTTGTCTGGGTAGCATGGTCCTTACTCAAGGGGACTCAGTCTCTTCTTTATTCAAGGAGTTCTGGGTCTGTGAACTGGCTCAAGGTTGGGAATTGGTTGTTACTTAGATTTCTGTTGTTGAAAACTGGTAAAATAATTCAGTTCATTTGTTGTTTATTGTACCTCCTCTTAAGTCACACTTTGTATCTTGACCACATGAGTCTTCTTCACACAGAAACCCACTGAGATTTAGGTCTAGTAAAGGAGCAGTGAATGGTGGTGGGATTAGGGCTGGAGGAAGATCAAGCAAGGCAAAATATCTCAGGAGTTCCAGCAAGGCAATATATCTCAGGAGAGGTAATGATAGGCTCTTCAGATAAGAGGAGACTAATCTCCTTAGGGGAAGAAGGGCTGCCTCTATTGGCAAAGGAGAGTTAAGAGAGTTAAGGGGTTTGAATCTACCAGCTTCATTAGGATTTACCCATATATTCACATCCCAATACTCAGGATTGCATTCTCTATCAATTAAAAAGTATTGGTTATTTTTGTTGTTGTTTTTTTTTTTTTTTGAGACGGAGTCTCGCTCTGTCACCCAGGCTGGGTTGCAGTGGCGCGATCTCAGCTCACTGCAAGCTCCACCTCCCAGGTTCATGCCATTCTCCTGCCTCAGCCTCCCGAGTAGCTGTGACTACAGGTGCCTGCTACCACGCCCGGCTATTTTTTTTATATTTTTAGTAGAGACAGGGTTTCACCATGTTAGCCAGGATGGTCTCGATCTCCTGACCTTGTGATCCACCCGCCTGGGCCTCCCAAAGTACTGGGATTACAGGCGTGAGCCACTGTGCCCTGCCTAAAAAATACTTTTAGAGATAATGTCTCAGTGTGTTATCCAGGCTGGAGTGCAGTAGTAAAATAGCTCACTGCAGCCTCAAACTCTTGGGCTCAAACAATTGTCCCACGTCAGCCTCCTGAGCAGCTGGGACTACAGTCATGCTTCACTACATCTGAATAATTTTTTAAACTTTTTTTGTAGAGATGCGGTCTTGCTGTGTTGTCTGGGCTGTTCTGGAACTTCTGGCCTCAAGCAATTCTCCTGCCTCAGCCTCCTGAAGTGCTAAATTACAGGTGTGAACCACTACACTCAGCCTCTTTACCAGTTAATATCCTAACTTTAACATAGGAGACTCTATGAGGAAGGGAAGTCAATTTGCATTGTAAGTCAGCCACCTGCTGTTCTAGACTTTGGGTGTGGCTTTTGAAAATCTTAGCCCTAAGGCAGAAGAAGATAAAAGTTTCTTTTAGGGTAGTCATATATTTGAGGCCCCTTATGTAGATCTTGAGCTGGGAATTTAGTCCTGAGCTGTTTTTTTGTTTTCTACACATTTTCAAGCACATTTAGAAGCAAACAACAAAACCACTCTTAGTACCAATTTTTGTATTAGTCAGGGTTCAATCAGAGAAGGAGAAACAACTATGAGTGATTTTGTTATTATATAATAAGAAATTTCTTATAGAAATTTGACCTTATGGAATTGTGGGCGTTGTTAGTTTATGTGCATGTTTTGCACGTGCATAACACAAGCTATTGTGCATATGTGCATGTACCCCAAATACACAGAATATCTTTAGTTCTGGCAAAAGGGTAGACTAAGATAACCTGAAACTCTCCCGCTACAAATTGTGAGAGAAGCCAAATAAGGTGTGTAAAAATTTTTTTGAAATATTTGCTAAGCTTGCCAGAAAAAAAGGAAATCCCTAGATCCCAGAAAAGAAGATGGAGTTGAAAACCAGATTAGTAAACTTGTGATCTGACACGTGGCTGCCCTTGGAGTGAAGATTATGGGTTCCTGCAACCTGGGGCTTAGCTTTAAGGATGACAATATGTTAAATAAGGAGCTAGAACTTGCATGATATAGGGAATAAATCTGAGGTTTCTGCAAAAGCCAAGACATTTGAGAGGCTGAGGCTGTACCCTCAATGATAGGGTGAAAAAACAAGCAAACAAAAAAACGCCCCAACCCACCCCGGCAAAAAAAAAAAAAAAAAAAAAGGCCAAAGATACAAAAAGGAAACCTCTGTGTTTCCATATGGTTCTTGATGAAAAAAAAGTCTGACCTGAGAAAATGAAACCACCAACCTATACTTTACATGGACTTAATATCCACATTTATTTGCCTGCATGGTACAGGAATCCAAAATGTATAATAAATGATATGAAATAGTAATAAATTGATAAGCAGTGATACAAATGAAAACAATAATAGGATCAACAAAATAATGAGTTTTGGGGATGTAATTTCAAGGTGGAATTAAAAATAGAAGAAAACTATTACATGTAGAATAGGAGTTTACTGAATTTAAAATGTTTTAATAGTCTATTATTTATAAGAAGTTAGAAATATTGGTTAAATTAAGATTTCTGTTGATTAATCATATATAAGAATGTTAAGGGTAATCTCAAAATATAGAAATAGAAAATATTGCTTTAAAACCAGAACAAGGCAAAAGAGGAAATAGAAAATATGATAAATCCAACAGTTTAAGGGAAAAAAAGAAAAAGAAAAGAGTAAATAGAAAGCCCAAAACAGAATTACAGAAATAGGTCCAAATAAATATATCACTAATCATTATAAATGTAAATGGCCTAAATTCACCAGTTCAGATACAGAGACTCAGATTCTTTTAAGAAAAACTGACTTTAGGCTGGGTGGGGCGGCTCACACCTGTAATCCCAGCACTTTGGGAGGTGGGCAGATCACCTGAGGTCAGGAGTTTGAGACCAGCCTGGCCAACATGGTGAAATCTCGTCTCTACTAAAAATACAAAAATTAGCTGGGAGTGGTGGCGCATGTCTGTAATCCCAGCTACTCATGAAGCTGAGGCACAAGAAATGCTTGAACCTGGGAGGCGGAGGTTGCAGTGAACTGAGATCCAAGATTGCACCACTGTACTCCAGCCTGGGCAACAGAGTCAGACTCTGTCAAAAAAAAAAAAAAAAAAAAAAAAAGAAAAAACTGACTTTAAAACCTTGATATGATGGTTTCAAAATACAAAAGTATAATATCACAAAAAGTTGAAAATAAAATAGTGGTAAAAGAGATACTATGAAAATACTAATACAAGGAAAGCTCGGGACTCACACAAATATCAAATAAAATAGACTGTAAAATGAAAACATTATGCATGAAGATGATTATTTTATAGCAATAAATAGGAATAACTTTTACAATTAAAACTTTAAATTAAAATCCTGAGTGAGCAAGTATCTAGCAACATGGTCTCAAAATATGTAAACCCCAAACTGAAGAACTTCAAGGAGAAATCGACAAATCAACAACCACAATAGGAAATCGTATTGTATACATTAGTTAGAAATTGATAAATTAAGAAGACAAAAAAATAGGTAAGGGCATAGGAATTTTGACTAATATGATTAACATGGTAGGTATGATGGATATTTATAAAATTCTGTACACATGAATTAGGAAATATATATTCATTTTAAGGGTAAATGTAACTGTTACCAAAATTGATCACATGGATTGAATTGGCCTGGGGTAGATCTCAGGAATCAGTTTTTTTCTAAAGTTCCCCAAGCAATTCTAATGTGTAGTCAGGATTGAGAGATGCTGTATTATAGCAATTTAAAATGCATGGCCTGTATTTTCATGTAATTATGCGAATACATCTTGAAAAAGCTGATGTTGAGAAGAAAAAAGCCAGTTACAAAAGGAGCATGTATTATGTTTATGTCAAATGTTTAAAAACACAGTAGTTTATTTGTGATAAAAGTATAAGTTGTATGTTATAAAAACACAAAAATATGTATGAAGTGACATAACTCTGGGGAGAGAGAGGAGGGAAAGGGTTGGAGAAGGACACTAACTAGACATTGAATTATTTCTAAAAAATAAAATATTTCAAAATATGAAAGGTCAAATCTGGGCCAGGCATGGTGGCTCATGACTGTAATCCCAGCACTTTGGGAAGCCGAGGTGGGAGGATTGCTTGAGTCCAGGAGTTTGAGACCAGCCTGGGCCACATAGCAAAACCCTGTCTCTACAAAACAACAACAACAAAAGGTCAAATCTGGTGGTTGGTGTATGGAATGTTGTTATATAATTTTGGTCCTTTTGTGTATTTGAAATATCTCATATTTCAAAAATTGAACAAAAAATAAATTCATAGATGAATTAGGTCTCATGTCCACTGTGCAATACAGAGAGCATATCTATTGACCAGGGAAGGAGCCTGTAATTGTTTTTTTTCTTATAAGGTTTCACAGCATGACATTGTCTTGGTGATTCCACAAAGGAGCTGAATCTTTCAGGCTCAAATTTTTGATTTGTCAGCACATCAGTTAAGTGAGAAATAAAACTTTTTTTGGACCTAAATATTCCTCAGTGATAGGTACATTCGCAGACTCACATTACATTGGAAGAGGATCCCTATGGAGATGTTTGCTTAGAGAGCACCAGAATTAGCCTAAGAGGAATTGTTTAAACAATAGCATGTTCAATAGCATCAGGCTCTGATAACCCCTGAGGCAGTTATCTCATAATGGGATTGGCCTTGGCAATATGATTGAAAGTCTCAAATTCCGTTTGCTGAGATTCTCTCGCTCTGAACAGAGCTGAATGAGCAGAGTCTACATCTGACTCTGTGAATATCATTTTTTTGGGCTTTCAAGGCCTTTGCTACCCTCCATACATCCAATCTGGATTCACCACTTTCCCTCTCTGCTCCCATACCTCTTTGCAGACTTCTGTTGGCACTGAGGATGTGAAAATTTCAAATTATGTGTCTGTCTCCCCAACTGGACTGATTGCTCCACCAAAGGCAAGAACCACGTCATTTAAACTTTCCATCCTTTAAGTCCTTGATGCTGGTTGCAGACTATTTTGAACTCTGCTTCTGGGCATGTGGTAGAATTGTACCTCCTGACCCCCTGAGGCCATCTGGCTGGTTCTGTATGAGTGTGATTTGTGCCAACCCTGGGCCGGAGAAGCTGAGACCTTCCCACCCCCTTGGCTATTTCCTTGGCTGACCAGCAATGTAGAGCAGTGAGTGCTCTGTCAACCCAGGGCTCTGAGTGGGCATGATGGAGATGAAGAACAGATTGCCAGCCAACCCATGCTGCATGTTCAGTGTGAGTGTGAAATAATCCTTCTTGGTTTTAAGTCACTATGATGTGGGACTGTCTGTTACCACAACATTAGCAAGTCCATCCCGACTGATACGTATCCCCAGCATCTGGTATGATGCTGGCACCTATAGGTGCTTAATAAATGTTTGCTGAAAAAACTAAACTAGTCTGGGAGAATATTAAATAAAATAGTGTTTGTGAAAGTGTCAGGCATCTAGGGAGCACTCAGTAAATATTAATTGGATCCAAGGAAGGCATCTATATTATGTTTCTTTTTCTTTTTAGAGACAGGATCTTGCTCTGTTCCCCAGGCTGGAGTGCAGTGGCACTGATTAATCATAGCTCACTGTAATCACTAACTCCCAGGCTCAAGTGATCCTCCCACCTCAGCCTCCTGAGTAGCTAGGACTACAGGTGTGCACCACTGTTATGCCTAGGTAATTTTAAAATATTTTTGTAGAGACGGGGGTCTCACTATGTTTCCCAGGCTGGTCTTGAAATCCGGGCTTTAAGTGATGCTCTTGCTTTGGCCTCCCAAAGTTCTGGAATTACAGGTATGAGCCAACCTGCTCAGTCTTAGGTTTCTTTCTAAATGCATACTTCAATTGTGTGTGGGAACGCCTGTCTGGTGGAATGAAAATTAAATTACTAAATTAGATATCATTATCAAGAACAAGAGGAATATCATTTATAGCCAAAGATAAAAAGTGATTACAAAACACATTTCTCAAGCAGAATATTTAATATCTCAAATTAAACAAGCATCCAATAAAAAAGAGTCAGCATTTAAAATTCTGTGGTAGATCTCTTATACTCCAGGTAGGTTGTGTAATTTCTTTCAGAATTACTCATTTAGCTCTTCACTGCCCTCTCCAGGTTCCACAGGTTTTCCTGAGATGGGGAAAGACTCATTTGTTACCAGCAGTGGGGAGTTGCAAGGAGGAGGGATAATGGGTGCTAAAGCATAGGAAATATTTATTTTGAATAGTTTCCTTGGCTTCTGTAATTGTTGCTACTGCCTGCAATGGGCATGACAGCTGAAATAGGGCTTCTTAATAGCTAAACTCCAAGCAAACCTACTTAGTAAGTAAGCAGCCACTAATGTTTATTGAGTATGTAACAATGTCCTAAGAATTTATGAAGGGTGCAAAACATAAATAAAGTTCCTCCCGACAAGGAACTTGTAAAGTACCTGGATGAACTTTGCGTAAGAGGCAACTTGCAAATGTACAAGGGATGATCACTGGTCTGTGTTGGGCAAAGCCCAGGTTGCGTGTGTCGGCCTGTGTGAACACGTATTTCCTTTCTGTATAGAGAATGAATTGCCTCTTGTGTAACTGTGCTAAATGAAGTGCTTGTGTATGTTATCTGCTTTTCTCCTCTAGGAAGAAGAGCTGCCAGGTCCTGGGAGAACAAGAACAGTGCTTTCTCCAAATTTTAACAGGAGTACACGGTGGGAGTGAGAGCTAGTTTTCCTGTAGTAGAAGCTGAAGACAGAGTAAAAATAATTAACTCATGGGAAAAATAAATAAACAAACAATTGGACTCAGCCAGAGGAAAAAGATAGTTAAAACCAAAACATGTAACGCAACCTAGAACAGTCTGTGTAATCTAGCCTCTGCTGTCAACTTAATCTACCATCACGTGCCCCATTATTCACGGGGCTCCACCTTGTATTCCAGTTGTTCCTCTCTGGAACATTTTATGTCTTTTCTCTCTGAGGGACTCAGCTCTTGGTATTTGCCTTGCTCAGAAATCTCTTCCATAGATCTTCACAATGGCCGGCTTGTCTTAGGTCTTAGTTCAAATATCACCCGCTCAGAGAGACCTTGCCTGACTTCCACTATATACATGGAGGGTTTCCAGAACAAATGAAGGTATTGAACAAATGAGCTCCATAAAAATGGAAACAGGGTGCTCTGCTTGGTTTTTCAGAAAAATGGAAATAGCGGCCTCACACATAGAGTTGACATTCCTGAGATTATCCAGTAGATCTGGACTCTGGAGCTCTGAGTCTAAATGTACTGCTATCCAGACAGAGTCTGCAGAGGGACCTCTTGTCATTAACTACTGTGCACCTACAATTTGTTATCAATGAAATGTGTGTAGCTTTTATTTCATGGCCTTGGGAAGCATCCTTAAATCTTTTATCCTTTAGTTTCTTCATCTGAGGTTAACAATATATGTATTTTGAAAGGCTATAGAAACTGGGAAGAAACATTTGCAACTTATAGCACAAAGAGTTAATAACCATAATATGTAAAGAGCTTCAAAAAATATAGAAGAAAAAAGCCAACACATCTATGAAAAATGGGTTGGAAATATGAGCAGAGAGTTCACAGAAAAAGAAAGGAAAATGGATCCTGCATATATGAAAAGACTCTCAACCATACTTTCAGTGAATACACTTTCAAACTTCATTGAGATACAATATTCTCTCCTGTCAGGCTGACAAAAATCTAAAAGATTGACAGCATATTTTGTTGGTGAGGCTGTGGTGAAATAGATGCTTCCATACATTGCTAGTGGGAATGTAAAATGGCATAAGCCTCATGAATGGGAATTTGATATATCTAGTAAAATTACATATGCATTTTCCCTTTGATCCAGTAATCCAACTTCTAGGAATCTATCCAAAAATATGTTGTAAAACTACACAAATACTTTTATATGTGACTATACATTGCAGCATTGTTTATAATAGCAAAAGCTTGGAAATTGGTTGAATAAGGCAATGGAAGGTCCACTCAGTGGAATACTATGCAGCTATAAACAACAAGAAGACGACCTCTGTATTAGTCTGCTTTCATGCTGCTGATAAAGACAGATTTGAGACTGGGCAATTTATAAAAGAGGTATATAATGGACTTACAGTTCCACATGGCTGGGGAAGCCTCACAATCATGGTGGAAGGTGAAAGGCACATCTCACATGGCATCAGACAAGAGAAGAGAGCTTGTTCAGGGAAACTCCCCTTTTTAAAACCATCAGATCTTGTGAGACTCATTCGCTGTCACGAGAATAGCATGGGAAACACCCGTCCCCGTAATTCAATCACCTCCCACGACATGTGGAAATTATGGAAGTTTCAATTCCAGATGAGATTTGGGTGGGGACACAGCCAAACCATATCAACCTCTATACATTGCCATGAAGCGATGACCCCAATAACATGTTCAGTGAGGAGAATTCTTGGCCCTTGTGTATTTTTTTTTTCTTTAAGTAATCTGCATTGAACAAGTCTTAAATTTACAGTTAGAAAAATCAATAGTATATTTTGTTTTATTTTGAATTACCCAGAAGCTCATGAACTTTCTGACCAAAATCCTTTCCCAGAAAGTTTGTCAGTTGAGAACCTGTGAAGTCCAATTCATTTATATGTTAAGATTTGTGCTATGGGATGTTGACAGCCTGGTGAAATTGACCCAGCCTGGCATGATCCTGGAGTCTATTTGAAAGGTGCAGGTTCAGAAAGCAGAGTGCTTCACAGGCTGCCACATTCCTCTGAAGATAATCTGCAGGTTGTACCTGCTGCCACTAGGCTGTTAGGCTGCCTAGGGGATGGTTGCTGGCTGGATTAACCAGATTTGCCATTGGCAGGTGGGAGATTTGCACCCCCAGAATTAGGCTTGCTACTCCATTAAGCTTTTGACCACCTAATTTAAACCATATTATTATTTTCTAAATAGGCAACACATTTACATTTTAAAATGCAAAGAGTACAAAAAGATAGGCCATGAAATGTCTTTCTGACCTGGTTCCCCAGGCATGAAGTTTCCCTCCCAAAGGCAACTAATCTGATAGGAGAATGAGGAAAGGAAGAGGAAGAAAGTCAATAAGGCCAATATTGGGAAGGTTACACTTGAGGAGACCTGGGGCTCAAACCTTCTAGGGCACTGGGAGCCAGTGTAAAATTTATCCTGTCTTGTGGATTTTAGATAATCTGTGTGTATAGGGGAGATATTTTATACAGCAGCAGCAGGCTATCCACATTGTGCCATACCTCGCTTTTGTGTGACTTAATATCTCTTGGTAATTGTTCCATGTCAGTGCCCAAAAAGCTTCCTCATTCTTTTTTTTGCAACTGTTCAGTTATCTATTTATGGTTACATCATATTATATTTAACCCATTCTTTACTGGTGTCTGCTCCCATTTGTTGTTCCATTTTGAGCACCAGATTTTAAAACTCATTCCTATAGGACACACAAAGGATTTTATTTCCTAGGAAGAGCTCCATGGCTCCCTGACTTGCTCAACTGTTTTAAACCCCCACCCCACATGGAATAAGCACACTTCACCATTCTCTCACAACAACAATTAAGTCAACTTATCTTTGAATAAGTAGCTGGGGGTGGCGGGGACACACCCCTGAAGTGTGGGTTTAGGTTTGTTTGATTGGGGCGTGTGCTGGGGTGGGTGGAGCAGGATGAAGAATTCTTCATTAGTGTTTCTCATGTTTGAAGTCAGATCTTCTTTCCTAGCTGGGGCCAGAGTCTTCAAGCTTCTAACAGGAGTTTCTAGAGCCACTGAATCTTTCAGAGAACAGGTACAAAAGCTCTCAGCTGGTGTACGAGCAGAGGAAGCGCCTTTACAAGGGGCTGCTTGGAAATGGGGGCAAACTGCTAAATAAGCGTGCAAAAGCAGAAAAGGGCCCAGGGTATTTTTAAACCTCTTACAAATAGGAGCAAGCCCAAATTTAACACGGGCTGGCTTTTTAATGTGGCTTTCTTTTTCACCCACCTTCCCTTCAAAGAGATGCTTTTTTCTTCTTTCTGCTGAAATACAAGGGCTTAGGGAGCAACTACTCGGTTCCAACAAACAGGGCAAGTTAACACTTGTGAGAGCAACACCCAAGCAGCAAAGGAAGCCGTGTTAAAATAAAACCACACCCCCTTCCCCTCCAGGTGACAAAGATAACCAAACCCAGTCTGGCGTCTATGCTCCAGCAACATGCAGGCTGAAGTGAAGGGCAACTGGGCAGGAAAGAGAAGGCGGAACTCGAGGTCATCCATACTGCCCAATTCCCTTGCTCCCCTCTCTTCCTGCCTCTCCAATTCTCATCTTCACCCAGAGCTGGTCTGATGCAGAAAAGTGAGGGGAACTCACTGTACCCATTTCTCTTTCTAAAATATCTCCTCAGGCACCTTAAACCTTTGTTCTTTCTTCCTCCAAAACAGTTCTCAGGAATTTGATACTATAGGATCATCTATTCTAGAGGTAATTAATAAGCTTTAATGAACTGTTCCTTCTAGAAATATTCTTACCCTTAAGCCAAATGATTGTAAAGGTCACAGGGCATTTCAGGCATCAGCTATTTCATGAATGGGAAGTAGTGTGGGTAGAACCCTAGCATGCTCTGGACCTTAAAATCATATCCTATGATTGGTTACCTCACATATGCAAAACCACCGCAGTCTACACCTCTAAACACACTTAAAACACTCTTTCACTGGTAAATAACCTGCATTCCTATATTCCTTTGCAGAACAGCTTGAGTGAAACCTGTGTTTATATGCAATGGTCGAGGCCAGCGGTGTAGAACATACACGCTCACTGCATTCTGGGACAGCTCTGGTCTCCAAGCCCGGAGGTTTAAGCAGTGTGTGGCCAGGCCATTGAGCTGAGAGCATAAGCTTGGTGATACCTATCAACATAAAAATATTCATCCATTACTTTCACTTATTTATTTTATTCACAATTGTATTTGGCTTGAAGCTTGGTGCTGTCTATTTGGGTTTGAATCTCTATCCAGATTCAGAGCCTGATCTGTGTCAGCCTCTATTCTGGAAGCCCCCAGTTTGGGAAAGAGACCATGCAAGGTACACTCAGGTCCTGCCCTGCTGATTAGTTCATGCAAGAGAAGCCTCCCTGACTTCAATCCCTGGGACTAATTCACTTCAAGAGTTGGAATGAGAAGGCACTCAAACCATAAATATATGCAAAGCAGCAGCAAGCAGATTAGAAGAACCTAGCAGATTAAAAGTAAGTAAGCCTGCAGAACCTCTCGTGCAGCCTCCTCTGCCCTTGTCTGGAAGCCACCTTTCTGCAGCCTGGCTTTCCGTAGCTGTCAAAACCCCAAACTTAAAGCTATTGGCTCAGTGATTAGACTCTGGGTTTTGGGGTCAGGAAGTTAGCTTGGGGAGGTGGGGGGTAGTTTTTCTGCGGCTGTCGGAGCAACCGTAGAAGAATTGTTTGATCTTTGCAGGATTTGAAAATATCTTGCTGTACCATCAGTGGCCTTTGGTAGGCTCTAGGCCACGGTTGGGGGATGTTTTACTTGCCTTTTAAGAATATGACACTGGGTCAGCTACTTAACATTCAGAGGGGCAGCACCAAAGGCCAGATAAATATCTGATGCAAAGAAGGGTAATGAAAGGAGTCTAGGCCTTCATCACGCTAGCTCCTCCCCGGGCCTGGAAGATCCTGAGAGCTTCTTCTAGTGTTCAGGCTTTGAATCATCGAAGATCTTTTAAACTCTGATTGTGAAGAGCTCCAGGGGAAATCAATGAACAGACCCTACGGCGATGTCACTGAATCCCATGATTGTCCGGTAGAAATATTTTACGACCAGCCATTCTAACAGGGGAGACTGTGGCCAGGAGAAACATCTTCCCAGAGATCACCCAAGAAAAGCAATAGATTAAGCCAAGTGCATCCTTTTCCTAAAACCCAGTGGTGAGCTGATAGGCGCTCTTCCCAATGCATCATCCTTCTTATGGCCCCTACAATAAATACAGAGATCTTTAGTAATTTCCTTGTTAAATGAAAACATAATGGAGATGTCTCAGAGTAATGGGTCAGCATGTAAATGCAAATGATGTCCAACCAGGACACTTTGGTGGTTTAAAAAGACAGAGACACAGGGAAGCAAGAAACTAGGATACAACAATTCAAGAAGGAAGTTGGAGAAGGCCTGTCAGCAGGACCGAGAAAGCTGGCTTCAGAGAGAACAGTGGCACAGTAGGATTCCCTAGGGGAGAGCTCGTCAGGACTTAGGGAAACAGGGGAAACACTTCTTTCAACCTTTAATGAATTAGGGATTTCTAGGGCTAGAAAGGGAAAACTCAGCCTGGGCGCAGTGGTTCACACCTGTAATCCCAGCACTTTGGGAGGCCGAGGCAGGTGGATAACTTGAGGTCAGGAGTTCAAGACCAGCCTGGCCAACATGGTGAAAGCCTGTCTCTATTAAAAATACAAAAATTAGCTGGGCATGGCAGTGTGCGCCTGTAATCCCAGCTACTTGAGAGGCTGAGGCAGGAGAATCACTTGAACTCGGGAGGTGGAGGTTGCAATGAGCTGAGATCACGCCACTGCACTCCAGCCTGGGTGATAGAGGGAGACTCCATCTCCAGAAGAAAAAAAGAAAAAAGAGAAAACTCACTCCTCTAGAAACTAAAGGGAGTTGACAACATAGTTTTACATAGGACTGGAAAATAGAAAAGCAGGACTTGAATGAAGATTTACAACCCTGAGGACTAGGTTCTAGACCGGTATCATTCAATAGAAATATTAAGGCCAGGTGTGGTGGCTCATGCCTGTAATCTCAGCACTTTGGGAGGCTGAAGCGGGTGGATCACCTAAGGTCAGGAGTTCAAGACCAGCCTGGCCAACATGGTGAAGCCCTGTCTCTACTAAAAATACAAAAATTAGCCGGGCATGGTGGCGCATGCATGTAGTCCCAGCTACGCAGGAGGCTGAGGCAGGAGAATCGCTTGAACCCGAGAGGTGGAGGTTGCAGTGAGCCGAGATTATGCCATTGCACTGCAGCCTGGGCAACAAGAGCAAAACTCCATCTCAAAAAAAATTAAAACATTAAAAAATTAAAATTTAGAAATATTAATAGAATGGCAGGCACACATATGCAAGTTTACATTTTCTAGTAGCCACATTAAAAGGAGTAAGAAGAAACAGGTACAATTAATTTTATGAATATATTTCATTTAGCTCAATATAGCCAAAATATTACCATTTCAACATGTAATCAAGAATTATTAATAAAATCTTTTACATTGACTTTAACCTTAAACTAATTAAAATTAGGTAGAATTAAACATTTGGTTCCTCGGTTGTACTAGCTACATTTCAAGTACTTCATAGCACAGGTGGCTGGTGGCTACCATGTTGAACAGCACAGGTCTAGTACAAGGCCCTCAAATTACAGAATCTCAAATGATGGAACACTTCAAATTTGGATTTGGGTAACTGAGTTCTGAGAATATTTGTATTTTAACTGAACTTGAGAGTCTATTTTCTCTTGAAAGATTTAGTTGTGTGCACTTGAACAACCACGTGTGTGGGGCTGTGCTGTCCAAGGTGGAGGGGCTGTATCTTTCAGATTATAAGAATGTAGGAAAGGGTTAGAGCCCATAGTAGTCATCTTCATCAGTTGGATAGACTAAGTTTTGCCTCAGTTACAAACAACCTCCAAATGTTTGTAATTTTACCTTCAAAAAAGTTTATTTTTCTCTCAAGGTATATGTCCACCCTGTGCTGGAGAAAGAGGGACTTGGGGAGATGGGTAGACTCTCTGCTCTTTGTCCTCACTCCATGACCCAATCTATCAGAGCAGTCACTAGCTGATCTTTGTTGATCGCCAAGGGCAGAGGAGAAGAGTGCCCTCAGATGGTCCTACAATTCAATACTAGCCCCAGAGGTGATACCAGTCACTTCTCCTCATTGGCTACAACTAGTCTCATGGCCACATCCAATCCTAGAGTGACCAGGATGTGCAATCCTGCAATGTGCCCAAAAGGCAGGCAGAGAGATGGAAAACTTGGTGAACAGGACTACTGAGTATATCCCCACCTTTTTTACTTTGGTTGGCTGTTGTGAAGTTAACTTAAATTATATCCAGGGACCAGAATGGAGTGCCACATTGAGCTTCACTGAAGAATGCAGTCCACATCTGTTTTGCTCAGGAAATGCTGCCTAGGAATTGTACTTTTCTGGTGAAGGGAAGGTCCAGAAAGATAAAATTTCAGGTAGATGAGGTTCAAACAGGAGAAAGACATTGGGGAGCAGTACACTACAATATTTTATTTCTCACTCTGGCGAGAAATCAGAGATGTACCTTCTCAACTGGTCAGGGACAAGAGTAACAATTTATGCTCAAATACTGGGCATTGTAAAGAAGAGAAAGTAAACACAAAGGGATTGTGTTTAGGGTGTGAATTCACATCAAGCATTAAACAATGTAAAAATAACCAAGATTAAGTATGTTTTCAAAGACAGTGAGTGTGAAAACATTAATAAGGGGAAAGCATATTATTTAAAATGGAAAATATTACCTTATTTTTGAATCACAGAATCTTTTTTGTAGCGGGAAATCTTAACCTCATTTTATAGAATAGAAAATGAAGACAGGCTAGATGCATTGCCTGAGATTAGTGCATAGTAAGTAAATGGCCTTGTTGGCATTAAGCTCTAGACTCCTAATTCCCTGATTACTAGTTTTTCTTCCCTAATGAAACAATTTGCATGAGGGGGCTCCTCATTATTTCCTGCCTCTTTCTTCATTTCTAACCTTGTCTTCAAGTCTTGATAGATGAAGATAGATGTGAGTTTTACGAGATCAGGGACAACAAATCTCTCTCTCCCTTTAATTAACATTTCTTTTTGCAGATGAAAATAAAGGTAAGGACCTGTTACGGACTGAATTGTCTCTCCCCAAATCATATGTTGAAGCCCTAACTCCCAATGCTGCCGTATTAGAAGACAGGGCCTTTTAAAGAAGTAATTAAGGTTGGCCAGGCACAGTGGCTCACGTCTGTAATCCCAGCACTTTGTGAGGCTGAGGCGGACGGATCACCTGAGTTCAGGAGTTCGAGACCGGACTGGTCAACAGGGTAAAACCCCGTCTCTACTAAAAATACAAAAATTAGCCAGACATGACGCACGCCTGTAATCCCAGCTACTCAGGAGCCTGAGGCAGGAGAATTGCTTGAACCCAGGAAGCAGAGGTTGCAGTGAGTCAAGATCACGCCATTGCACTCCAGCCTGGGCAACAAGAGCAAAACTCCATCTAAAAAAAAAGAAAAAGTAATTAGGGTTAAATGAGGTCATAAGAATGGGGCCCTACTCCGATAGGACTGGGATCCTTATAAGAAATGGATGAGACACCAGAGAGCCTTCCCTCTCTGCTGTTCCCATGGAGGAAAGGTCATGGGAGGATACAGCAAGAAGCGGGCCATCTGCAAGCCAGGGAGACAGCCCTCACTAGAAACCAACTCTGACAGCACCTTGGTTTTGGGCTTCCCAGCTTCCAGAAATGAGAAAAAATAAAGTTCTGTTGTTTAAGCCACCTGGTCTGTGGCATTTTGTAATGGAGGCCCAAGGCGACTAATACATGACCTATGCCATTATTCTTTCATCTAGTTTTATAAAATGTCTTGCTAGGACATGATTAGCTACCTGAATTCCACAAGGCTAATATTTGTGGTTGGCACAGTATTGGGTGCTGAAGGGGACATGAAATGTAAGACACTGCCTTCAAGAATTGTAGCAATGAAGATATAGACATCACCGCAGTAAAAATCACTGTGGTCTAGAAATAATTCCTGGGCCCAGGAAAAGTGAATTCTGACCGGGAAGTTGAGAAGCTTCCATAGAGGAGGCAGCAGTGGTTGGGTAGGACCTCGTCCTTCAGCTCCCCCGTGCCACGTTATCTCTTCAACTTGATTTATTTGTATGTCTCACACACACACACACACACACGCACCATTTCTCAGTGAAACCAACATGAGCATATTTATTAAAGAAAAACTAACATTGAGCACCAACTATGTGTAAAGTACTTACATGTATTATTTCATAGAAACCTACAACACCCCAATTTTGTATTTTTAGGCCTATTTTGCAGATGAGGAAGCAGGCTGCAGGTAACTTGCCTAAGAGGCTAAACTTAGTGACTGAGCTGGGATTTGAACCCAGACCTGTTTGACTCCAAACATCAGGATATTACTCCTGTAAAATAACAGATGTTGTTGCCGAGTGTCTCACAGAAATCTTTCTTGTAGATCAGGTAATTGGTGGACTTGGCATTTCATTTTACCTGTAGATTTATTATTTTAAACTTAGATGTTCTTCTTTTTCTTTATCAGGGATCATTGTGTGTTTTCCCCACTGATGTAGTCAGGATATCTTTATCAGTGCCTGGCACATGGTAGATATTCAATAAATATTTGTTAAATAATAATAGCTTTACCTCATGAAAAACGTATAAAAAGTAGCTTTAGGGACAATAAACAGACACTTGTCCAACAGATCCCTTTACATGGTTGTAATGCAAAGGGAGAGGATGTCAGAGGATGGAGACTGGTGAAGGGGTGGTTCAGGCTGATGAAATGTTTTGAACTTGTGGAATGTGAGGAGTCAGGGAGATGTGAGGAGCTATCCAGCTGGCACCTGGAAAAGACAGCCTTGATATAAAGATATGTCTGTGGGGCTCATCTCAGAGGCGATAGCTGAGGCTAGGGACAGACAAAATTGAGGGTGAGACCAGGAGATGATGAAAGCCTAGGAGACTTCCGGTTTTTAGGAGGCAAGTATGTCCCAAAGTGAACTATTACACCTTTATTCCTCCCAGTGCCAGCCCCAGAGTAGTCATATCTGTCTCTAACGTTCTTTTCTTCGTGCCTTTGTTGACACTTTTTCTTTCACTTGGACTCACCATCTCTATGCACCTCAAATCCAAATTCTATGAAACTCTAGCACCGACTTCAACTGACTGATTGCCTTCTGAATTTCTGCTGCTTCACTATGAAGCCAATGATCTCTGCTTTTCTGATTCCTTACCTCTGTCAGAGGAGCATTTTTCAGCACATCTCCTAGTATATGTGTTTATTCATTTTCTAAAATATATACCTACAACTGCTTTAAAACACCATGTAGAAATGAGATAAATTTTATTTTTTTATTACTAACTTTTGTTTATTCATTTTTTTTTTTTTTTTTTTAGAGTAAGAGTCCCTCTGTTGCCCAGGCTGGAATGCAGTGGTGTGATCATAGCTCACTGCAGCCTCAAACTCCTGGGCTCAAGCAATCCTCCTGCTTCAGCCTCCAGAGTAGCTGGGACTACAGGCATGTACCACCACACCTGGCTAATTTATTTTTTATCTTTATTTTTTGAGAGATGGAGTCTTGCTATGTTGCCCAGGCCTGTCTTGAACTCCTGGCCTCAGGCAATCCTCCTGCCTCAGCCTCTCAAAGTGCTGGGATTATGTAGGCTTGAGCCATGGTGCCCAGCTAAAAGGAATTGTAAAAGGTGAGATAAAAAATAAAATAAACAGTCTTTTAAAATATGCTAATTGTGATGTCTTAGTATTTTTACTAGCTCAGGTCTCAAGGAAAAGTATTCACTTAAGGACATGGTTCATTGTTAATAATAGATATAAATTTATATCTCAAATATTATTTCATTTTCAATAATTTCAAAACTTTGTTGATACCCTGTCATATCTGAAAAAGTCATCCTTCTGCTTACCTCCTATTGAAGCTGATGAAGAGCTTGTACTATGAAAGGAGAAATGTCAGCCCTGCCTTTTTTTTTTTTTTTTTTTTTTTGAGACAGTATCTTACTCTGTCACCCAGGCTAGAATGCAGTGGTATGATCTTGGCTCACTGCAGCTGCAGTGAGGTGATCTCAGCTTACTGCAGCCTCAAACTCCCGGGCTCAAGCAATCCTCCCATCTTGGTCTCTCTAATAGCTGGGACCACAGGCACATGCAACCATGCCTGACTAATTTTTGTATTTTTTGTGGAGACAGGGTTTCATTGTGTTGCCCAGGCTGGTCTTGAACTGGGCTCAAGCGATCCTGTTTCCTTGACCTCCCAATGTGCTGGTATTACAGGCGTGAGCCACTGTGCCCAGCCCCTGCCATTTTCTTATTGTTAATTTGTACTTAAGTTGCTGATATTATTTTCAATCACTGGATAATTTATAAAAAAATGTTCATGTCATTTGTCCATTTTGGGGGAGCTGTATTATTTAGTTTTTACTAATTGAAAAATCTGTTTGGGGAAAAATAAACCAGTTTGTCATGATTCCTGGGAAATTAGTGCAGCCATTAACAACTTCTCCTCTGCGAAAATTCCACTCTTCTCTCAGAACACATGACTGTGTGACATGATCTAGGTGAAGATCCCAGCGTCACCCCTCCCTTTACGGTATATCGAGAACTTTGGTCCTGTGTATAGCCCAAAGCACTTGCTTACTCATTGGCTTGAATTGTTCTGTTTCGTATGTGCTTCTCTTTATTTTCCCAAATCTGTTAATAAACCTTTTGACAGTTGAGATGGCTGTGACGTTTGTCTCTGCTGATCAGTTGGTAATATATGTTAGCTCTTCCCTCCTCTATTCATGTCACCTTTTCCATGAAGTTCAAGTAAAGGGGAATCTAGGGTCCAAAGTTTATTTGAGTGGCCAGCATTCCTACGTGTGGTCAGTGTGAACAAACCACATGGGTTGAGTAGAGTCCCTACACCAACATCTATTGTTGTTTCTCTCTAAATTTTCCAATTTGCATCTCTTTTCAAGAAAGTTTACTCACCTCTAGCAGCTCTGCACAGTTCTCACTTTGTAGAATTTAATTGGAATGGTCTATTCTCATGCTGCCAGCCTCCCTTCCTCCTTCCCTGCTCCTTCCGTGGTACAGAACATCTCTCCTGCCTGAGTTGACAAAAACAAAACAAAACCCAGAACCTCGGAAATTACATTTCATTTGACATCCCCTCCCTAAGATAGCAATTCAGAAATAGCACTTTCTGTTCAGTCTGCTTGAAAGTAACATTTCTCAGCCAGAGTCTCAGCATCAGCCCCAGCTAAGAGCTGTCAGATCAGCTGTGCCCACTGTGGGCAACTCACCTGAACCTTTAGGGGTAGAGGAAAAGTCACACAGGATGACTGACAGGAGTTCAGAGTCTTCACTGTGGTGACACAAGGCCCATCTTGTCCTGGTTCTTTCTATTCATAATGATGCGTAACTGTGGATGAGTCACTTCACCCTTCCCCTCCCCTTCCCTCCCTCCCCTCCCCTCCCCTCCCTCCCTCCCTCCCTCCCTTCCTTTTTCCCTCCCTCCTTCCCTCCCTCCCTCCCTCCCTCCCTCCCTCCCTTCCTTCCTTCCTTCCTTCTTTTTTCTTTTCTTTCTTTCACAGGTCTCGCTCTGTCACCCAGACTGGAGTGATCTCGGCTCACTGCAACCTCCACCTCCTGGGTTCGGGTGATTCTTGTGCCTCAGCCTCCCGAGTAGCTGGTATTACAGGTGCATGCCTCCATGCCTGGCTAATTTTTGTATTTTTAGTAGAGACAGGGTTTCACCATGTTAGCCAGGCTGGTCTTGAACTCCTGACTTCAAGTGATCTGCCTGCCTCAGCATCCCAAAGTGTTAGGATTACAGGCATGAGCCACCACGCCCGGCTGGTTTGTGTATTTCAATGTAGATAAAAATCTTATCCACTTCATCAGCTTGTGTTGAGGATTGTTGGGAAATGGTACAGTGAACACACTTTGAAAAAGTAAAAGGTAAAATACAAATGCAGGATGTCATACTGAAGTACCTGTCTTCTGAAAATCTTTTTCATTCTTTCGCTCTATAACCCTCGCAATAGGTAGTACTTAAGTTTTTCACCAGGACGAGGTGTGATGCCTAGGGAAATTATTTCTTTTTAAACCAGTGATCAGAGGGTGATTCGATGCATAAGAATATCAGTGGTAACCCAGAGGGGCATTTTCAATAGTTTGAGGATGGAGTTCTCTTAATCTTTGTTTTCTTATTTATTCACCATCTCTTAGCTCGCTTTTTAATAGTTTATGTGTGCCCACTCATGCTGCATATTGGCAGCTCTGGTTAAGGAAATGATTCTATATCAGACCATATATATCCACATATTTATTTATTCATGTTAATTCAGCAACACTTATTAAAAACTTATATGTTAGGACTTATTTAAAGTGCTGGAAGAAAAAAAATACACACATATAAGAAATATTCCCGACTGGGTGCAGTGGCTTATGCCTGTAATCCCAGCACTCTGGGAGGCCAAGGCGGGTGAATCCCTTGAGTCCAGGAGTTAGAGACCAGCTTGGCTGGGGTAACATGGTGAAACTCAGTCTCTACAAAAAAGATATAAAAATTAGCTGGGTGTGGTGGTACATGCCTGTAGTCCCAGCTACTTGGGAGCCTGATGTGGGATGATTGCTTGAGCCTGGAGGTCGAGGTTGCAGTGAACTGAGATTGCACCACTGCACTCCAGCTTGGGTGACAGAGCGAGAAGCTGGCTCAAAAAAAAAAAAAAAAAAAAAAGAAAGAAAAAAAAAGAAAAATATTCCCTGTCCTCAAAAAGCTTATGACTTTTGTAGCCCTTTAATATTGAATACATATACCAAATTGTTTACCTCTAATTGCTGACCGCCTGTAAAAGTCAAGGTTTTGGGCTGAATATCTCAGTTCAGCTCTGAGTTGTAGGATGTATGAAGGAGTTAACTTTGTTCAGACACCATGGGAAATAAAACCTCTTGCATATAAATTGCCCAGTTCTTACTCTTCTCCTTTCATTGTGTTCACACCAGTCTAGCTGAGAACTTCCTTAAGAAATCCCCATTGCAACACAAAGATAGGAAGCAACCAGCTTGTAGACTACCTATGACAGGCAATCTCTCTCCAAGTTGGGACTCTGACATTCGAGTGTTGGGAGTGGGGTTGCTTTAGGGTCTCTGATTGGTATCTCTTACTAGGAGTTTATTTAAAACCCTTAGAGCTCTATCCTATAAAACATTGCACTTCCGTTTTCAAAGTACTTATTCTAGTCTTGAAACAACCAACCCCATGACAGGGACAGGGCAGTTCTCATGCTTATTTTACCATAGAGAAATTGAAGGCTGGATGAAGAAAATGATTACCCATTGTCTGAAACTCCTAAGTTGTTAGGTCTAAAATTTTCAGCACAGAAATTACTCTGTGATAATGTTTTGCTTCTCATCATTTGTTGTCTGCATTTCATGCTGTCACTCCATGTCATATGATGTCATGTCAATTCATTTCTTTTTCTTTGGTTTATTCACAAATATTTACAGAACACCATTTTAGGCAAGGCAGTGTTTTAATGGTGGAGAGGTGGACATGGCCTGTTCCTTGAGCTCAAGGAACTTATAATCTATGGTTTATGTTTTCACGGATGGTCCCAATTCTAACTTCCATTTAGCAAACACACTACTTTTGATGGCGCTGTTGGGGTTATTCACAGTTGTGATGGAATTCAGAGTCCAGGGGCAAATAGTAATGGTGAGTGTCCAGTGGCAGTGGGGCCAGAAATGGTGACAGCAAATGTCTAGAAGTGATGATGCCAGCAAGGCATCATACATAACACGCCTTGCTTGTGTTTTCTGAGCCTAGGGCTTTTAGCTTTCTGTCAATTCTCTAACGTACTGATGGGCTTTCCAAAAGTTTATTTTTCTTTCTCTCTCTCTCTTCTTTTTTTCTCTTTTTTTTTTTTTTTTTTTTTTTGAGATGGAGTTTCACTCTGGTTGCCCGGACTGGAGTGCAATGGCGTGATCTTGGCTCACTGCAACCTCTGCCTCCTGGATTCAAGCAATTCTCTTGCCTCAGTCTCCGGAGTAGCTGGGATTACAGGCACCTGCCACTATGCTTGGCTAATTTTTTGTGTTTTTAGTAGAGACGGAGTTTCACCATGTTGGCCAGGCTGGTCTTGAACTCCTGACTTCAGGTGACCCACCCACATCAGCCTCCCAAAGTGCTGGGATTACAGCTGTGAGCCACCACACCCGGCCTTTACTTTTCAAGTTAGACAGCATTAGTTTCCATTGAGTGTTTTTCCTGGCATATATTCTCAACAAATTATATATATGTATATATAGACAAAATATATGTCAAGAAATTAAATTCCAAAGGAAGATTCTAATACACACATTTAAAGTTCAGGTGTTCATGGTCACTCACACAGAGAATGCCACCATGAGTTACCATTTCATGCTGCTGACCTTGGTCCTCCACGCTGTCCTCCTGGCCCTCTGCCCTCATCTAATCTCAGCATTAGCCATCCTGCACTCAGTGTGGACTTAGTTTTCAGAGTCAAGGTAGGGAAAGAAATGTCACTGAAGGCAGTGACTGATAGCACATGAGCTTATGTCCCTCTTCTTGATAGCAAACACTGCCAATCTAGTTCTAAATTTTAGACTCTGGTCAAGTATGCATTATATCTGTTACCAGATAGGCCCAGCTAGAACATACCTATTTTGCAAAAGGAGTTCCAGGGCCATTGTGAGTGGGTAGAAGTTTTGGTCAGTCTCTGGGAAAAGATTTTGACAAAAGAAACTCTTGGAAAACTACATGGTGAGGCACAAATGTAATGCTTACCACAGACAATCCAGAATGCATTGTCTGTTTCTATAAATAAATAAATAAATAAAATGGGTCCCAGACTTGAAGTGACTAAATTCTGGAATTTTCTACAGACTCTCTGAAGTCATCCACTGGCATCTACAGGTCTTGAAATAGGTACAGTTGGTTTTATGTCCCACATGGGGCCTGTTCACATACTCAGAACTTTTGACTAAATTAATAGGCAAAACTGATTTTCACTAAAGTTTCTACAGAATGATCTTGTTATACTGTCGATAGCAGGAGTTCTCACTCAGGAGTGCCCTTTGGAAACATTTAGGGAGCTTTTCTAAATACTGATGCTCAGACTGAAAGATTCTTATATAATTGGTCTTGGGGGAAGGCATTACTTTTTTACAGATTCCCAGGGGATTCTAATGTGAAGCCAGGTTGGGAACCATTTATGTACAAGAACAAAAACATGAACATCAAAAAAAAAAATAGCCAATTCAGTTAACGTTTAAGGTAAGGAAGAGAAAAATGAGAGATCTTAAAGTAGGAATTTAAAACTCAGAACAACTCTTAAAAATAGTATCTTTGTAAATCATGACTCTCTTATTATAGGCATGCCAAGAGCCAGTAGCTAAAACCATTGGTTTCCTCAATTCTATAAATAAGAAAAGTCTTTGCTTTCTTGTGCTTTCAAAAATGCCCAGCATAGTGCTGTTCTGAGAGAGACAGCTACTTAGAAAACATCAATGCTTTACACCTTCTTCTACTTTGATCCCTTCGTTTCTAGCATTCTCTCCTATTCACTTTTGGAACACACTCAACTGCTTGTTCTGCACAGTGAGCTTCATCTGCAGGAGGACTGACAGCTTTGGGCAAATACACTCTAAACCAACAGCTCCCAGCAGCCCTGGACATCTTCAGATGTGCTGATTTTAGAGCCACAGTTCTTCCTTCTCAAGGATCCCACCATAAAGACAATGCCTACATGTACATATAGAGTTATTGTTGTTGCTTTTGCCTTTTCTTAATTTTTTTTTAATTGTGGGGGAAGGATAGCAAAATTCTGGATGCTTTTAGCTCCATGGTTTGTCTAAATGTGCATGCACACACGTGAACACCTCAAATGATCAAGAATTCCCATCAAGAACAGAACTATTTAAAAATTGTAATGCTCTCCATTGACACCCCGGCTGAAGAGCAATTTTATAGCATAATTATAATGCATTGCATAATTTGGATAAGCTTTTGTTCTCATTGTGATTATCCTCAGAGAGTTCCTTTTTCACCTCCCCCTTCCCACATTGACTGAATTAAGAATATCCAACCCTTAAAGGCTGTTTTGCCTTCAAAGAATAAAAATGATGCTTTAAGACTAAGCGCCTAAGAAGTGATGGGTGGGAGAGAAATTTTGGTACATGACTCACGTCTTTATTGTGGTAAAGGTAATTTTTTACTGTTCTTAAGAAGTTTCTACCTAAGATTTCACTGGGGTAGGGGAAAGTCAGTGGAAGAGAATTATAGGAATCAAAAGTCCTGGCCAAGGTTGTTATTAAACCATATATCATAACATTTTAAAAGAAGGGCCAGAGAGAGGACAGCTGGTAGGTTTATTAATTTGTTCATGCCCATGGGCAAGTCACCAAGCCCTAAGAGTCCTAGTTTGCTCAACTTTACAATGAGGAAACTGAACCAGATGAGCCCTAAAATAGACTCTTACATCCTAGGATTTGGTCATCTGGGAATGTAATACAATTGGAAGATAAGACAATGATGAGAAACCAAATATTAGATCAACTTTTTGTGGACCTTGGGAAAATGAAAAACTCTGATTCACTTTAGACTTAGTGATTTAACAATGAGAATAAAGGATTTTAGGACAACGGTATTTCCAAGTCCCCTGTAAGTGCTGATAATTTTTCTGTAACTGAAAGTGCCCAGTTTTAGTATCTGGCTACAACCAGTAGCCCTTGAAAATGAAATAAGAAGAGTGAAGGTATCAAAATATATTATCAGTCATTAGGCAACCTATACTGAGACTTGGTTAGCATGAATAATTTACAAAGAACACCTGAAGCTTCTTTTTTCTTACGAAGTACTGGATTTTGGAGGAGTTATGTTTTGTTTTTTCCAGCCATACCTAGCATATTTTGGAGGTTATCATAAATATGATAAAATATGCCCTGATATTTTGAAAGCACTTGGAAGATCAGAGGCTGCCACTGTCCATTAAAAATTATCAAGGTAATGCATAAACGTGGTAAAACATCAGTCAGTACTGGAAAATTCAAAATGACAATTTTGAGTCCTCCCTTCCCCTACTTCCTTTCTTTAATGATTTATAATTTTAGCCATTTCGGTGGTCACCTCAGTAAATAATTTGCTGATGGTTTTGTCTCTTGATTTCTTCACTTTCAATAACATTCATTGTCTACTTGCTGTGAAAGGTGAAAATTCAGATCATTCTGTCTTCTTTTACTCCATGCCCTTTCCAATTTTTGATAGTAATGCTATTGATTTTTGTTTTCCTCTTCATTACTTTAGTAACTGCAAATGCTATAATTTTATCTCCATCTCTTCTTCTGTGAAGCCTTAGACCTCTTAACTGTCTGATTCCATCAGATTTTCTGGCCATCCCTGCACAGGATTTCCTTGCTCCACACCCTCTGCTGTTAGTCTGACTCTACCACTTCCTCCAATACACTGTTTCAAAATGTCCTCATCCTTGAAGATGTCAGCTGACATTTAAAAGACGTCCATACTTTTGATCATTCTTATACCAGATGCACACAACACCAGTGTACAGTGTAATGTTAATTTTTACATGTTTATCAGTATCTTTTACAGAGTAATCTGTGTTAGTCTTAACGTCCTACTTAACCTGATCAACTTCTTCAGGACAGACATGGTAGTTATTTCTTTATCTTCCCACAAACAGATGTGCACCAAAGTGCACTCCGTACATGCTGCTGATTAAAATAACTAAAGAGACATTCTCATCCCTTAAGTTACTGTTGACAATTTTGAAGTGTCAGTCCGAAGTCACAGTTTTAGAAGAAAATGAGATTCTTTCCAGCCTAGGAGAGCACTTCTGTTCACCTACTGGGAGTGTTAATTAACTGATATCTAGTGTGTCTCCATCCTCCCTGGAGAGTTAACACCTTTCTTGGCATTAAGCCTTGCAAAGATTAGATAAGGGCCAGGTGTTTTTTATACACTTTTTTATTTGTGTGGGGGGCAGTGTATTAATTTTGTTTTTGTGCTATGTAGTATAATGTTTGATGGTTCTTGATATCTGATCCATTTTGGGGTACCAGTAGAAGAAAGCAAGGGGCACAGATTGGAGGGTATATTCTTGGGAGAGAGGGAAAATGCTTTTACCTTGCTGTGGTCCTGTCCTTGCTCAGTCAGATGGTAAAGAGGCAACTAAAGCCATTGGAAGGTTAGGAACCTTCCAGGGTGCAGGGTAGGCATAGCGCACACAGGCTGGTAAAGTTTCTGATCTTTTGACTTCCTGATCTTTTGAGCTGTTAATTAGATCTTACTCACTTTTGTCAAAAGATTTGTTATGAAGAATTGAGAACACCTAGAGTCTCAAATGTCTTTTTAAAATCATCAAATAAAGATTAGGTTAAATTCAACATAGGTTTAAGTTTTTGAACTTCAGTGGCAATCTAGTTGTAACATTCCATTTCCTGGCAATGGCAGATCATAAATCTTACTTATAAGCTCAGAAAGGAAGTTGTTCTTCCTCCACCCTCACCATTTAATCTGCTGTTTTGGGGCCAGTTATTTGATAAAGACCCACAACTGCTCTGTGGTGACCCCAAATCAGCACCCCTATAATGTGGCCCTGCTCTGGCTCAACCTTAGAACCTAGTCTCAGTTCCAAAGGGGTAGGAGTGGGCTGGCTACTCTGAGAAGGAACTTAAATTTCATGGTAATCTGGGGTACTCCCCTGTCTCTTCCCCATGATGACTGAAAGCAGTTCCCTTGCACTGAATGGAATTCTATTGGCCAAATAAATATTGGCTCTATGTAGTATTTTAAAGTTTCTTGGGGCAGGGTACGCGAGCAGAGAAAAAAAGTAGGGGCCTGCCGAGCGCTTAGCAAGTGAGGCTGCAACTAAAAGCTACATGAAAGGGATGGAGCTATCTGCAGCAGACAGGGGCCTCTGAAAATACATGCAGCATTTTTCCAGAGTCCACAACTGCCCATTCAAAAACACTTTCTGGTAAGTGCCAGAGAAAGTGTTATGTGGGAGGTGGCATGGTACCAGCTTGCGATTGCCTCAGGCAAGCTGAGCACAATCTCCTTTAATATTGAAGAACTAGTCTCCAGCCTCTGACTGAGGGAGAAGAGGAGGGCTTCTAACACATTCTAAAATGGAATGGCAGAGATGGAAAGTGGTATTTATTGACTTCTAATTTGCCATCTGTCTGCCTTAATATTTGTCTGAAATACAAACATGACAAAGGAAGAGCAAGTCTTTATGAAGGCTATTTGGCTTTCCACCCCAAGCCTATAGGCGTCATGACAATGGAGAGGCCAGCTCTCTCACCGCTGGCTGTCTGGTCCTCTGTCAGCCACTGTGAAAGGGGTCACAGGGAAAGCGTTAACAGATCAATGCCTTTGGCTGTGTGCTCCCTTTTCCCACAGCGATCGCCCAGGATGCCTTAAAAATAATCTCTCCTTTTCACGCAGAGTAGATTTGCAGGTCTGGAGTCCGTAAAGCCAATTTTCATTTTTAATCCGGTTTGAGCCCATCTCATTAATCAGTCAAGTCTTCCTTTTCACACTTGCCTTGGGATACAAAGAGAGCCCAGTTATGAGCTGTTAATTAGCTATTAGGGGACTGGGAAACTTCCAAGGGGTCATTATTCACAGTGAGGCTAATACTTATTTAATTAGAACTATTCCTTTCCTGTCATAAATCCCTAGTTAAAATAAATGTAGCTCAAAATGTCAGCTCAGCTTAAAAGAAACTAGTGGTTAATTCAAATTCTGCTGATTTTTTATGGGACAAATGTTTGAACAATAGTGCAATCCTGCCAAGCCAAGCATAGTAAGACCCAAGTCTAATCAGAACTGGCACTTAGGGGTTGTATATGTGTGTGTTTTGACGGAGAATGTTCATGAGACCAAGAAAGTGGGCTCCCTTTGATCATCAATCACCCTCTCACATACATTTTTTTCTTTTCTTTTCCTTTTTTTTTTTTTTTTTTTTGAGACAGAGTCTCATTCTGCTGTCTAGATTGGAGTGCAGTGGTGTGATCTTGGCTCACTGCAACCTCTACCTCCTGGGCTCAAGCCATCCTCCCACCTCAGCCTCCTAAGTAGCTGGGACTACAGGTGTGCACCACACTGTCTAATTTTTGTATTTTTTTGTAGAGATGGGTTTCACCACATTGCCCAGGGTGGTCTTGACCTCCTGAGTTCAAGCGATATGCCTGTCTTGGCCTCCCAAAGCGCTGGGATTACAGGCATGAGCCACTGTGTTTGGCCTTTTAAAAACTTTGATAAGAACCTGAGATCTAATTGTGGTAGGGAAAAGCAGAAAGGAATGGGATAAAGCAGCATCATCTTTATAGACACTCGTGTGCAGTGTATATGCAGCTTATAACACGGCCACACATCCTTAAAACTGGGATTAACTGAGGCACTTGAAGGAGAGTGTGCTGGATAATGAAGTTTGTATTTAGACAAGCGTTCACAGAAAGCTTTTGCTTTCCTACTGCTATTGAAGCTTTTGAAAAAGAAGTTTCTATGTTTTCTTCCAGTTCCAGTTGTCTATTGTTATATAACAAACTACCACACAATTTAGTGGCTTAAAACAACCACCATTTTATTTGTGAGTCATAAATTTGGAGAGGGCTCTACTAGGCAGTCATTCAGTTCTATATTGCTTCTGCTGGTTTCACTTGGCTACATTTCAAAAGGTGTTACCACATCTGGTACCTCAGTGCTATTCCACCCTGACCCTCTTTCTGTCTCTCTTATTATGGCTAGTGTGGGCTCTTCACAGACTGGTGGCCACAGGGTAGGTAGATGTCTTGCATGGTGGCTGTGTTTCAAGAAAGTGTTGCAAGTCACATAGAAAAGCTGAAAAATCTCTTAAGGGTCAGCCTTGGAAATTACTAAGTGTCACTTCTACTGCATTCTATTGGTCAAAATAACTACAAGGCCAGCCCAGATTCAAGAGAAGGGGAAATTTATGTCAACTCTCAATGGCCTCCCAATGACAAAGAATGTGTGGCCATCTTTATGGCACCACACGGAACTCACCGCCTGCAAAATCTGCATTTTGTTTGTTGATTAAGGAGTGTGTGGTACCTCCAGACCATAATTTAAGATGTGAATGATGATTGCCTAGTTCTGCAGATGCAGGAAATGTGGTGAATCCCAGCATCAGTTAAAGATGCTTTCAGCTGTGAAAAACAGAAAACCTAATTCAAATCAGTTAACGTCATATGACATTTCTTTGCTTACAAGGCAGGAAGTCCAGAGGTGGGGGGTGTTCCTCAGGGTTGGTTGAGCCAATGTCTTAGTGATGTCATTAAGTGATGTCTCATTACTCTCATTCTCTTCTGTGACATTCCCAGGGTTGGCTGGTTGGCTTCATCCTAAGTCTGGCTCTTCTTACGGTGGGATGGCTATCAGTAGTCATTGTGGCTGCTTTCTTTCTTATTCACATTCAGTGAGAGAGAGACTACTATTTGTGGTTCTTTCTTAAAACTGAGAAAGAAGCTTCCAGAAGACATTATCAAATCTATTCTCTAGTCTTATTGACCAGAATTGGCTCACATGGCCATTTCTGAACCAATCACTGCCAAGAGGAAAGTGATATTCATATGCTAGTTTGTCCCATTCTGGATCTGAGGGTGGGATCAGCATCTTTGAGACATGGGCTGTAGGAAACAAAAATCAAAGTGGGGATTATATTGGTAAAAAAAAAAAGAAGGCAATCGATTTTGTATATGCAACCAAGAATGTCATTGTATTGCTTTAAAAATAATTTTGGGGCATCGATTCATTTTCCTAAGAGAAAAAATAAAAATTCCTTTTGAGAGTTCAGTTTAGGGAGAAATTAATTGTAGAACGAGCAACATTATGGAGACAGACCTGGTTAGAATTCTGTTTTCCTACTGAGAGAGTAATCTCCCTAAAGTCTCCATCTTCCCTCCGTTGAACCAGGATAACAGTACATGCTTCTTAGGGTCAGAATTAAAAAGTGATAATGTGTGCAGGATACCAAGACAAAGTAAATAGTCCTAATTTGAGAATACATGAGTACACAAATGGGAGGTTCCCCTGATCAGACAGTGGGGTATTTCCGAAGGTCTATGGGTGGAGGGGATGTGGAGCACAGTCGTATCTGAAAGCTCAGAATGCAAACTTTCGCAACTAGAACCATCTGGAGTGAGAGGGGTGGTGATACAGAGCTGGGACAGATTTCTCTGGGTGTTTCCTCCCCTACAGCATGTTTTTTAGAAGTGAAATCAGGTTACGAAGAGCACTAAGGCAGCTTTGAAGGGGAAGTCCTGAGAGAACAGGCTGCAGCTTCGGGGTGTGAGTATGTGTTGTATGCTTGTTGGGGACTGGGGGTGTGGAGAACAGCAGGCCCACTTACTTGGCCTTGCCTGATGGCAGATTAGGTCAATAGTGGATGGCCTCACCTCCTCCACAACTCCTGCCTCTGAGTCACCTCTCAGCCAGGGAACATATGGCAATGTCATGAAGCTCAGGCTATGCTCTGGGCCCATTTACCCAACCCAAAGCATGATTACTCTGTATCTCTCTGAGTCTCATTGTTCCCCACCTCCTACAAAGGAAGAGTACTCTCTCCCTCCCTCTCTATTGTTCCCTCCCAGTGCCGGCAGGGCCTTTATCCTCTGTGAGTATGTTTGGAAACTAAAGTAAGAGATTCTTGGGGAGAAGTTTCCATCCAGGCATCATTCACTCAATTTTTTTTTGCATGTGTGTTACCTTAGCCAATGTGCCAGTGTATTTGATGCTCTACAAGAGGTAGAAGTGAGAGGTACTGTGTTCTTCAAAGGTGAAAAATAAGCCCCAGATGTTTCAAACAGCAGCTGAGTCACAAAACACTTTCAAAAATGTCCTCTGACTAGCCCAGACGATGCAGAAAGATAATGTGAAAAATATTCACCTTAAAGAGGAGGATTTTAATGTTGCCCATAAAGTTAATCATATTTCAAATGTTTGAGACAATTTTTGGTATGTTTTAGGGAGACACCAGACCTGAAATGAATGCTAGAGGCTGGCTGAGTTGCAACAAAAGAGCAGGGAATCTTTTAATAGTGAATGTCAATAGGCAGCAGGCCATCTCCATGCCTTCTGCCCTCTTTGTCTTTACAAACACCATAAGGTAGGTGTGAATATCCCATTTCACAGAAGAGGAAACTGGGGTTTAGGGAGTCAATGTCAGACAGTAGTGATTGACCAAGTCAATCGCAGTTTGTGTGTTACACCAGTTCCCATTGATACAATAACGTTTGTTCATCCATGTTTAGCTCATCGTATAAGATGAGTTAATCACAAATAGGGAAACGTGAGTTCCTGCCCTAGCTCTGCCCCCTTACTAACAGGTAGGCGCTGGGTGAATGCCATTTCCTCTCTCTGGGTGAATGGGCTGACTAGATGGTCTCTGAAAGCAGAATCAGCTCTGAAAAGTCAAGGTTGCGTTAGCTCTTTTGCATCCTCATCCGTGTGCTCTTTTAGCTCAGTCATGCCCATCTGGTCTCCTGAAGGGGTGTGGCTGGGCAGAGCCTCATGTAAATATTTGGGTGGAAGGAGAGCCTCATGAGATGTTTCTTGACCGGGAGAGCCGCCTTGACCAGGCCTCCCAGGGGGCAGCCACTGGGAGTGGTTTCTCTCCATGAATCACCTGGGGCTGCAATGTGGGAGCCCTTTCTGCTTTCACCGTAAAAATCACGTTGCTGAATGCATGTAGATTAAAAAATAAATGAGATTTCTTTGCTTTGAGGTATTATGAAACATAACATGTATTCCTAAAAACAATTTTGCTATTTGTGTAAGGCAATGTGTAAATGAGGTCACACTGGCATGCCCTGGCTGTTTACAGACTGTGAGAGGTGGAGTCAGAGAGTGAAGCAAGCGGGTGAGGTTCATGGACCGGCTTCTCAGGGATGGTGGCTTTGAGAAAGGGAAGGAAAGTTCTAGGCATCACATAGCTGTTTGAAACATTTTTATGATAGATTAAAGCTAAAAAGCCGGTGGAGGAGGAAAAATGCAAAGGACAAACTATGAAGACAATGAAGATACTTGTTAAAACTGGGATTTGGGCTTGGCACGGTGGCTCATGCCTATTATCCCAGCACGTTAAGAGGCCAAGATGGGCGGATCACCTAGGTCAGGAGTTCGAGACCAGCCTGACCAACATGGCAAAACCCCGTCTCTACTAAAAATACAAAAGTTAGCTGGATGTGGTGGCAGGTGCCTGTAATCTCAGCTATTGGGGAGGCTGAGGCAGGAGAATTGCCTGAACCTGGGAGGCAAAGGTTGTGGTGAGCTGAGATTATGCCACTGCACTCCAGCCTGAGTGACAGAGTGAGACCCTGTTTCAAAAAAATAATAATAATAATTTTAAATAAATTGAGATTTGTAGGTCAAAGAGGTCAACTTGGGATCTGCTGTAATCCCACCACTTTGTGAGGCCAAGGCAGGCAGATCACGAGGTCAGGAGTTCGAGGCCAGACTGACCAACATGGTTTGAAACCCCGTCTCTACTAAAAATACAAAAATTAGCCAGGCGTGGTGGTGCATGCCTGTAATCCCAGCTACTCAGGAGGCTGAAACAGGAGAATCACTTGAACCCGGGAGGCGGAGGTTGCAGTGAGCCGAGATTGCACCATTGCACTGCAGCCTGGGCAACAGAGCAAGACTCTGTCTCAAAAAAAAACAAAAAAAAAAAAAGAGAGAGAGAGAAAATGAAAATGCAGAATTCACTCTGAGTTCTGAATACTTAGGCTTAATAAGTTTTCATGGCAGCAGCTGTTTCTAAGGTACATGGGGTGAAAATCATATGACCTTCTTGCCAATATAAAATATACAAAATAAAAAACCCAGCACTGACCCGCTAGTATAAAGTGGAGGTAAAGCCTACCTTTGTCTAAACTGAAAGCCACAAGACATAGGAAGATGTTCTCGCCTACCTAATGGGGGATTTCCTTTAACAGCATCTATGACAAATGGATATTAGCCTTTTTGTGAACAATTCCTGTGATGAGAAGCTTAACTACCATTCAAGGTACCCCAGTGACCTGTTGTTGAAAGATGTTCCTCTTTATATAGAGCTGAAAACTGCCTCCCAGTAATTTCCACCCACGAGTTCTAATTCTGGAACTGTACATGGAAAGTCTATTTCCCCTTTCAGATGACAGACCTAATATTGTATGACCATTATTTGTCCCGCTTTTTCTTCTCTCTTCCTTCTCCTAAGTCTGTTTCTAGGCCTGAATTCTCTCAATTGCTTCTCAGTCTTAAATGTCTCCCAGATCCTTCTTCTAGAGATGCCCTACATTTCAGTATCCCAGCTAAAGAAAGTTATCGGGGATGAACAGAAGATTACAGATGGATTGGGTCTGGTGGCTCATGCCTGTAATCCCAGCATTTTGGGAGGCCGAGGCAGGAGGATTACTTGAGCCCAGGAATTCAAGACCAGCCCTGGCAAAACAGTGAGACTTGTCTCTACAAAACAACCACAACAACAAAAATTAGCCAGGTGTGGTGCTATGTGCCTATAGTACCAGCTATTTGGGAGGCTGAGGTGGGAGGATTGCTTGAGCCTGGGAGGTGGGGGCTTCAGTGAACCATGATTGTGCCTCTGCACTCCAGCCTGGCTGACAGAGAGAGACTCTGTCTCACAAATAAAAAAAAAGTAAAGTAAAAACAAAATATTACAGATGGGCCTGCTGGGCATAGAGGCCAGTGGAGCTATGTCTTTTGAGCTGGGCATTGATGCTATTGTGGCTGGTTAGTCTCAATATCTTATAGTAACTGAAAGAACTAGACACAAAAGCTTACAGTCTGATTCCATTTATATGAAATCAGGAATAAGCCAAACAAACCCTTGGTGATGAAAATCAGAAAGTTATTTCTCTGGGGAGAAATAAGGGTAAATTCATTGGAAAGGCGCACAAGGGAATTTTCTGCAATGATAGAAATGTTCCTTATTTAGTTTGGGATAGAAGACTCATGGGTTTACAGTTCTCAAAATTCATCAATTTGATGTCTAATTTGTATATTTTACTGTATGTAAGTTGTACTTTAAAGAAAGCTCATATTTTTCATACGGCAAACTGTTGTTTCCTCAAAATTTCTTTTCATTTATTTAGCTTGAGATATTTACAAGATAAAAAAGTGCCACAAATGTATATATCAAGAAGAGCAGCTGCCTGCTTTTCTATTGAAAGCCAATTAAGCGTGCACTGATTTTTCTTCTATATCATGCACTTCCACTTTTGTGCTGAAAGAAAAGTAAAACAAAATCTCAATCACAAGTAATATTTGAATGCCAACTACCTTCATAAAAACTAATTGCTCCTCGGAATTTCATTAAAACACAACGATTATAAAGTGATTAGAAAAATCTCTTTGCTGAACTGAAAGATGACCTATATGCCCATGGAATACAGGGAAGCAGTACTTTTTAAACAAATGTTAATTAAATAAAAGCACATGGTGATAGAGGTTTCTTTATAGGTTCTGCAGTACAAAGAGGAGGTCTTTTTAAAAAGCAAATTTTCAAAGACTTTCTTTTCTATTATTTTTGACTGAGAATTTGAACGTTAGCTCAGCCCACTAAAGCGGCAAGAGACACATTTTCCAGAGATCAGAAAGAACTCTCTCTTCAGTCAGTAATTGGGACCATTTTCAAAGTTTAGCCCCCAAGTGATCCAAATCCTTGATTAAAGAAAAAAGCCAGTGGAGCCCCATAACCCCAGTCTTACCACAATAAAACAACAGACCAATTCCATTATAGGCGCATCCTTTGATACACCTGACCGGTACTCCTCAGAACTGTCAAGGTCATCAAAAACAAGGTAAGTCTAAGAAACTGCCACAGTTAAGAGGAGCCTAAGCAGACATAAGGACTAAATGTCCTATGTACCCTGGGTGGAATTCTGAAACACAAAAAGGACATTAGGGAAAAACTGAGGCAATTGGAAGGAAAAAAAAAACCCATGATCTTTCATGAATAATAATGTATTAATATTACTTCATTAATTATAACAAATATATTTAATATTCTAATGTAAGATGTTAATAATAGGGGAAACTGGGTGAGACGGGCATGAGAACCTTCTGTGCCACCTTCTCAATTTTTGTAGTCTAAAATTAGGTCTAAAAAATAGGCTACTAAACAGTTTGCATAGTATTAAAAAAAGTCCAGAAGGTTACCCACCAAAATTTTTTCAGAGTTTACGTATTTCCAGAAAGAGATGAAAGTCTTTTTTTTTAATATACGAAAAAAAGGCCACAGCAGCAGGTGCTTCTACCCTGAACCCTTTGCATACTTCTTCGGGAATTGGGGAGGGCAGTATTAGTTTCTGATGTATACTTTGACTCTGCAAGGACTCACACCTGATGAATATGAGTTTGAGTTTTGATCCTAAATCAAGTGTTCCATATTTTGGCCAACATTTGGTAATGCTAGTCTTTTTGATATGAGTAACTTTAGTGGGAATGGTGTCTCATCTTGGTTTTAATTTGTATTTTCCTGATGACAACTGATGTTAACAGCTTTTTATATTTTTATTGGCCATTTGTAGATTCTCTTTTGCAAAGTCCTTCCTTCTGGGAACTTGGCTTCACCTTCCATCATTGGGTTCCAAGTCTAAAACCTGGGTTAGTTCCAATAACTGGGCAAGAAATCATGGATTTTTTATTGGGGCAACTGCCCTCTGTTTTTTTTTTTTTTCCTTCCTCCCTCCCTTCCTTCCTTCCTTCTTTTTTTTCTTTCTTCCTTCCTTCTCTCTGTCTCTCTCTCTCTCTTTTCACAGGGTCTCATTCTCTCACCCAGGCTGCTCACACAGATCACTGCAGCCTCAACCTACTGAGCTCAAGCAATCCTCCTGCCTCAGCCACCCGAGTAGCTGGGGCTACAGGCGTGCACCTCCATGCCCAGTTAATGTTTGTATTTTTTTTTTTTTTTTTTTTTTTTTTTTGTAGAGACAGGGTCTTACTGTGTTGCCCATGCTCATCTTTAACTCCTGGCCTCAAGTGATCCACCCACCTCAGCCTCCCAAAATGTTGGGATTACTGGCATGGGTCACTGTGCCCAGCCCCTTCAGTGTCTTGATCATTCATTTTTGGTTTGTTTTGATGGTGAATTGAAGAGTTCTTTGTTAACTGTCCATCTATTTTGCCCCTAGGCATGCTGTGTTTTCTTAACCTTCTCCATGGCTGTCTTGGCCTGGCCCTCTGGACTGCTCCAACTTTGCTGTTCATTGTGATCATTGGATCTATCTGATTTTTGACAGCTACACATCATCATCTGTCCTCTATTCCCCCTACCCCCACTGGGTAGCAGGGTGATTGTGATCATCTCTATTGCTATCAGTTAGCTTAGTTCTGTGTTCTGTGATCACCTTTTCTACCGTTACCGATGACCTACGAAGAAGAGGCATCACTGTGCTTTTTAGTGATGCTGGTGTGCCTGCATCTGTACTGCTTATGGCTTTCCTGTGCACTGTAATCATTTGGTGAGTATCCTGGCCTCACGTGGTAGATCTACTCCAGCATGCCCACTTCTGTGAATCTTTCAATCCCTTCTTCCAGCAGCTGCTAGAGTAATTCTGGCATTTCACCCTCCCTTAGTGGGAGCCATTGCTTTTCCCATGCATCTAAGAAGTAGCCTAGAGACTAGAATATACCATTGCTTAGGGTCCTTGCCAGAATGTTCAAATCTGCATTTCAGAAACATACTCCTAAACCAATAAACTTTTTATAAGCCAAAAATAAAATTATAAGTCGCTCAATTGATTGAATCGATCCCTTCTCTCTGCCAAGTGAATTCCCAAGTAAACCTGAAAAACTAGTTCAAGCCATGATGGAAAGGGGGAGTTGGGCATGCCTCATTAGACACTCCTCTCCCTTTGGAGTTCAGGCACAACTGACCAGCATTAAGATTGAAACAGAGATCTTAAGACTGACAAAACAGACTGTTTGTAGCAATAAGATACTAAATTCCAACTTGACTCTAGGATAACATCACATGACAGATAGCAGGCCTTGAAAGCAGTCAGAATATTTTACTCCAAAATATATTTCTTTGACATATTTTGAAATGGCCATGCAAAGCTGTCTCTTAAGGGGAAAATCTACATTTTGTAGAGAATCCCTTTCCCTTTCCAGGTCTTTTCCTGATACAGGAGAGATTACCAATCTAGTGCCTTTTTAGGTCTGACAAGAGACATTTACCCTCTATTCTCTCTGAAGCCTGCTTCCTAGAGGCTTCATCTACATAATAAGAACCTTGGTCTCCACAACACTTTATCTTAACCCAGACACTGCTTTCTATTGATTCCAAGTCTTTAGATTAATAACTCTTGCAACCAACTGCCAGTCAGAAAATCTTTGAATCCACCTATGACCTGGAAGCCCCTCACCCCCAACTTTGAGTTGTCTCATCTTTCCAGACTGAGCCAATGTACACCTTACATGTATCGATTAATGTCTGCCTGTAACTCTGTCCCCCTAAAATGTATAAAATCAAGCTGTAACCCAACCACCTTGGGCATATGTTCTCAGGACCTCGTGAGACTATGCCTTGAACCTTCATCACTTGTATTTGGCTCAGAATGAATCCCTTCAAATATTTTACAGAGTTTGACTTATTTTGTCGACATTTTTCTTATTCAGTATTATGTTCTAGCCTCTTTGATCAAGTAACTCAGAATCCAGTCCCATGTGTGGACATGCTAGGTGGATCTCCTTGGTGTGTAGTCCCTTTTCTCTTTTGCTGGGCCCAGCACATCTGCAGCTGGGTTAAGCTGCAACTTATTCCTAATTAGAAGACACAGTTAGAGGCCCAGTGGCCTGGAGGGGAGATAGAGGCCTGTGCATTGTCTTCAAGTAGGAGTGGTCCTAGCTCTTAACAGAGAGAGGTGGTTCACTTTCTTCTTCAGATGGAAAAGATTTAGAGGAATCTGGGAACTCAAGAGTGTAGGGAAAATCAACCCATATATTCCATTTCACCTCACAGGTCAGGATTCATTTTTCCCCAACCACATTCCTAACTTTGACATAACAGACCTGCCTTGATTAAGAGTTTTAGCCCTCCCTGGAGTTCTGGCAAAAATCACCACTAAGACATGGGTCTGTACCTGGGCCTCAACTTTTCCTGCCCTCTCTCTTCAGGTGAGGAAAGCCTCTTTACCTTCCTAAAGACCCTCTGACTTTAACGCTGGCTTTCAATAGCCTATTAATTGCTCTCAGCCTTTTGTTGAGCTAAATTCTTTCTGTAAAGCTTCAATGGAGTATAGCAACACCGTCCTATCTCACTTCCCTAAGATTACTCTTTCCCCTATATTATTCTAACACTGAGTACATAGCACCAGCTATTGTACTCCCTTTTCCCTATGCACCATTCTAATTCACCACAGAGGAAGTTTTAGTCATTGGAACAGGGGCTGTCTGTGCTCCTCTGCCTCCAGTGATGGGGTCTTCATTGCTAGCCAGGTGATGAGTGAGCCTGCTCCTAAGCATCATTTCATTGCCTGCTTTCTTGGACCACTCTTGGCACTGTTGGGATGCTTCAGAGGCTGAATTCTCTGGGAAGCAGACTCTGAGATAAAGGTCAGTCTGCAGGATATTTATTAGGGAGTGTCCCTGAGACCATTTGTGGAAGGACAAAGGAGAAAGCAGGATTGAGTAGTAGAATTATTCATTTAAAATTTTATATTACAAGAATTATACGATCATTGCAGAAAACTTAGCAAATAAAGAGATGTAAAGGAAGTAAATTTCTCCCACAATCCCAACACTGTTAATCTTTTGAGGAAATTTTTTTATGCATTCTTTTTTCTTTTTGAGGCACAGTCTCACTCTGTCACCCAGGCTGGAGTGCAGTGGCATGATCTTGGCTCACTGCAACCTCCGCCTCCTGGGTTCAAGCGATTCTCCTGCTCCAGCCTCCTAAGTAGCTGGGATTACAGGCATGCACCACCATGCCTGGCTAATCTTTGTATATTTAGTAGAGATGGGGATTCACCATGTTGATCAGGCTGGTCTCAAACTCTTGACCTCATGATCCGCCCGCCTCAGCCTCACAAAGTGGTGGGATTACAGGTGTGAGCCACCGTGCCTGGCCATTTTTTATACATTCTTATATGCATGTATATATAATTCCTTTTAAAATAATGGTTTCAAACTGTACTTAATGTTTCATAATCGACTTTTCTCATGCATATATTATGAACATTTTTCATGACAGCGAATACAATCTATTTTGTCATTTTAGTAGCTGCAGAGAGAGGCTTACACATCCTATGAAAGGTTGTGTAATGTAAATTTAAGAGAGCTGACTCAGACCAGACCGCCTAGATGCAGATATTAGCTCTGCATTGACTAGCTTTATGACCTGGTTAGCGAACCTCTCTGTTCCTCAGTTCCATCATCTGTGAAATGCTGACAGTAATTGTAGTACCTATCTGTTGGGAGGCTTAGATGAGTTAATATATGCAAGGAGTTAAGAACAGAGCCAGGCGTTCTATAAGTGCTATGTAGGTGGTGTTAGTGCTTTCTATAAAACACCATCATTTAATTGACCAAAGTCCCTTCATTCTGATTTTTTTTTTGTTTTTTTTTTTTGGATAATGTTGTGATGGATTCTCTTCTTCTTTCTTCTTCTTCTTCTTCTTCTTCTTCTTCTTCTTCTTCTTCTTCTTCTTCTTCTTCTTCTTCTTCTTCTTATTCTTCCTCTTCCTCTTCTTCTTCTTCCTCTTCTTCCTCTTGTTTTGATGGATTCTCTTCTTCTTCTTCTTCTTCTTCTTTTTCTTCTTCTTCCTTCTTCCTTCTTCCTCTTCCTCTTCCTCTTCTTCTTTTTTTTTGAGACAGAGTCTCACTCTGTCACCCAGGCTGGAGTGCAGTGGTGCCATCTCGGCTCACTGCAAGCTCCGCCTCCTGGGTTCATGCCATTCTCCTGCCTCAGTCTCCTGAGTAGCTGGGACTGCGGGCGCCCGCCACCACGCCTGGCTAATTTTTTGTATTTTTAGTAGAGATGGGGTTTCACCGTGTTAGCCAGGATGGTCTCGTCTCCTGACCTCGTGATCCACCTGCCTCGGCCTCCCAAAGTGCTGGGATTACAGGTGTGAGCCAGCGCGCCCGGCCAATAGATACACTTCTTCTTGGGGTGGGTCAGGGACATTTGTTTGCCTATTCCCTCAGATACCTTCCTAGAATTAAGATTGCTGTGCTAAAAGGCAAGTGCATTAAAAAAAATTTTTTTTTGATATTTGTTGCCAGACAAGCCAATTACATCATTCGTTGAACCAATTTCCAGAAACAGCGCGATAGTATTTTCTCATACTATCGCCAACACAAGTATAATCATACGTATAAACACTTGTTAGTCTGCTAAGTGGAAAATGAGGTTTTAATTTACATTTATTACTAGAGGGGTTGAACTTTTCATAATTTTGTCCATTCTGTTTCTTTTTTCAAATGGCTACTTATGGCCTCTGCCTATTTTTCCAATGAGTGTTACTTTTTTTTAATATAAAATAACTATACATTAAGCGTACTTGTATTAGTCCGTTTTCACACTGCTAATAAAGACATACCCGATACTGGAAAGGAAAAGAGGTTTAATTGGACTTACAGTTCCATGTGGCTGGGGAGGCCTCAGAGTCATGGCAGGAGGTGAAAGGTACTTCTTATACTTCTTACATGGTGGCGGCAAGAGAAAAATGAGGAAGAAGCAAAAGCAGAAAACCCTGATAAGTCCATCAGATCTCGAGAGACTTATTCACTGTCATGAGAATATCATGGGAAAGATGAGCCCCCATGATTCGATTACCTCCCCCTAGGTCCCTCCCACAACATGTGGAAATTCTGGGAGATACAATTCAAGTTGAGATTTGGGTGGGGACACACCCAAACCATATCAGTATTCTATCACGTTTTGCAAATCTTACATATAAAGCTGACTCATGAAACTTTAATATTGAAGTTTGAGTTAGGCATTATAGCTAGGTTGGGTATGAAAGAGATTACTTTTAAGGGGACTAGTGAACCTTGGTGAAGGGTATGTGGAAGTTCTTTCTATGATTCTTCCATTTTTTTCTCTTGTTTGAAATTATATCAAAATAAGAAGCTCCAACAACCCCCCACTCCACACACACAGCAAATTGATTTATGGGGTAATTGGTGCCCCCACTAACCACACAGCTACCTACCTATTTTTTTTTTCCATTATGTTCGTGGCTGTTGTAATAGAGAGACCCCACGGCCATGTCTGTGGGCAGCCTGGGAAAAGTCTACAAGCTACCCCTACTGAGATCAGCTACATCAAGCTCTGCTCTCCCCTGGCCAGAACCTGGGTCTGCTGAAATAATCATACCCTTTTGGTCTGCTATCATGTGCTCAGTATGCTGCTTGAAACGCTTAAGACCCTGTAGGCCTTCCTAGCCTCTTTGGTTAGGAAGTCCCCTCCTTCTCACTGGTCCCAGGAGGATAGGGGGTGGCAATGCAGCTTGCTTCTGTTTCCTCCATCCCTCATCTGTCTGTGCTGCTTATGCAAAGGCCTACTCACTTAGAGGAGAAAGACTCCACTCTTAGTTCCATCTCTGCAGCTAGAAAGTTAGTCCTTAGGCAGACTGACATACCTGCAGAAACAACCCCCCAACTCTTTATGGCTTAATTCAATAAAAATTTGTGCTACCTATCCAACATGAGCTGTGGAGGATTGGGGTCAAGAAGCATGGGGTTAGTGATGATTCTATGATGGCTGTCCTCCACATACTTACCCAGGGATTCAGTCTAGCAGAGGCTCTGCCACCCATCATGTTACCAGCTACCACAGCAAAGGAAGAGACAAGCATAGAGAAATTATACTCACTTTTCTCTACCTTGGCTCTAAGGGGTCACATATGATTTTCACTCACATCTCATTGGCCTCAATGGTCACAAGGCCTTGCCTAACTGCAAGGTGGCTGGAGAATGCAGGGAGGGCCATAGAACATGTGTGAACCTTGCTGTCTCTGCCCGCTCCCAGGATTAGCCTCTGGACACTTCCTCTCAGCATTGTCATTCAAATATTTATAATATTTTGTTTAAGGTCTGCCTTCCTGCTTGACTCAGAGAGAGAGGTTGGGACCCTGTCTTTTTTGTTCACTACTGGATTCTTAATGCCTAGCAAGGTGTCTGGCACATAGTATACCAACAGAGTTGTGACTTCTGGTGCCATCCAGTGGCAGCACACACATATTACAGGAGCAGACACTTTTAAATGATGTAGAGACTAAGGACCAGGATTTCAATTATTTCTGGAAGATGCAAGTGGGAGTGTGGGGAAGTGAAACAGAGTGTTAGAAAATAAAAGATTTTCCAACATTTTGGTAGACAAGTGCTCCAGAGTGAGATTCTCTTGGGGTCATAGCACAGCTTTCCTATCAGTTCTGGCCCACCTCAGTTTCTCTCTTCTCAGGTTTGGCTGGTGAAAGAGCTACTGGAGTAGCCCGGGTTTCCAGAGTTGTCAGGACACAAAATGAGTTAAAATGACACACCAAAGAAAATTCAAGAATCTACCCATAGCTGCTAAATCAGTTGCAAAACAAATCAATTCAGTGGTCTACCTCCACTCTGGCCTGCCCACCTCCAGGGAACAGAACACAAATAAAGCCAGTGACTTTTTTTTTTTTTTCTTCAAGTATATCACTTTTTCCAGACCCGTGTTCAAATGGCTTTTGTTAAAGCTGAAAACATTCAAGGTAAAGAACCATGTTAAGGAGGCTTCTAAAAAATTATCCGGCCCCAAACCTTGAGATTTCCGAGAAGTGCCAGGGCCATCTCTGGCTGCCGACTGCTGTGTCAGATGAAAGATAATGACCCCGGGGCAGATGAAGGGTTTTAAAGAGTAAAGCTTAATCGAAGGTAATAGTGGAAGACAGGAAAAATTGCAGAATGGTAATGGAAAGAGTGCATTAGTGAGGTTTCTGCACTGTCACCCTTTACCCAGGGACTCTGGGCTCTTCCATGTAAGTGGCCCCTTGCTCTCTGGAATCCATTATCTCCCCAGGATGCCTATGATGTGCTTAGTGAGATGGAAACAGTGGTGCCTGACTGCTGGCTCTGGGCAAGAGAACCTAAGGAAAACAACATTTCCCAGAAAATAAGAAACAAAACACAACTGAGTTAAACAATGAAGAAAGCAAGCTTTTGATGACAAACTTTTGGCTGAGAAGTTGTGCTTTGTTTATGAGGAACTGATGAACTGGTTGAGGAAATGGTTTTGGTTTGTTTGGTGGTGAACAAAGATGTAGAAATACACCCATCTTGCAAATACCATTTCTAGGAATAAGAAAGAAAAAAAATTTGGAAGTTCACTGAAATGACAGACTTTTTGGGATCAGGGAGGACAATCTTGAATTTTTAATTAATAATAACTAACATGTATTGGGCACTTGGTAGGTGACAGACACCAGGCTAAGTGTTTTTATGAGGCTTCTCCTTCAATTCTCATGGGTACTATGTGTATGGTCTTAGAAAACAATACCCCGAAATGAAGGCCTCAAAAGCAACAGTTTCTCTCTGACTTTGTCCTTCCCTCCTGTCTCTGACCTCTCATTCTCTCCCAAGGCTAACCATAGAAACTAGAATCCCTTTTCCTCAAAGTGGGTAATAGAAGCCAGAACCCTTTTCCTCCAAGCCAGCCATAACCTAAAAATATTACTTTAACTTTCCTACTGTCTTTCTGTGTAAAAACTGGCCATGAAGAAATTATCTGACCTGCCTTGTTTGACTGTAGGTCATCAGACCCCCATCCTAGAGAGGGTCCTGCCCCACACCCAGTAGGAAGAAACACTGCACAAGACACCCAGAAGAATTGAAATGGACAGTGCTGGGATTCCCCAGTCAGTAAGTGTTAGATCAGACCCTTTCTGTCCATACTTTGTTGAACATAAGCATAAAATAGACAGTTCCCCCTGTATCTTTGGGCCTTCATGCTGAAAGTTCCGGTGTCATGTAAAACTATGATCAAATACATGTGTCTGCCTTGTCTCCTATTAATCAGCTTTTGTCAGCAATTTCCAGCGAAACATCAGAAGGTGATGGGGAAGTCTTCCCTTGGCCCCAATATCTGTTAGGTAGATGTTCCTATGACCACCATTTTAGAGGAGAAATGGGCTTAGGGAAGTTCTACAGCTTGCCCAAGGTCATGTAGCTGGGGGCCTGGGACCAGGACTCCTCCCCAGGCCACTGTCTCCAGGGTCCTGGTTGAGTCCCCTCTTCCTATTTTCTTCATTGCTTAGTCAGCAATATATTTGAACTATATTAAAATATATTTATTGTGCCGTGCTGGAGGCTGGGGACATAGCAGTGTATGAAGAAGGGGCCCTCTGTCCTCAGAAGTCATATACTTGGCTAGCCGAGGTTTTATGTGACTGGTTCTTCTGGCCCATGGTTGCCACTCCTTCCATCCTCCTCCCTCCCTGCAAACAATTTTTCTTGGCCCCACCTAACATCAAAACTCTGAGCTCAAAGGAGCCCAGAGAACAGCTAGAGGCCCCTAAGCCACCCTTTCCTGTGATGAGGTTCTAAGAATTCTTCAAAGGATTTACCCAACATGATAGGGTGACAAAGTCTGCCGAGGATCTCAAACCAGATTGAGGTGTATTTTCTTCAATGAGATGCTTTAAACTTGTTGAAACGCAGTCACTCAGTTTGCTGAAGTTTAATTATTTTTTTGCTCTGACCTAGAGAGGGAAAGTACAACAGGCAGTTCAGAGGCTCATAGGATGGCAAAGTCAGCTGGGCTCTGAATTTTCTTTCTTGCTTTGTAAATAAATATTTCCACCTACAAACACAAAAGACACTGAGAGTGGCGGGCATTTGTCGGCTAAATTGTGGAAGAGACGGCACATAAGTAATGCAGCTCAAGTAGGCCCTGAATGTGGCAAGGGTGGGAGTAACTAGGGCTTGGAGCTCTTCCTGTGTTTTAGTACGGGAGCAAGTGTACGCCGATTGGCAGCTTTCTTGGACAGAGTTCAGGACCAGGATTTGGAAGACCGGGTCACAAGGTTTTTGCTTTGTGACTAATAATCCACAATCCTTTGCACATCATTTAACTTCTCTGCCTTGGTTTCCTTCTTCACATAAGTGGGATAATAGTGCTGTTATCCTTCCTTATGGGTTTTGCTAATTAACTAAATCAATTAAATTATTTTGATATACCCTGGCCAAAGGTTTTAGTGATAAGTAGAACAAATCATATCAAAACACTGCTTTAAAAAGCTCTGGCTGAAGGATAAAGAGCCATGTTTTACCAGGCATGGTGGGAAACCACTCAAAACCCCTGTAATTGGTATCAAGATTACTTTTGCCATTACTTTTAATGTCAAAAACCACAATGACTTTTGTACCAACATAATATTTTGAAGACAAAACATTTAAGCTAAAGAAGATGCAGAAAGAAATTACTATCTGAACTTCTCTAAAAGCTGTAAAGCAGAACCTCTCAGAAAATACAGCTGTCAGTAGCCCTCCCTTGAGGTCTTCCCTGTGAATTCAGCTGCCAGGGAGATAGACTGCCCATTCTATTCACATCAAAAAGCCTGATAGAACCTTCTATACCTTCTCACTGAAGCCCTGACACTCCTCCCCAGTCCCCTAGCTAAGTTTGGTATATAAACCCTTTATCTCTGTCTATTGGGATGAGTTACTCCTCACTGAATCTCTCCGTTGCAGGTGTAAATAAACTCTTTTTTTTTTTTTGTCTTGCTCATCTGTCTTTTGTCAGTTCAATTTGCAGACCCCACAGGCTGAACGTGAGAGAGGAGAGGAAAAGTTTTTTCCTCCCCTACAACATACAAATTCCTTTACTACCCAACTGCTGCTCACCAAGTGCCCTATACTCCACCGTACACATTCATCTAGAGCTCTTAATCAAACACATGTGTTCATACTTCTGTCTGAGCTGTTTCCTTTGCCTGAGATGCCCTAATCTTCTTTGTTTGCTCTGGAGCCAGACATTGGGTTTATACCTCCCTTTCCCCACCATGACTTGTTCCCTTGAAAGCTGAATGAACTCACTCAAGTTACTTAGCTTATCTGAGCTTCTCTTCCCTCATTTCTAAGTTGGGAATAATAATAATTCCTAGTGGCACAGCTGGAGTTCTGGGAGGGGAAGAACCGGGAGCCCACCTGTTATCCCAGACATGATGGTTGTGAAGAATGAGAGGACATTCAAGGAAGCAGTGGGAAAGCTGGTTCTGTTCAACCTCCGTTTGAAACATTAGCAGTCAGAGCGAGAGATAATAGAGCAAAAGGTCAAAAGACAGTGCCTTTTTTAATGTGGTCACTCTCCTTGATAGCAGAGCCTGCCAATGCTTCTGATGTAATTGCCACACCAGCTGATACGAGGATTTAAGGAAAGGGAGTTCACGCAGCACTTGGCCCAGGTCTTGATACACAGAGCTCAGTAAGCGTTAGTTATGACTATTTTTTTTTTTATTAACTTACTCTTTTACCAGTGTTCCCATGTGCTTTATGCATAACTTACCACGGCACTTAGTTGCTTGGGAAGTTGTGTAGCCTCTTTGCACTGCAGTGTCCTCATCTGTGAGATGGGAATGCTAGCAGCACTGCTGTCTGGGGGTATCGTGAAGATGACTTGAGATGATGCATAAAGCCCTCTCAACAGGAAGCACCCAGAAGGCATCAGCCATTACAGTTGCTTGGTGGGAGGGAGCTGAGCAACACCATAAGCACAGCTGGGCCTAATGCATGTTAGGTAATTCCAAGTACATTTGGGAAGGACAAATATGTCAAGACCTACTCTAGTGAGGATCAGGAGAACTGCAGCTAGTGCTGTGGGGTGTCCACTGTGGGGAGGTGGGCACAGTTGTATGGGTGCCCTAAGCTGTAGGTCTTCTGTGCCTTACTTACCTCCTGGGTTTGACTGGAAGACTTTTAGAGAAAACACTGAAACCACCTTTGCAAAAAATTATAACAGTAAGAAAATTAAGACAGTGAAAGAGATCTGACTTGCCTGCCTCCATCTTGCACGTAACCTCCAAGCTGTCCTTGTTCATTCCTGGGCATAGGCTGAGCTGACATTGGGAGGAACCTAGTTTATAGTTTAACTTTGAAACAAAGATGATAACAGCCCTTTGCTGAAATGAACCCTCTTCTTGCCGGGGGGACCAGAATGTCTTTGTAGGACTAACAAATTAGCCACAAGATTAGAAATTATGGTGTAGGAGTCATGCAGCTAGCTAGAGGCCACAAGATTCTAAACCTTCTCAATTGCTCCTACAGATAACATCACTATTGTAAAACCTCAGATTGGTGCTCAAGATAGTTTTCAGACCCTGCACTTGATGGATCAGCTGGCACTACTCAGATCAACACACTGGCTCACCTGGTCTTGTGGCCCCCACCCAGGAAATGACTCAGCACAAGAGGACAGCTTTGACTCCCTGTGATTTCATCTCAGACCCAACCAGTCAGCTCTCCCTACTACTTGGCCCCCTACCCACCAAATTATCCTTAAAAAACCCCAGCCTCTAAATTTTGGGGGTGACTGTTTTGAGTAATAATAAAACTCTGGTATCCCATTGAGCCAGCTCTGCATGAATTAGTTAACTGTTTCTCTCTTGCAGTTCCTCTGTCTTGATAAATCAGCCTGTCTGGGCAGTGGGCAAAATGAACCCCCAACAGGAGGATTTCAAATGTAAAGGTAAGGAAAACTATTACATGTCCCTGTGTTCTGGCAGCAGGTATGAGGCTGTGCCAGCCCTCCCTCTTGCTGTGAAGTTGCCTGTGGATGGGACACTGTGAGCTATTCCAAAGAAGAATAAAGATGTGATCATTGCATTCAACTGAACCCCTTCAATGACCTGTGATTAGTCTGGGTAACATGTACTGCTCAGAAAGAAAGAGATATTGGAGATTTGTGTTTTCATCTGTCTAATTCAAAACATGCATGTGGATGAAGGGGACAAGCTCTGTCCTGGGGAGGGACAACGTACTCCTCTACCAAAGTAATTTTGTATTCTCAGTCCCCATTGGTGGCTCACACCCTCCCCACAAGTCTGACTTTGGATTTTCCCCTTTTTGGCCTACTTCCTTCTGGAGGCAACTCTGGGTGAAAGAAACCTCAAGGGGCAGGTGGTAGGAAGTCAGGCCAGGCTATTAGACTGGGGAAGGGAGAGAATATGGAGGCCAAGTCTTCCTGCTAATAGGAGATGAGGCTTTAGAAGCCACGAAAGACATAAGACTAACCAATGCTACCTGGCAATCCATTTCTATCAGCTCCAATCCTGGCTGCCTTTCAGCATTCACAGTCCAGTGCAGAGGAGGGTCTTTGAAGGTATAGGGATCAGAAAGAATTTCCTCCTTAGGTAAGATAAACTTTAATTTCTTTCTCTCTTCTCAGTAGGATTAACCTGATCTTCAAGGGAGAAAGCCAAGAGCCAGGGCAACCTTAGGTCAGGGGCTGAGGCCTCCTAAATGCAAGGGGATGTGCCTGGGAGATGTGTTCATGCTGGTCCTAGCCCAAGGTGGGAAAGTACTGGAGCTCGGGGGGCGGTGGCGATATGGAATTGGGAGGTAGGAGGTCTGCTACTGTCAAGGCAATAAAAGAGAAAGTGTTAGCAGTTCCTATTCTAGGAGCAGCTTACTCTACAGGGAGGCAAGAGTGCATACTTTTATAGAGCTTCAAAGGAAAGAATAGTCGGAGATGCAGGCTCAGGAAGTAGGGCAGAAAATCCAAAGTCGGTGGCCTTATGGTATTGTCTAGATGAGCATGTTTTGCACTTTGAAGCTTCACAGACCCAGTGTTAGGGGAAGCCGCTTCAAGGTGAGGCTCTAAGCCTCTCCATCAGACAGCAACTTCAATACCCAGCAAAGCGTAAAAAGCAATATTTTACTCATGTGAATGTACACGTGAAACAAGAGGGGGGAAGTGTGCCTGAAAAAAATAGCAAGCATCAAGTAGATGTGTTCTAAAGTAAAGAATAGGAGACCAGTAATTGCAGACCAAAAAGCTTTTCCTCTCCAGAGCCCGAACACTAATGCAGGCATTGTTCCTCCTTCAGAAACCCCTCTTAATAGAGCATTAGTACTTCAGAACATTTATACCTATTAGGATATGCTCATCACAGCTCTTGACAAAGCCTCTAAATTATACCTTTTATAATTCCGTTATTCTTTTTGTGCTGCGAAGTCTTATGCTGTGTGTTAATGCAAGGCAATTAGCTTTATCAGGAAGAAAAGAAAAACTGGCTTGACTTCTTGCAAATGCTGAAATTGCCAGATCACACACTCTGTTACTATCGCCCTTGAGCGCCACCTTCAGGCAGTTCTTTGGTACTGTTGTGGAAATTTCTAGCCTTCTCAAGGTTGCTTGTGAACTGAAAGGCACAGACAGACCCCTTTCCTTAAGCTGCCTGTTGGAATATGGTGATACAGATAAGTATAAGAACCTTCCAAGAGGCAGTTTTATTTCTGGTGGCTGATTTTTCACTGATTTGATTATTTTATAATGACTAAATGTTAGAAAGAGGCCTTTCTAACATTTAATTTGGGGGCCCTAAATGAAAAATTACTGGACTGAAAAACTGGTTTGACTCATTAGTCACTGAGGTTATTGACTAAATGAATAAATTTACTAGATGTTTTACTGAAACCCAAGACAATCCTGATTCTTAAATTTAGCTGTTAATTTCAACCACCTTCCAAATTTCAAACCTGGCCTTCTTCTCCAATTTTATATTTTTAAACCTGGCAATTAATTACTAGATGATGTTCTTCATTTTCATGTAGGGATTCTGATGAATAGGAAAAAAAGAAGAGAAAAAATTTCATAACCTTAACAAACTACCTTTACTAGTTAAAAACCATCTAGAAACCCGCTGATCTGATTCAAATAACTCCACTTATCTGTTGGTCTCTCCTCACTCTTAGCTTCTATTGGCTGCCTCAGAGTTGAACTTGGCTTGACTTTCAGCTCTGCTGCTTTCTGTGTGATTATATCACATAGAATGTTCTCAGCTTCAAGTAATAAAAAATCCAACAAAAACTGGCCACATCAAACTATTAACTCACTTAACACAGAAAGTCCGGGTGAGAGCAGTTTCAGGGTTGGGTAATTCATCTGTTCTCTTCTTTTTTTTTTTTGAGATGGAGTCTTGCTCTGTCGCCCAGGCTGGAGTGCAGTGGCGTGATCTCAGCTCAGCTCACTGCAACCTCTGCCTCCCAGGTTCAAGCGATTCTCCTGCCTCAGCCTCCTGGCTAGCTGGGATTACAGGTGCCTGCTACCATGCATGGCTAATTTTTGTATTTTTTTTTTTTTAGTAGAGATGGGGTTTCACCATGTTGGCTAGGCTGATCTTGAGTTCCTGACCTCAGGCAATCTGCCTGCCTCAGCCTCCAAAAGTGCTGGGATTACCGGCGTGAGCTCGGTCCAATAATATCTTAAGTAGCCGGGCTTTCCCCTTCTTTTTCCCCTGCCGACTTTAGTGTGCTGGCTTTTGTTCTCCAGATGGTGTCCACAGTTCTAGGCATCACCTCAGGGTGCAGCACAGCCTGTTTCATCAACACAATATGTTTGTGTTTCAAAGAAAGGAATTTTGCTTTCCCAGAACCCTGCAGAACACTCTCCCTCCATGCTAATGAGAATGGAAATTATCATGAGTAGTTTAGGTTGGCCCATCCCCGTCCTGGCTGCACTTTTGAATCACTGGGGAGCTTTATAAAACTACTGAGGCCTAGACTTACTCCAGATAAGCTGGTTTAACTAGACTGGGATGGTTCTAATGGGCAGCCAGTGCTCAGATCACTGGCATAGTTTAATCATGATTCCCTTACATTGGCAGCAAGCAGCTCAGCCTCCCCTGAGCATGGCCCACCTGGTGCCTTTAAAAATTAGGGTTCTAATACTGGCAGGAGGTCCAGAGGGATGGTAATCCAGCAGTCAGACAAGCACATTTCTATAACCAGTCAACTGTACTTTGAGTCTTTAATCTTTTGCCTGGAAAATAGGAATTATAATATGTGACTTGCAAGGCATGCCTGCAGGGGTTGCAAGCTCAGAAAACTCAGGAATGGGTCAGGGAGAATTCCAGTCTTAGCTGTTTCTCAATCGCCAAAGCTCACAGAGATACCATTTTGTCTTTCCCTTTTTTTTTTTTTTTTTTCTCTTCTCAGGCTTCCCTCTTCCTGACTTAGGACAAGGCCTTGGGGTTGGGTGGTGGCAGGGAGAAGGTTCCGGGTGACTTCTTACTGTGCTTCTAAAGCAGCATTATTCACAGTAGTTGAGATATGAAAACAATGTGTCCATTGACAGATGACTGGATAAAGAAAATGTGGTGTGCGTGTGTGTGTGTGTGTGTGACACACACAATGGAATATTATTTAGCCTTAAAAAGGAAGAAATCCTGCCAGTTGTGACAACATGGATTAACCTGGAGGACATTACGTTAAGTGAAATGTACCAGACACAGAACAACAAATATCATATGATCTCTTTTATATGAGGAATCTAAAAATAATCAAAACAGAGAGTAGACTGGCAGTTACCAAAGGGACCAGGGGGAGATGTAGGTCAAAGGGTACAAAACTGCAGTTACATAGGATGAATAAGCCTTGAAATCTAATGCACAGCACAAGGACGATATAATATTATATTATATACAGATGCTTCTCTAACATAACCTTATTGTAAGTCAAGAAGCATGCTGAATGTGTATCTCTTCCACATTGTCATAATGCTGAAACATCTTAAGTCAAACCATCATTAAGTCAAGGACCATCTGTACTGGAAATTCGCTTAGAGAGCAGATTTTAGGTGTTCTTACCACACACCCTAAAAAAGGTAACTCTGTGAGATGATGATATGTTAATTGGCTTGACTCTAGTAATTATTTCACTATGTATATCAAAACATCACGTTGTGCATTATTAAATATATACAATAAACAAACAAACACTGACATGTCCAAATAAGTAAGTAAATATATAATAAAGTTTGATCCCCTTCATCTCCAGCTGGCTTTATATCTCACTATCCAGCAATGGGAGGAAAACCAGGCAGCTTTTGTGGGCCTCTTGTCCTGGACTCCCTAATAGTTACTCTTGGGGCTGGCACCCAGTGTCTTGGTTCCCAGAGGTTTTCATGGAGGCTCTCTGAAAATAAGATTTCTTCAAGGAGTTTCTATCACAGGCTTGCACGGCCCTAGTTATTTTACACATCAGTGTTCTTTTTTCCTGGGTGGGGAGGGAATGACATAACACAGCCATGTACGTCGGAGACTCGAGCCTGGCTGCCTGGTCCGGCCCTCTCCATCAGAGCCCTTGTCCCCTTGGGATTTTCCCCTAGAGTCCAGTTTTCTCTCTTTCTCTCTCCAATTTGACCTCCTCTGGGGATTCCCAGCCCATCAAACATGTATGACTGAATATGTGTTTCCATACTCCATTGGCTGCCCACCATGTGCCAGATACCATCTGAACCTTGAGAACACAGCAGTGAACAAGACTGGCAAGGGCCCTGCTCCCACGGAGCTCACACTTGTGTAGGGTGACAGAAGACAGTAGACAATAAGCAAACCAGACCTAAGATCATGTCAGACAATGATAAGAAAATAAGAGGGGAAAGTGGGATAGTGAACCCTTGGGGTGGGTGGGCTACCTCAGAGGGGGCATCAGGCATCAGCACCTCTGAGGGGAGACATTTGAACTGAGGCCTGAACAGTGAGAGGGGCTCAGCCACAAAGAAGCTGAAGGAGGAATGTTTCAGACAGAGGCAACAGTGGGTAAGGCCTCCAAGGTAGAAACAAACTTGGGGTGTTGGAAGAACAGTGAGAAGGCTGGTGGGCTGGAGTAGAGTAGGGTCCAAGTTCATTTTAAGAGCACACATGGAACTTAGGCCAATTCCAGGACATGACTGGACACTTATGTTAATGGTTCCTAAAAGATAGTGTAACAGTTGGGAAGTTACCAGATGTTCTATACTGGGAGCCTTGTCTTCCCAGAACTCATGAGAGTCTCCCAGTGACAGCATTGCCTGCTTGCCTGAAAGGATCTCACCTTCAACTTTAAGGACAGGGACATCCAGTTTAATGTCACTCTGGTCTGATTCATTGTGATTCCATTATTTAAAAAACATGAATCTTTATTTCCATGACATCCGTAGAAGTTTTTCCCTACATTCCAAGAGCTGTCTTCCACTCTCAATCAATAAGAGCTAACAGAACTACGTGTTCTCTGCATTCCTGGGCAGTGCATGATACTACAAACACTCTCAACCAATGAGCTCTCTCCTCAGTTGAGGATGTTCTGCAACGTGGGACTTTATTTTTGCTATTGATTTTGTGTACTCGAAATTATTAGCCTAAGTCCCCAGTAAAGAGATTGGGTCTATGACCTGGGCTAGTCTCAATGAAAAGGAAGAGGGAATTCACCCGTTTCCCAAAACTTGGGTGGTTGAGATGATGTAGGCAGTTTTGAGGTAGAGCAGAATTGGGGGGCGGGTGCGGGGAGTCAAGGATTCTTCCATTCCAGGTTGGGAATCTGCAATCCCTTTGATGTAATAGCATGCCAGATGTTTGAACTATGAAATTGTTTCTGGGGTTCAGACTGTAGAACCCACTGAGGCAGAAATGTGGGAACTTGGTAGGAAAACATAAAGATGACAGCATGTTGGATACTTCAAGAAGGTACAAGGTCCTTTCCACGGAAGTTTTGCTAAAAGTGGATCAGGAACAAGAGGTGAATTATGTAACTTTGCTTCAGAAGCCACATCTACCTGTAATCAGCCATCAGAGGCTGAGGAAGGTCAGATTATCTTGTGTCTTCCTTATCATCGCCATCACTATCAGCAGCAGCAGCAGCAGCAGCAGCAGCAGCAGCAGAGTTCTCTGTCACACTCTATTACTAAAGCTAAAGATTGCATGTGATTATAGATATTTATTATTCTGGTCATTGTCATGGTGATCTTTGCGGAAAGATATTAGAGGAAAACTCCCTCCTAGTCATATCTGGAGGCCAATGTCCTTAAACAGAAAACTGGGGTCATACCCTGTAAAACCTATCAGACCAAGTAATCCAGAGCTGGGATGGGGGCAGGATCTCTTTAGAGTAAGACTTGCCTTCCAAGCCACATAACTGTCATCTGGAGCTTGTCACTGCTGACAATTTTCCTCCTTGCTGCCAGCTTGCTCTGTATCACGCAGGGCTATCATCAGTAACTTAGCCCTAAGAGGGGTACAGGAAAGATTAAAAAAAGGAATGCTATATTTGTGGGGGAATCATTCTCTAAAAGTCTCCCTTGCCAGCAAATTTTAAGTGGTAGGAGCAGTGGTTGTCACCACAGCTGGCACTTTGGGTTTTGTGGTGTGAAGCAAAGGCTTTTTAACTGAGAGAGGACTGGTGCCCATTCCTGGTGGCAGCTCCTGCCACTGGAAGCCTGGTTGGCCAGAATGTGATGCTGTGATGGGGACTGCATCTGGATCCCAGCTGTCAGGACCTGGCTTCCAGATCTGAATTCTAGAGCAGAGGGAGGGAAGGCAGAACACCTACCAGCACACTAATGTTTCAAGTTTGGCCTAGAGCAAAGAGCCTGAGTTGCTGTTGGCCAAACGTTGGCCTGTGTTTGTCAGACTGGGCTGAAGACTTCCTCCCTGGTCTATCCTTCACCTCTTATGCCACAGTTTTGGGAAACACTGTGCTCAGCAAGCTGAACTGCTTCTTGGGTGTGCGACTAGGGTGCCAGCCAGGCCAGGGACGTCCAGGACTGGAAGAAATGCAGGGGCAGGACCACAGCACAGGCTGATCAGGAGGCTGCCCCACCAGGAGCTCTGCTGAAGGCTGCATCCTCTCTGCTGAGAGTCAACCACTGTGCTGACTCACCATCCTTGTGGTTGAGAACCCATCAGCAAATTGGTGGCTCTGATGAGCCCTGGAGCTGCAAAATATAGGCCGGGGTACCTCAGCCGGAAGGGACTTCAGTTAGTGACAGGTTTTCTGTTCTGATATGGAGCTACAAGGGGCCCAAGAGGACCTGGGCATTTCCCTCTCTAGTCCCCGGAGGAACCATGAAACCAGGCCAGGAAGCAAGGCTAAGGGCAGGAGCAGCATCTGTCTCCAGGCGTCTGTTTGGATGGCTGTAAGTCCCACCTTGCTCTGTTTTTTTCTGCTATGGCTGAACCTGGATCTAGCAGGGTTCTCAGTTTCTGCTATGGCTGAACCTGGATCTCAGTCCCCTGGTGAGCTTAGCTCCTGCCTCCCAGAGAACTGGAATGACCTTATTCAGACACCTCCAGCCTGTATAAGTCAGGGGCAAGGACTGGGGAGTCAAGAGGGTTAAGGGAGTGAGAGGTGAGAGTTACAATCTACATTGTATTTTATGTCAACAGCATCCCCTGGAGTACTGCAAAGCTCTAAGTCAGATATCCCAGTGGGGGGCATCACCCATCCTAGACTTTCTCCCCTGCCCCATGCCCCTTATACCAACATCAATTCAGCACATAGCACTGTACTTGGCCATTAAGATAGTAAATAAATGCCTGGTGAATAGTTTGATAGACAGAAAGATGCCCACTCCCCCAACCCAAAGATGTTTACATTCTCATTCCTAGAAACTGTAAATATGTTATCTTAATAGCAAACAGGATTTTGCAAGTGTGGTTAACATTAAGGATCTTGAGATAAAGAGATTATCCTGGATTATCCGAATGGGCCTAATCTAATCCTAAAAAGCAGACAGGCTTCCCTGGGTGCAGTCAGAGACAGAAATGCAGCTAGGGGAATTGGAGTCAAAGAGAGGGCCATGAGAGAAGGATTCCATGCCCTGTGGCTGGTTCTGAGAGGTAGGGACTCTATGTAAGGACAGAGCAAATGTCTTCTAGGAGTTCAGGGTGGCCCCAGTTAGCAACCAGCAAGGACCTCAGTCTTACAGTCCCACGGAACTGTCAAGACCAGAATGAGCAAAGATAGTGATGCACCCCCAGAGCTGCCACCAAGGAACGCTGTCCTGCCGAGACGTTGATTTTAGTCCTATGAGACCCATAGGACTTCTGGCCCATAGAACTAAATGATAGTGTGTGTTTTAAGCTGCTAAAGTTTTGGTAATTTATTATAGTAGCAACCGATAATAGAAATGGCTATAAAATGGAATGTATTTTGTAACTGAACATAATTTTCTTGCCTCTGGTGTCCCTAATTTCCTTGGTGGCTGGCAGTCATAGAGAAGTCCTTTTCCATGGTTAGCTGTGTGCCAGTGACGGGGAGGGCATCCTTACTCTGGTCTCAAGTGCTTCTTGGCACCCCTGGGTTTACTTTTTTGCTGATGTCCCCTGGCATAGGTGTTGCTAGAAGCTGGCGTTTTTAGGAAGCACGTAGAACTCTCTGCTCCTTCATAGTCAGTCAGTGGCTCCATCCCAGGCAGGTGCTCCAGACCCATCCCATTCATTAGTCATCTATTCTGTACAAGAAACTTGATGAATTTTATTTCATTTAATTCTAACAACTATATGAATTAGGTAATGTTATCCCCATTTTACAGGGAGGAAAGCTGAGGCTCAGAGCAAGTGAACATCTAACCCAGGGCCACCAACAAGAGCTCAGGGATTGGAATCTGGGAGAAGATGCTTCCCTTCTCTTCTCCAAGAGTCCTTTTGGGGCTGGCAAGTTGATACAAGCTCCAGCTCATGTCTTCAGACAATGCTGGGTCCAAGGAAATGCATGGATCTCCTGCATTACAAAGTTTGACTCCAAGAGAAGCCCAGAAGTGGCTTCCAGCCCCTCCTACCTAACTGTGCCCCGCCGTTCACCACTTCCTGTCTTCCTGCGACCCAGTGACAGATGTGTCTGTGGGGGCTGCTACTTGGGAAAGTCCACCAGGAGGAGAGCATGCCAATCTCTCCTCTCAGATCCTCTGGGGGTTACTTTCCCCACCCAAACTAGGCCTTGATGTCAAGGCCTAGTTACAGGGATGTCAAACTAGGAGGTTGATGTCGGTGTGGTGTGTAAGATGTTGGGGAGAAGCTGCAGGTGCCTTCTTACCAGCTCTTCCTGAAAACTTGTCTCTCCCTCTCCTTGTTAGTCTGTTTTATAACTCACACTCCAGCCGGGGGGAAGTAAAGGAGCTTATCCCGTTCACAGATCCTGTAACCCATGGTGGTTATTACCTCATAGCTGGTGCAGTGTTCTTTGAGCCTAGCAGTTTGGTTTAGACTCAAGTGTCTATTCTTTGCAGTCTTTCTGGGGTTGGTAGCAGAGAAAGAGAAGAGAACAGGTAATTCGATCACTCAGGTTATTCGTGTGTAAAAGTTGAAGCCCTACCACAAACGTATGAGTGGATGTTATAGTGTAATAACCTGGACATTGCCAAGACAGCTTCCTCAGGGCTTTTGTTTCCTCAAGCCTACCTGAAGGCTCTCTTCTCAGTCACGGGGGATGGAATTGTTTCATCCCTGGCTTGCTCTGGGCCTCAGTTTCCCTATTCCAGGATAGTTTCCCTATTCCCTATTCTGCATCATAAAAAAAAAAATACACTCCTGATAGAAGTCGGTTGATGCTTTTGGCCTGCAGCCTCCTTAAGGTTAATAGTCCACATAATTTCCTCAGGGGCCCTGGCTGGCCTGTTGTGGGTGTACCCATGAAGTATCTTGATTTGCTATGATAGGAGCCACCTTGGCTTCCTGTGGAGATAAGCCCTGCCCCTCGTTCCCACTTTAAGCTTGAAAAGTCCCTTATCCAACTTTGGAATGGGAACTAGAAAGACTAAGCAGTGTCTCTCAGGGGTTCCTTCTGGGGTCACTCAGAAGAGGAGAACCAAGCAGTCTTGGCGGAGAGACACCTGAAGTTGGTCACTCGGCACATTACCAGGGGCTCAGCAATGACCAGCCTGCAACCATCCTGCCTTTCCCCAGGGGTCTGGGCTCCAGCCATGGAGGGTGGACTGGAGACTCCTTTGCCTTTCAACACTGTCTGGCCTGTCTCGGGTCCGGCACGTCTTTTCTCTACTGATTTTGTGGCTGTGGTTAACTTAGCTAACCTTTCAGTGAAATAATGTCTAGTGGCATTCCTTTACATTTTCCATGTGCTGTTTTTTCCATAACTCCATTTTCTTCAGGGCTGAGTTTGGGTCTTCATTTTTCCACCCACAGGCCTAGTTAAGCTTGGTCTTGTGCTCCAACTTACCTGCCCCAGACTTCTTGGATGGACATTGTCAATCTGGTCATATTGAGAGTGAAACTGCCACCTAGTGGTCACTGGAGGTGTGCCTGCCTTTTCATGAGCTCTCTTGCTGCTGGTTACCGGAAACATCAGTTGATGGTTTTCTTCTAAGCTAACTCAGAAGCTGTGATGTGAATCAGACCAAACAATTTATCTGCTTCAAATCCATATTGTAAAGAGGTTTAATATAAAGACATATTTTCAAATCAAAATAAATAATGAAGCAAAAATCAGATAGACATGTACTCCTTTGCCAAACTGGAACACAATTTTTCTTTCTTTGACTAAATTTCAATTCAAATGAAGTCCTACAAAGACAAAACAAATCAACTAACAAACAGCCCAACAAAAACACCTAAACCAAACAGCCCAGCAAAAAGCGGAATGGTCATTTTCATTTATCCAACACAAATCTACTTAGTGCTGGGCTGGTTCTGGTAGGCAACCAAGTGTTTAGTGGATACCCGAGCAGCTCATTCTAATACAACATGGCAACTTAAAATCAGGTGAAGAAATGCAGTGGGAGAAAACAAAGAGGAATTGGTAACTCTGCAGAGCAGTGACATTTGAATAGACTTGTCAAGGAAGACTAGATTTAGTCAGGCAGGAGGGAGAGAGGGCAGGGAGGGAATTCTACCTGACTAAGGAAGAGCATGTGCAAGGCCTAGGGGAATGGAAGAGAAGAATGAGTTCAGGTGTCTGGAAGAGGTTGTCTTAGTAGGTTTCCTGTTGCTGTAACAGAATACTACAGAGTGGGTAATTTATAATGAAGAGAAATTTATTTAGTGTATGGTTTTGGAGGCTGGGAAGTCCAAGAGCATGGTGCTGTCCTCCAGGAAGGGTCATTCCATGGCAGGGAGGCAGAAGGGCAAGAGAGGGAGTGTGAGAAAGAGAGACAGAGACAGAGAGGGAGGGAGGGAGGAAAAGGGGGCCAGACTCCCAAGATCGCTCACTCACTTCTGTGATGACAGCATGAGTCTATTCACAAAGGCAGAGCCCTCAGGACCTCATCACCTCTTACAGGCCCCATCTCCCAAAACTGTAACAACGGCAATTAAATTTCAACAACAGTTTTGGTGAGGACATTTGAACCATAGCAGGTGAGTAGTGTGGCTGAAAAAATATCATTAAGTCTAAAGCCTTGTAATGCATTAATTAACCACCTATTTTATATATTTATTGGCTACCTGTCTTATTCAAAGTAGATATACAAAGGTATGAGACATGGAGAAAAATTTAAGATGACATGGAGGTATATTGAAAAGATGTCAGTTCTTCCCAAATTAGTCTACAAATTCAAAACTAGCACAGTAAAGATCCCAGCAGGTTTTTTCTTTTGTGGAAATTGAGAAGCTATTTCTAAAATTTATTTAGAAATGTGGAGCCAAAAATAGCCAGACTATCTTAAAAAAGAACAAAACTGGAAGACTGATACTACTACATACCAAGAACTTTAATAAAGCTAAACGAATTGTTGGGAAACTGGCAACAATTAAAACTGAATGTACACACACCCTCGGACCCAGCAATTCCATTCCTATGTACATGTCCAACAAAAATGCATATATATTTAATAGAGATTTATACTAGATTGTTCAACACAATGGTATTCATAGCCGTAAATGGTGACTATCCGAATGCCTTTCAACCCGGTGGTGTCTTTGTACAACAGGATTCTGTATAGCAATGAAAATGAATGATTTACAATTACACACAACACTCTGGATGTATTTCACAAATATTACATTAAGAAAAAGATGCCAGACTCAAGAGAATACACATTGTCCAATTCCACTTATATAAAACAAAAAAAGGGCCCCAAACAAGGTCTTGCTCTGTCACCCAGGGTGGAGTACAGTGGCATAATCACAGCTCACTGCAGCCTCAAATTCCCAGGCTGAAGGATCTTCCTACCTCAGCCTTCTGAGTAGCTGGGACTATAGGAGCATGCTATCACACCCACCTAATATTTAAAAAAAAACTTTTTGTACAGATGGGATCTCCCTGTATAGCCCAGGCTGGTCTCAAACTCCTGCACTCAAGTGATCCTCCTGCCTCAGCCTCCCAAAGTGCTGGGATTACAGGCATCAGTCACTGCGCCCAGTGTAAAAAATGGCCAAAATTAATTGTGGTAGATTGATTGTACTAGCAGCTCTAACTCTTCATCTCTTAAAATCCATGCCCTTTGCCATATGACTGCAGCTCCTTTCACTGAAGATGTGGAGTGTATTTCCCCAGCAGGGTCAGGACTATGGTGAGGCAATGAAGGCAACTGCCCCAGCCTTAAAATTAAGGAGGCACCAAAATCCTCAGTAATCAAGAAAAATAATATTGAATGCAATGTTTTTGAAAAATCAAAATTAATGCAAGAAAATCCATTGTGAACAAAATTTCGATAAAGACAGGAGCTGACCCTGCACTTGCATAACTCAATTTACTAGCCTCACTCTACTAGCCTCACTCTAATCCTGGCTCTGTCAGATCCTATCTTGAATAAAGAGGATGCCTGCATATTTCTGTTTGTTCTCTTATTCTCTGCTATCACCATGGCCATGCCTGGCTAGCCTGCTGGAGGCGAGCTGTCCCCCAACCCCCAAGGTGCAAGAGAAAGTCTGTGGGGGATCAGTCACAGTGGTGGGAAAAATTATAGGGAAAGGATGCAAACCTTCTGAAAGGTTGGAAGCTCCTGCAGAGCCCCAGGAGAGAATAGCTGAAAGCAGCTGTTCTATAACCCTGAGGCAGAGGGCAAGGAGTAAGTACAAAGGAGTGTAGGGGAATTTATCTTAAACAGGCTTGTTTACTTATGTTGACCAGGAACTGACCTTTGATCATCCACACACCTGACTTTCTCTGGAAGGAGAACAATAAATGTTAATTACCTACAGGTTGTGTTGGCTCCAGGTTTTTGGCATTGTGCCTGAGCTGAATAAAAGCAAGCAGCTCCAGCTTCTCCAGGCTGCTGTCTGGCCGTTAGAGCCAGCCAGTCACCTAGCTGCTTTTATACTGCATACCTGTGTCTGAGTACTCATTTCATCCATTGGCCAAGGCCTGTGGGACAGACCTGGCAAGAGCCCAGCCAAGATGAACCAACTTGCCTACACAACCACCCCCGTGAGTGAATGATAAAATATTGAAGTTTTGTGATTGTTTGTTCTGCAGCAAGAGCCAACCGATGCACTGAACTATGTAGTTAAGGGTCAGGATAGAGGTTGCTTTTGGGAGATGAGGCATGAAGTGGGTTCTGAGGTGCTGCTGAGTTCTGTTTCTTAACCTGGGTGCTAATTACACAGTTGTATTCAGTTTGTGAAAATTGACTTGTATGTTTATGACCTGTACAACTTTCTATATTTTTATATTTGAAAACATTTTAAAGGGTAGGTGACAAGGCTCTTACTATTTTTTTCAAGGACAACTTACTGGGATAAGATGTATAAAATAAAAGTTACAAGCACCAGAGACTGAAATCAAAATCCAGAATAAATTGAACTTGAACTAATATTCAGAAAAATCTATGAAAATACCTATTTTGGACTCTATCCACAATTATTTATGTGAAACCACTTAGAATTACTTAGACCATTATTTTTAAATTCTGTTAGGCATGACACAATCACAACATAAGAATATTCTCTGAACCAGTATTTCATTCGGTTTGGGTTTTTGCTGAATTCATCTTTACATGTGGCTTTGCATGGCCTCATTTCAATAAAAATGAGACCAATGTAAATTATTATGATGGCTATTTTTCGACCATATAATACTGCTAATGTCAGTAGGCTTTTCTTTTCTTTTTTTTTAATGGAGTCTCCCTCTGTCGCCCAGGCTGGAGTGCAATGGCAAGATCTCAGCTTACTGCAACCTCTGCCTCCCAGGTTCAAGCCATTCTCCTGCCTCAGCCTCCCGAGTAGCTGGGATTACAGGCGCCACCACCACGCCTGGCTAATTTTTGTATTTTTAGTAGAGACAGGATTTCACCATGTTGGCCAGGCTGGTTTTGAACTCCTGACCTCAGGTGATCCACCCGCCTTGGCCTCCCAAAGTGCTAGAATTACAGGCGTGAGCCACTTTGCCTGGCTGGCTTGGCTTTTCTATGCACAGAGATTAGATATAACTATCATTCAGCATCAATCCAGGAGCAACTTTATCCATCCATCCAGTCTGATTCAATCATTATCTCATACCTGATGGGAAGAAGCTGGCATCTAATCAGAACTGTGATTTCCTTGCTGTGGATTCCTTTTTCTAGCTGGCTAGAATTGACTCTGAAGTGGGTGGGAAGAGCCTGTTATCAATTTGATGTCAAAGAGAAAGTCGTTCTGTTTTAAGAATTGAGATAAAAAGGGGAAAATACATAGCTAAATAATGGCATTTGTGATGTCTTCCTCCATATCCCAAAAGAATAACTTCTAGTTGCTTTTCAGAAAGACAGGCAAACCTGTACGAGTTCTCTGGGGGAAAAAAAGAGTTCTATCTAGTACCAGATTTGTTCCCTGCCCAGGTGTTTCCTATGCACCTGGGCCTGGCAGTGCCATGCCCCACTTTCCACAGCAGATGAGGGCCAGGAATGGTGCCAAGGTCTTTAATTACAGGAACTCATCTAATCTTTGTAACCCCTCTATGGGGAGGCACTGTCATCCTCTTTTTACAAATGAGGACCCTGAAGTGCAGAGATGTTGAATCACTTGCCTAAAGTCGCACAGCGAGAACCTAGCAGAGCTCGTATTGAGCCTGGCTGTCCGGCTCGGGGTGTGTGCTCTTATCACCAAAACTTGCTCTCAATTCATACCACGAGTTGTCAATTCCAAAGGAGCTGTGAGAAATCCTCTTTTAGAAGGAAAAAATTATTTTACAAGCAGAGCTACCTCTCCCTAATTTATAGCTGACATAAATCAAATTTTTAGATCCATCAGGCTTGTTGTCGGATAGGGCATTCCTAAGTATGAACTTATAATGAGATTATTTTGAAATGAATGACTTAAAATTATCTTTTAATGTAAGTACCTGAAACGTCTATTTATACTGTCCTGTTTTGACTGCATCACACAGGAAGTTTGTGTGGTGTGTTTGACTCACTGTTAATTTCATAAGTCCGTGTCTCAGTTACAGGTAAAGGCCCTTTGGAATCGAATCAGCTTACCTGCTTTTTTTTTTTTTTTTTTTTTTTTTTTTTTTTTTTAAGCTGTGGTACCCAGCATGAATGATAATTAGTAGGTGCTCAGAGTAGGTGCTTAATGATTGATTAACGGGACTGAAGTAAAATGCTTCCAGTTTAGCAGAGATTCTGGAGTAAAAGGAATACAGTGAAAATGATTTGTTAAATTGACTGGCAGTACATATGTAAATTACAATGAAAACATTCTTATTGACAGGCAAACAAAACATTGTATATTTGGTTCTAAAAATTCTCGTAATGAAAATTCTTTATCTGTTATGCCCCCTTCTGTATTCCGTCAGTGTAGTGGTGGTCCTCCTGCTCTCGTCCTTCCTACCAGCATGAGTAAAAGTCACAAAGTTTGAATAGATCACCTATCAGATGAGCTGCTTGGACTGTCAGGGCATTTTAGCTTTCAGGAGGCCATGGTTTCCATTTTCTATCTTAGAATCGGTTTCTTTCCTTCTGGGACCCTCACAGAACTGCCACCGATGCACATCCCTGCCTTTTGTTGTAGTCAGAAGGTGAAGTGGTGAAGATTTCAGGCAGATGGTGGGAAATCTAGAGGCTATCGTGCATCCTGTAATCCCTGACCAGGTGAGAAGGTATTTCTGGGAAGACCGACCCGGCTCACAGTCCTCCCTCAGTCACGGCTGAGGAATCACAGCTGAAAGGATTCTTGAAGGCACTGGTGACAACAGCTGCTCTCTAGCTCTGTATAATCTGTCATTAGGGACCGTAGTTTTTGTTATTTAAAACAAAGTGCTTGTTTTAATCCAAGTAGCAACACATTCTTGCTCCTTAACCAAACAGGTCGGCAACTTCTTTCAAGAATTCAGCTAACGTTTATGAGCTTCCATTGTGGACAAAATCCAATTCTAGGTGTTTCAGGGCTTGGGAGGTTGAGGGTGCAGACTTGTTCCCCAGTGCATGGGGGGCACTGGGAGTTGGGATAGCATCAGTCAGCTTTAACATGTCATATGTGGACTCTGATGAGGGATGTGAGAGCGAGAAAAAGACAAAGGGTGGGGACAGACTAATTTCGACTAAGGGACTATACAGGGATCCTTTTCCTGGAAATGAGATTAATGAGTCACCCTGAAGAAAACATGCTTTCAAGTCCCGTCTTAGCTTTGGCATTATTAATTCACATCCAGATTTGCTGCAAATGCATCTAATTAAGCTTCCAGCCTCCAGTCTTTCTCCACTAGAAACTTGCTAGCCCACTGCCACAATTTACATTCCCAAGTCATCCAGAGAGTTCTTGAGCCTGCAAGGGGTTCCTCCTTTGTGTAACGGTATGCACCCCATTCCCCATTATCCAAGACAAATTTCTTCCTGGGTTCAGAGTTTAGTTAACATTAAAATGATCCTGACTTTCATAGTTCATATAGAAAGGTTTTGGAAAGAAAGCAATCATGGATTATACGGCAATCTTTGTATTCTAGAGGGTGGGTTTCAGCATACCGCCTGCCCCAAGGTTACAAAAATTTGAGGATGTACAAGTCCCTAATAGAAAATGACATATTTTCATCTAGCTACACAATCCTCCCATATATTTTAAATTATCTCTAGATTACTTATAATACCTAATACAATGTAAATACTATGTGAACAGTTAACACTATATTGATTTTTTAATTTTAATATTGTATTGTTGTTCCTAATCATTTTTTTTGGAATATTTTTGATCTGCTGTTGGCTGAATCCTCAGATGTGAAACCCATGGATATGGAGGACTGACTATGTAAATTGGGCTATTTCTTCATTTGGCAATGATGTACCCAAAAGAGAACATTTTAACTGTAAACAAACTTTTGTAGTAAAAAATGCTTACCTTTGATGACCTGGAACTGAAGCCACACCTCTTGTAAGCAGTGAGAGACTGGCAAGGATTTGATTGTTTTCCTCTTTCAATAAGGTACAGCTGTGATCTTCCAGTGGCTTCCAATTGAGCCCACAGACTGATTGCAATTAGAATCACCTGGGGGAGAATTCCGACCCTGAAGTTTTTTGGTTTCCAGCCGTAGAGATTCTGTGGCAGAACTAGAAGAGCCTGGAAATCTATTTTCAAAAAGCTCCCCAAGGGATTCTGCATGAACCAACTTTGGAAACAATTGTTGCAGGGACTATATGATTGACAGGTAAAGATCTCGTCATTAGTGATACTGGATTAAGCTCTTACATGACCTCAGTTTCAAGGCTGTGCTCACTCAAGTTACTCACTGCTCATGTAGGGAGAAAAAGGATAGCTTGATGGGCAGAACCGAGTAGTGATCCCAAAGTCGATTGGGAACACTTGGTTGGTTCTACATGGGAGAAAATTTTCTGTGCTTATGACACATTATTGTTAAGGTGAGATTTGGGGAATTGGCATAAATCCTTTTTGCATATCTAGTACAACTTCCTGCAAGCAACAACTTATTGATTGCCTAGCTGTCCCCATTTATTGTTACCCAAAATACGTAATATTAAGTGATATTAGAAAAAAACCTTCTTGGTTGCCATTTTTCTACCTCCCTCATTTCACTTTTCCACGTTCCCTTTTTGTTTTTTAAAATATTTTTTCAACTTTTTAGATACAGGAGTCACATGTGCAGATTTGTTGCATGAGTATATTGCACCCAGGTTGTGACTAGAGTCCCTAGTAGGTAGTTTTTCAGCCCACGTCTCTCCCTCCCTCTCTGGTAATCCACAGTCTTTATTGTTCTAATGTTTATGTCCATCTTTTTTTTATAGTCTATAACCATAATTTATACTTTTATTTTAGTATTCAAGAAGTATTTTTGCATTTTTACAAAGGATTTTTTCAATTTCCCTTTGAAATCTGCATGTTCTTGCTAGCTTTTAGTGTACCTGGGTTTACGCCGCACTGGTGGAATCTAATACTTGGTACAAATCAACATCCTGGGGGTTGCTAGGAAGGCCACATGCACACTTTTAGGTATAGTTGATTGACACCAGCGATGGCTTGGTGTACTTTAATGGCCTGAAAGTCACTCTCAGCAAGTGCTCAGCTTTTGACGCTCAGTGTAACACCCAAGAATGACCAGGAGATGGTGTTGTGGATCAACTTTTCTCCCACATTGAGCCGTGCAGGTGGTTTTCAGAGAACCCAAGATGATGAGATACAGGCTAATAAACTCACATTTGCAAACTAAGTAAAATATTTGAAATAAAAAATTTAACTTTAGGGATAAAGGTTGATGAACTGACTTTGCACATTGCTCTAAAGCCATCAGATCTGAACTTGACACAGAGCTTGACCTTGGAGGAGGTGTAGTTTGTTGAATATTTACTGGCAACTTTCTGCTCTTAGTAAAGAGGTCAGAGAAAGCCCTTGAGGAAGATTGGAGAGCAGTCTGAGGCTTCCTGCCACCCTAAGAGCAGCACAGAGAAGTGATTACAATATAAATGGAATTCTAAGAAATGCATATATTTTATACCGTCCTTGGCTTAATCATGAAAATGTTAGGCAAAAGTTGCTATCTACAAAATTAGCATAAGGAGAATATCTGATGCCGAGGGTCACAGGATTTTGCCCAAGTCTTTTGTGATGGCTAAGCAGTTGGCTCCCTTTCCTAGGCATTCGGAGATAATGCTAACAGACTGTTGGGTTTTCCTCTTGTGTATTTATAACCTCTTGTGTTTGTAGTTAGAATGTGGCCTGCTGGAATGGATTTTCTTTCCTATTTGCATGTAAATAACACCACCATGACCCTGTAAATTTCCCACAAGCAGTTTTAGAAATACAGTGGTGTTATCCCAGAGGTGGGGGCCCCTGCATCATTCCTAAGAGTGTCTAAGTCAATTAACCCAGTTGGTTTGATTATGGGCCTAAGACATCCAAGGTCACAGTAACCATCTGTGGCAAGATCAGTAAAGTTAGAAGAGAGAAAGCCTATGTACTCCAGGCACCAAGAGGAATGTGCCGTAACACAGGCAAAGTATGTTACTGGTAACATGGAAAGTTATTGGTAACGTGGAAAAATTGCGTGGCTCAGCAGTATCCCTCAGTGTTTAACAGAGAAGGCACTTAATGATGTCATCCTCAACGGCAGAGCCATTTATGTTTATAGAGACCTTCCTAAGAATAAAGTTGTGTGAACTCATGGTTCCTGGCTCAGTTTTATTTATGTGACTCTTTATGACTTGTGTCTTTTAAGATTTTTCTCTTTTGTTTTGCTTTTTTTTTTTCATGACAATTATGAAGAAATGGAAAGATACCTTTGTTTATTGACGTAATCAGGGAAAGGTGTAAAATTCAGTGGTGATTCTCCCACTGGGGAGCCTCTACCAGCTGCAAAATTTTAGGAACTGTGGAAAACAGGTTTTTCACCATCCATGCATGCTTTCTATTGGTATTCCCTGTTAGCCGCTGCAATCCAGATGTGTACTTGAGATTTATTGTTGTTTACTTGGGAAGCAAAATCTCCCATGAAACAGGAAAAGGATCTTTCATATAAAGAATAAATATTTGTGTTCTAGATGGAGAAGCAAATGCTTTTCTGAGCCCAGTTTCTGGGGCTGGCTGGCTGAATGTCTGGTACACAATAATAGTTCACATTCATTGACTAAGGGACAGGCTCTGTGCTAAGCATGGTGCAAGTATCACTTTTGATTTTCATGAAACCTTGTGAAATAGGTACTGTTATTATCTGCTTTGCTTTTTGTTGGGGTTTCTTTTCTTTTTTTTTTTTTGTTTTTTTCCGACAGTCTCATTCTGTCACACCCAGGCTAGAGTCCAGTGGCACAATCTCGGCTCACTGCAAACTGCACCTCCCGGGTTCAAGCAATTCTCCTGCCTCAGCCTCCCAAGTAGCTGGGACTACAGGTATATGCCATGACGCCTCGCTAATTTTTGTATTTTTATTAGAGAGAGTTTCACCATGTTGGCCAGGCTGGTCTCGAACTCTCAACCTCAGGTGACCCACCCTTCTCAGCCTCCCAAAATGTTGGGATTACAGGCATGAGCCACTGCACCTGGTCATTATCTGCATTTTTAAGGATGAGGAAACAGACTCACAAAGATGGAGTAACTTTGGTGAGATTCCCTGGCTGGTACATGGCAGAGGCATGACTTAAATCCAGTTCCAAGAATGTGTTCTTAAATAGTGTGCTATTCTATTCAGCCTGTAGCTTTTTGGAGACAACCTAATTTCAATCTAATTCTTTTTTTTTTTCCAAACAGGATTACATATGTGTGATTCTGTAAGTGGGAAGTAGATCCAAATTTCTGTGTTCAAATATGCCCCTAAGCTCTTCAATAGGCTGCAGATACAAGGGGGGCTAAGAATCATGGGGCTAGTGTAGTTTTTTAGTAAGTCATGTGCATGTATATTTAACATCTCCTTGGAATGTAAGGCTACCTTTCCTTCATTGCTCTCAGCCTGGGACAGTGTCAAAAATTCCAGGCAGCAAAGTCTCATTCAACATCCTATTACAGTAGAATACTTCATTCATCTGAGTGCTCAAATGAAAGTTCTATGGTTAATAGGAAGTACCCTCCTTAAAGGGCATTTATGGATCTATCTACTGTTGAGCATATTCTCTGGGGTTTCATCCATTCAAAGTATCCTCTTTATTTTCTGTAGCAACACACTATTCTTGCAAAGGAAACTTCTTCCATGTTAATTACCAAGAAGATAAATTTTTCTTCATATCACTTGTATATGTAAACTTAAAATTAGATAAGTAAAAATTGGTTTTATTAATGTTTAACTTGGGCAGGCAAATTATTTTTTGATTTTTTTTCTTTTTTTTTTTTGAAACGGCGTCTGGCTCTGTTGCCCAGGCTGGAATGCAATGGTATGATCATGGCTCACTGCAACTTCTGTCTTCTGGGCTCAAATGATCCTCCCGCCTTAGCCTCCTGAGTAGCTGGGACCACAGGCGCACACTACCACATCCGGCTAATTTTTTATATCTTTGTTAGAGAGGGGGTTTCACCATGTTGCCCAGGCTCATCTTGAACTGCTGAGCTCAAGTGATCTGCCTGCCTTGGCCTACCGAAGTGCTGGGAGGCATGAGCCACCATGCCCGGCCCAGGCACATGATTTTAAAGATTGAGAACCTAGTACTACTCCCTTCCTTTGGAGGTTGATTGTTTTTTCCCTGCAGAGACCTTCCTTGCTAAAAGTGTCTCTTTTGAGAGAGACCATGTAACACTTTGCTACAATGACTTGGATAAAGTAGATCCCATTATAGACAAGTGAGTTAGGGAAAGAGTCATAGAAGCCAGATTTGAGTTAGATCCTGATCTTGAAGGAAACACAGAATTTGGATGGATAAATGTGCAGAGCTGGGTGAATTATGTGGAGAAAAAAGTAGGATGAGCCAAGATTAATTGCAAAAGTGAGCCTATTGGATATAGAATAAGAGGCCTGACTTGAGTAGAAGGTAACTTGCCTGTATGGCATGGAAGTGAGTGCATAATTTGGATGGATGAGGAATGTGAATTAATAGAGGATGTTGTGGAGTTGGCAGGACACTAAGAGCAGTATCTTAGTATGGATGTATCTTTGGAAACCAAGTGTTCCAAGCCTCACATTGTACAGATGAGACAGCAGAGATTCAGGATGGGGAGGAAACTTTCTCACTATCAATGGCAGGAGGGTCAGTCATCACTTGCTCCTTTGTACCGTGCAGTCTCTGTGCTTATCTGAGCACAAACATGAAATCGTTGTAGTAGGAAGTAAAGAAGCTCTGCTAGAACTCAGTATAATAGGTACGGTACCAGTTTGCTGGACGTATTGAATAAGGAGAAAATAGAGAAACTATTATTAAAAGGATACATACATACAAAATGGGGTACATACTGTGGCCTTGGCTATTGGCAGGGAGACAAAGGAGATCATCATTGAAGATACATTGAGGAAGAAGTTGATAGGACCCAATATAGAGCCCAGAGAAGAGGAAAATAGTTCATTGCAAGTTTCGAATTTTGCGTTCTTGCAGAATATTATTGTAGGGGGGTGGGCAGGGAAGGAGGTGAAATTCTAAGCTTGAATCAAAATGTTTGAAAACTGACTTGGTGATAGACAACTGGAAATAGCCATTCATTTATTCAGCGGATATTTATCGAATGCAAACTATAAACTATTGTGCGAGGTGCTGGGGATATACTGGTAAACAAGCCAGATGTGCTTGGACCATAACCTCCTAGAGCTTTCATTCTGGTGTGTCCTGATGGGGAAATAAGGCCTTCCATGAGAGGCACACCTGGAGCAATGGCTGTGCCATGCTTGGCAGTGACCTCTCACAGACAGCAAGTAGACAGTGCCCTGCAGAGGGCTGAAGGAAGAGCCGTGGACCCCCAGTCATTGCAGAAAGATGCTATCATTTATGAACAGGTTATGTGTTTTAGACAAACTGTCCTAAGAATTTTTAAACCATCCTTCCATTTCTTTATATTTAAATCCATTGTTTGAGCTCATCCCTGCCACAGAATTCTGACAAGTGAATAGAGTAGATGATTAAACAGGCTGTCAATGGTGCAAATATGTCCACCAACCCAAGATAAAAGATGACAGCCTCTAATGATACTTTAAAAATTCTCCTGGCCCACTGAAGGGGCACTGGCACTTTTTGTTTAATTTACCAGGATTCTTCAAGCTATTCCCTAGCTCTACTAGGTGATATTAAGTGCTAAACCCTTTCTCCCTCTCTTTTATTCACCTGAGCTTTAACCCAAACTTGGACTGGGCTTTAGGGAGATTAGGAAATTTTGATGAATGAGATGCCTAAAAGACATAAGACAAAGTCTCCTGAGGATGATTATTTATTTAGAGACTGGGTCTCACTTTGTCGATATGCAGTGGCATAATCACGTTTTACTACAGCTTTGACCTCCTGGGTTCCAGTGATCCTCCTACCTCTGCCTCCCTAGTAGCTGGGACTATTGGCATGCACCACCATGCCCTGCTAATTTTTTAGTTTTTTTGTAGTGACAGGTCCCGCTATTTTGCTCAGGTTGGTCTTGAACTCCTGGGCTCAAGTGATTCTCCCACCTCGGTCTCCCAAAGTATGCCACCACTCCCGGCCTATTCTCCTGATGAAATAGCACAAATAGTTGTCCAGGTTAAGGAAAAATCTTACTAAATGGCAATAATGCTAAAATTAGCATTGATTTACATTTTCAAGGCTTGTTAAGCACTTTATTATATGATAATGATTTATTTTGTTAAAACATTTTAGAAAACTCGCAAACGATCACAAGGTAGATCTTAATAGGTATGAGATAAATTACCAAAAGTGAATCTATACCAAAGCAAAGAGAAATTGTCTTAATGACCAAAGTTCTAAAGTCTTTTCCAGAAATGTCTTCCAGGGTGGGATTGCATTGAGAAGACCCACAGATGTTCACCCTTCGAAAGACTGACTCTACCTCTGGAGAAATTTTAACACTCCTTCAGGGAGGGAAGGAGCTATTTGCGATGCCCTGATTTGCTCTGCCAACTTCCCATTCTTCTCCTTCCCATGTGATTGGATGTGTGTGCTATCTTTCCCTTGTCTGTGGCTATGCTTGGTTCCCTGGCATTTCCTCCTCCCTTTATTACCTGGACATTTGTCTATCCTGCCTCTCATTTTTCTTTCCAGGAACACAAAGGGTCCCGGAATTTTTATATCTGCCGTGATCCGTTATGATTATATTTTAAAGCTTAACTCTCCAGATGGCATTACTTTATGGACGTTCATGTTGGAATAGGGGAAATTGTCTGTATGTCCTCCACGTCTAGACAACGATATTTCTGCCAGGAACGTCTGATAAGGTCATCTCCAGGTTCAGCAGATCGTTAAGTGGTGGCAGCGTGTCCCGATCTTTCCTGAGGTGCACTGCAAATAATTTCCTATGATTAACGTTATCTTAGTACCAATGCATGTGAATGTTAATTCTTGAAAAATCAGAGGATTGCAAGTTATTCCCATCACCAATAATACTCATTCCTTAATATTCCAATGCTTTCTGAAGTAGAAGAGAAAGCTGTGACGTTGCATCATTAAATCAAAATGGACATGACCCACAGTCAATCTGGGTACCTACGAGGCAGTGTATTTACATGTCTTTATTATTTTTCACGGTGGGAGGTAGCAACTGCATCATGGAAAATATGGAAAAAACTCAGTTTTTTTTGGAATAATAAATCCAGAAGCCAAGAGGTCCCCCAGCCCTTCTCCCTCATGAATATTGAGCTTACTTTGAATGACATAAAATTAAAAGGAAATTTCTTTTATAGTTTAGTTAAGGCAACGTGTATTGGCTCAACATGATTCATGATTAAATATATGGATCTAACTCCATCCAACACAGAGACCTGCCCAGCCATTTTGGCCCTGCCCACGAATGGGCAGTGCCTTCTCTCTCTGCCATCTTTGCTTCTCTCTCCTTGCTTTCCTGCTTGCTCTCCTTTCCTGCCTGCGTGCTTCACTGACTTACTCACCATATTCCATCGCTCCTCTCTCAACAGAGAGTCTGTCTTCCTACAGTGTGGGTGCCTGCCAGCAATAATGGAAACAGTGGAAAATTTTCTTGTGGTTGGAGATGAAGCCAACAGCAAAGGAAGCTCGTTCCTAGCTCTGCTCTCCTCCCCTGCAGACCCCCTTCTCTCAGCTCTGCATTCAGGCTGGGGACTGGGAGTACAGGACTTGTGGCCAGAAGATCCAAGAGATTTTTTGCTGGCTTTTGCTGCCTGAAGTGTGCTCTGAAACAGCAATCAAAAAGGCTTTCTGGAGGCCTGGAAGGATGGGAGGGCACCAAGCAAACACAGTTCTCCTTCAGAGAAAGCTGCTGGACACCAAAGAAGGGCCCCCAAGCTTCATGAGGTTACTGTTGCAGACCCCCTGCAAACACAGGGGCCCAGTGAAATAAATACCTCCATGCCCTGGGGGCCTATCTGGCCCTGTTAAAACTGTGCCCCTGCATGTTTGGGTTAGTTCATTAGAGAATTTCCAAGACTCTTGAAATGCTTGTGGGTAACCTGGAATTTCCTTAGAGACCTGGCTGCCGAGATCACTAACCAGCATCAGGGACCTATGCCTTCTGTGAGAGACAAAGACAGTTGTGTAGAAGTGGGTCATAGGAAATTTTTGGAAGTTATTCAGCCACAGATTCCTTTATAAAACACAAACACACCAACTATAAAAGTTCTAGAATGTGGCAGAGAAGACCTAAATCTCAATCAAGGCAGAGAGATGTATGCAGCTGTCCTTGTCTCTGCTAAAGGCCAGCTTTGTAATATATATTTATTGATACAGGCTCACACAACTAATGGGATAGACATCGACTGCCATTTTTAGTTCTCTCTCTTTTTTTTTTTTTTTTTTAAACAAATCTCTCACCCAGGCTGGAGTGTGGTGGCATGATCTTGGCTCACTGCAGCCTTAAGTTCCTGGACTCAGATTCTCCTGCCTCAGTCTCCTGAGTAGCTGGGACCACAGGCATGCACCACCACTCCTGGTTATTGGTTTTGTGTGTGTGTGTGTGTGTGTGTGTGTGTGTGTGTGTGTGTTTTTGTTTTGTTTTTTGTTTTTTGACAGTTTCGTTCTTGTTGCCCAGGCTAGAGTGCAATGATGCAATCTCAGCTCACCGCAACCTCTGCCTCCCACGTTCAAGTGATTGTCCTGCCTCAGCCTCCGGAGTAGCTGGGATTACAGGCATGCACCTCCATGCCCCACTAACTTTGTAGTTTTAGTAAAGATGGGGTTTCTCCATGTTGGCCAGGCTGGTCTCGAACTCCTGACCTCAGGTGATCATCCCCTCTTGGCCTCCCAAAGTGCTGGGATTACAGGCATGAGCTACCAAGCACGGCCTTTAGTTCTCTTTGATGTTGAAAGGCAAAGACCTGATGGGATTCATGAGGATCCTCAAGATCTTATGGCACAGAACAATGGTTAAACAGTAGATTTTCTGAATAGCGACTTAACTGACCTTTCCTAGCGATGTTAGGTTTAAGTTCCATCAGAGGAACTCTCAGGAATGGACACATGGGATCTTTTTTTGGGATGAAACGGGTCACTTTCAGCCTCATCTCAAGTACACCCTTGAGACCCTGGAAATACTTCGGGGGGCTACCCCATTCCTTAATTTTCTGTAGTATCAGTGAGAGGTAAAGCCAGCTGGATTTCCTGGGTTGAGTGGGGACTTGAAAAACTTTTCTGTCTTACAAGAGGATTGTAAAATGCACCAATCAGCACTCTGTAGCTAGTAAGAGGATTGTAAAACGCACCAGTCAGCACGAGTCTAAAAGTAGCCAATCGCAAGGAAGATTGAAAAAAGGGCCCTCTGACAGGACGGAAATGGAATATGGGAGGGGACAAATAAGGGAATAAAAGCAAGCCCCTGCAGCTAGCAGCAGCAACCCGCTCGGGTTTCCTTCCATGCTGTGGAAGCGTTGTTCTTTGGCTCTGGCTCTTAGCAATAAATCTTGCTGCTGCTCATTCTTAGGGTCCATGCCACCTTTAAGAGCTGTAACACTGTGAAGGTGAGGCTTCATTCTTGAGGTCAGCAAGACCACGAACCCACTGGAAGGAACGAACTCCGGACACATTAGCATGTTCCTTTCTTGTATAGAACATTATTTTGTCATTTTTGATTCACTTGACAAATATTTACTAAACATGTGCCTGATCCTTTATTAAGTAGTGAGGAAATATGGTGAGCAAGACAGACCCAGGTCCCTGCCCCTCACAATTATAAAGTCACCATAAAGAAGGACAGGCGGTCCCTTTGATGCTGCATCTGTGGGCATAGGCTCTGGAGCCGGGGCCATGTTGCTTTTCTTGCCTCTCTCTCTCCCCATCATTGTGACTTCTGCAGTGGCTGAATCAAAGGTAATGAACTAATAACATGTCTCCATTTTTCTAATTGTTTTCCAAAAATGAGTAAGTACTCAAAGAATAGAGTTTGCTGTAGTGTGTGATGGTTGAGGGTTGGGAACCAAATAACCTAGGTTTCAATCCTCTTTCACCACTTTATTAGCAGCATGACCCTGGGAAATATTTTTAAGTCTGTCTCTGCTTGTCATTTCTTGTCTTTAAAGTGATGATGATTATATTCTCTACCTCACAGGGGTTTTGTGGGGATTAAATGAGTTAATAATCAAAAAGTATATAGAATAATGTCTATCGAGCGTTCAATAAAATTAGCTATTGTTAATTACACTAAAGCCTAGGGGCTGGAAAGGACTTGGAAAACCCAGTCTTCAGTTCAGATAATACATACTTTATAACCATGAACTGAATATAACCATGTATTCAGTTCAGATAATACATACTTTATAAACCACGGCTAAGATGGATAGGGAGAAGATGACAGAAATAAATGGGAAAGCTCACTCTCTTCAGATTCTGCCAGTGAATTATCTGCATCAGGGCATCTGGAGGTTGCCCAAGGGATCAGGATGCATGAGAATTTAAGAGGTATTGGGTGGTATTGACCTACTAGGGTCCTGAGGAAACCTCAACTGCAGAAGGATGAGTAGGGGAATCTTCTGCCAACCAGGTCATAAGCAGGGCTCTAGTCAATGATTCCTTGGGATATCTATTTTTCTTTCATGGTGTTTGCCCATAATTGACAACTGGAAGAAGTTATTCTGGGTTTGGGGTGAAGCTATGGTATAAGCTGCTATATAGTTTTCTCAGACAGTTTATGCATATTATTTTTACATTGAGAGAACCTTCTGGGAATGAATCTCAATTTATTGGGACAGTCCTAACTCTTGGTTCTCCATACCACTTCTAATGTATACAATCCTTTGTATCTATTTCTAATGAAGGTGGCAATGATATATACCCGAGGCATGGTAGAAGAGTCCTGACTGCAAGTTAGGAGGTCTGGGTTCTGGTTGTGGCTATTTATGTGAAGTCACTTAATATCTTGGTGTCTTAGTTTCCACATGTCAAATGTAGCATAAGATTTTGATACTTGCTAATGGTGCTTGAAGCTGTAATGTGTTCTATTGTTTGTACAATAGGCCTCAGTATTCAGGGTGCTCAATCATTTAGTGACTTATTCACCTATAGAATTATCTGTTTAGTTAATATTTGATAGTTTTTTTAAGAAATAAGTTTTGCTTAAGTTATGAAAATGTTAATTGCTCACAAAAACAAAAATAAGTATGTATCTACCATCCAGGTTTAACAGATATTAATATTTCATTATATTTGACCTTTATCTTAAAAAATGTGATAGATAATTCATTTTCTCCCTCCCTAGCAATAACCACTATCTTTAGTATTCTTTTTACATAAATTTTTATACTTAGACATGGATGTGTTTTCTCTATAGCACTGAGTTTTTCTTATTTTTTTATTTTTTATTTTTAGACAGTCTTCCTCTGTCGCCCAGGCTAGAGTGCAGTGGTGTGATCTCTGCTCACTGCAACCTCCGCCTCCCAGGTTCAAGCAGTTCTCCTGCCTCAGCCTCCGAGTAGCTGGGATTACAGGTGTGCATCACCACTCCCAGCTAATTTTTGTATTTTTAGTAGAGATGGGGTTTCGCCAGGTTGGCCAGGCTGGTCTCAGACTCCCAACCTCAAGTGATCTGCCTGCCTCGGCCTCCAAAAGTGCTGGGATTACAGGCGTGAGCCATTGTGCCCGGCCAGTATTGAGTTATAAAAATGAACATACTAGAAGTTTTCTTATTTTGCTCAACTTTATATTTTTCAGATTCATCCACATTACCACCTATGTAATTCTTCATTTATTCACTTTAACAGTGACCTAGTATTCCATTACATGAACTTATGCCAGTTTATCCATTCTCTATTGATGGCATTTAGATAACTTACAAGATTTTGCTATTGTAAATAACATTGCAACAACCAACTGTGCAGAAGTCTACTTGGGCACGTGTGTGAGTGTTTCTCTAGGGTAATTTACCTGGAAGCAAAATTATTCAGTAGAAGAATATACTTATTTTCAACTTTTCCAGAAAATGTGAAACTGCTTTCCAAACTGCTGGTAGGTATTTATACTGTCATCATTACTATATGACATCTTGTTTTCCTACATTCTTGCCAGCTTGTATGTTGGAAGACTTTTAATTTTTCTCCAATTTGATGTGTATGAAATATGTTCTTGATGTTTTCATGTATTTGTTGGCTTTTTTAAAGTTTGAGTCTTTCTTACCAGTTATTCATGGTGGAGGATGAGTTCTAATCAGGCACATATTTGATTAAGTTGTGGCGTTATCTGCCAGCTAAGCGCTATGTTGATGTGGGTCTTATGTTTGTGATTTTGCGATACCGAATAGCCAAGATGAGGCCCCCACTGTGAATTTCCTGGGTGATGTAACTGCGGAGGAACGTAGGTCATGGGCCACAGTGCTCTGTTTTGTTCTGCAGGTCTGGCTATTCCTCTAGATGGAAGATGAATCTGACCCTTGTGTGGAGAGCTCTGCCTGGTAGATGACTTGGCCTCCTTGGGCCCACCCGAGTCTCTAGGCTGCAGTTACTTTGGGGAGAAATGTTCAGGGAGTGCTAGAGTATGCTAATTTTTATAATACAATGTTGAGTGATAAGGCAAAGGAATAAACTCTTGTGAGAGATTCAGCATCTTTAGCAATAGAGTGTGGGGAGCATCCTGATTACAAATAAATATATTTAGCCTATAGGTTTTCTTTTTTTTCTTAAATTCCTGAACCTGACTTCCTGGTAGAAAAACCTTGGACTGGGGCTAATGGTGCAGAAAAGCAATTTTTTTTGCACTGAAAACTTATACAATTATGAGAGAAGGTATTGAATTCAGCGTAATGTTGCAGCTACCATGGAAGACCTAGAAAAAGGGACAATTAACACCCATAATCCAGGCTCCTGGGATTAACTCCATGGGCAGTGCTTCACAGTGAAGGGCACTGAAGATACCAGAAGTGAGACCAAACCAACAGATTCCCGGGAGCAGAAGACTCATAAGGGACCAAGCAAGTTATTCCCTCATAGACACCTAGAATGCTGGTGTTTTGTTATATTAGGATTCTACTAATGACTACCTCTACTGGGGAGCTATTTGTAAAGAAAGCAAGAAAGAAACAGATAAGTAACATGGTTTATCAAAAAATCAGCACCAGTCATTTGAAAAAGGAATGCAAACTGCTGCTACTTTTGTGTCAGGCATCTTAATTCTCTGGGGTTAGGTCTTACCTGAGTAATGTGTGGCCTAGTCTCAGTGGGGACATAAGGAGGCCTAATAGTTAGATTTTCTCTTCAGCGAGGATGACCATATATGTTGGTTTCCTATGACGGACTTGGCTTATGCATTTTCTTTGGGCATGTTGGTTAATATTGTACTTGTTTACTCTAAAAATGTCCTGCTTTGTACTATAAATCATGTGGTCATCCCATTTTGAACTTGTACAAGCCACTCTTGTAAATATGTTGAGTTGTCTGTTCACTTGTCTGACTCCCCTGTGAAACTGCAAACTCTTTGAGGGTGGGGACTATGTCCCTTTGACTTTGTGTACCCAGTTTTTATCAATGTGCATTTAGTAGGTGCTCAATATTTTAAGAATGAATGGATAACCTTTTACCTTAAAGGAGTCCTTCTCTGAGTCATCGGATTAATGAAAGTACCTTTGGGAATGACATTTTGTGTCACTTACGAGCACCTGAATGAAGTGCTTAAAATAGGTGATAGGATAGAACCCCAAGGAGGAGAAGTGTTGGAACAAGGTGAGCAAGCCCTTTTAAAAGCTGATGTACAAAGAACAGAGACAGACGGTAGACTTCACAGTTTTTGGCGGGGCTGATTTTTGAGCCTATCTTCACAACGCTATTTAAAAAAAAAGCTATAGTAAAATGAATCAAACAGCTCTTGGAGATGTTAAAGAGAGCTCTTCAATTCTGAAAGGGCCCCAGGTCTCAGCCCTATGGTCATTTCCTCTGCAGTGAGAACATCTGTTGGGAGGGAAACACTCTTTTCTGTACTCTGTGCCATTCTTCAGATAGAATCATACATCTATAGCTGGAAGTGGCCTTAGATACTGTCTAGTTCAAATCTTTCTCATGACTGAGAAAATTGGCTCAGTGGGTTAAACAATTGGCCAAGCCCACAGAGATAGTGTCAGGAGCCAAAGGAACCCTTCTAGTATTGCTCTTAGACTCAAATAGTATTTAAAAATCTGTTTGCCACTGAGACCCTGAATTCTCATTGCAGATCCGTTTCCAAATAATTTTGGAAGGATTTGGCTTTGGTTCCCTGGGGAGTATCTTGAAGGGAAGATTGCTTGTCCTGTACCACAATGGAAAGAGCAGAGAGAGCCTTCTGAACAATTTGGGGGCATAGAAGGGAATGCAGTAGCCCACAGGATGGGGAGAGGGAGGATTGTATGTCCATGTTGCACATATTAAATTGACAAAAATGTCCTGTACAGACCTTGTGACAAAAGCAAACCCTTTTGTTTGTAATGCCAGCGTAAAAACAGACAGGAACAAATGTTCCATCCATGAATTCAGAAGTTTGGCAGTTAACAAAGTGTCCTGAAGCGTGGCATAAATGAAGGCAGATCATCTTGGCTGCCCGTTTCATCATGTGGATGGAAAAATCTTCTGGGTGAAAGTAAACAGACTTCAGGGCACTGGGCTGGTTCAGGAGGGTGGTCTCAGGGTGGGTAGGGAAGCTGGCCTGTCGTAGCAACTCACTCAGACCTGTCTTCATTAAAGACCTTAGAGAAGGAGAAAGGGCTTGAAGATGAAATTCACAGATGATTCTGAATGGAGAAATGTGGCAAACACCAGCAGAAGCAAAAGAGTAACCTAAAGGAATTAGAAAAATGGGAAAGGCAGGGACAAAATGCGAATCATCATGGAAAAATGCAAATGGATATGTCTGGGGCAAAATAATCCACAAACCAGATATTCATTGGGCAGAAAAATTTTGAAGTGCATTAAGAATAGAAAAGTGCTGTAAAATGGTTGCTGCATTCTGACAGTTTAGGTGGGTGGGCGGGCAGGGAGGGAGTGGGCATGGAAGATGGGTGGTCCTTACAGGAGGCTTACTCATAGGTGTGAAGTGACCTCATTACGGGGCCTGCTCCATCTTTCTCTGCACCTAATGCTTGCACGGCGCATTCTGATATCCCAGGGGGTTGGCTGGGATGAGGTGCATGTCTTGCTGGCACTGTGAGATGCCTGTTGGGATAAACAGGTAACATTCCAACCACCAGGCATCTGCTTTGGAGTTAGCCTTCCAGACCATATTCTTTTCTTTAAAAAACAAAATGTATCAAAGAGCATCCAGACTTTTCTTTGGAAGAAGAGCATGAAAAAGAATTTCTGTCAAAGAACAAACATTTCCTATTTATGTCATACAGAGTAACAAATTTGGAATAATTTTGTCATTGTTTTGATTTGAGAAATTTGTTACCAAAAACCTTCCTTTAAACCTCACTTGTAAAATTTTAACAATTACAAACTGATGATGACCAGAGATTCTCATTTTCCAAAACAACTCACTTGTTTCTCACTCTGGAAATTGCTCTGTTTTGGAAAGTCCTACATGAGACCCCACGAAGTGCTATGTGTTGATGATTCCTTCAGCTTGAGGAATTGTGAAGAAAAACAGAGCCCTCCACTCCTTTCCTTATTATAGTGGAGTCAAAGACCCCTGTCACAGGCCTAGTTTAGGGAAACATTCACTATCTTGTTTTGAGCAGCTTTTCAATTTGAAAAGCTAGGCCCGAAATCAAGGTCTTATAACTTGACCAAAATCATTTAAGGTACAAGAATAGCAGTGTGGATTCCCAGGAACTTCTTGTATCCTCAAAATTGATTATCAAGAGGAATCATTTAAAAAATATAAGCTGAAATAGGATATGTAAGCCTATGTAACTGATGGACAGCTTCTCATTGCAACAGAAAACCATGTAATTCTTCGGGGTTGTTTTCAGATCTATCTTCCTTCAATCACAGTAGTTCTCTATAGGGTGTAGTAGATGATGACCACCTGAGGAGCTTGTTAACAACTCAGGACTTGGCATGCAGAATGGGGTTGTGGGGAGTGGGCTGGGGCCTGGGTGGTCTGCGATGTGGTGATGAAGAGCAAGAGGCAGCAGAGCTGCTGTGTGGAGTTTGGAGTTGACCTAAGCTATTTGATCTCCCCATGGGTGACCTCACCTGGACTAATGGGGCAAAAAAGCTCCTAGATCTAATTACTGATGAGGAGCTTGAGGATGCAGCTGGAGATGCTGTTTCTGGGAAGCCTGGCTTTAAGGCCCACACTTTGAAGTCATGACCTAGGTAGGCCTGGCCCTTGACTCAAGTGTCAGAGGAAGACAACTGGAATAGAATCTCTCAGCTTCCTGCCTCCCATCCCCACTCTCTTGTGATAACCTGGGAAGCCCATCCTGGATCATGGCTGGGGGCTAGACCATCCTAGAATGAGCTCCCAAGGGCTGGAGCTGTGTTGTGTTGAGTCTGAAGGAGGAAGAGAAAGAGACAAAGTTAATCTCCAGGATGCCAAAACCTGATGTCAATTTCAAAGGCCCCGAAACAAGAAGTAAGCCAATGGGGTCTGAATAAGGGTAGACAATACAGCAACATGTGGAAGTGAAGTAAGAGATAAAGAGAAGTGTGCTGAATAGTGAAAGAAAGCCTCAAGCTCAGTTTTGTGCTTGCTAGTGAGTGTGTGCATAACCAGCTCTTAGCTCTGGTTATTTGGGTGGGCATGTCTAAAGTTCAAGGTCAAGGCAACTCCTGCTGATGGCTGAAAGCCCAGTTCTGCTCCTATAGGTCCCAATTAGTATAGCCTACCTGGTAGAAAGCTTTGGGTCTCCATGGGGCAAAAAGTGAGCTATCCAACAGGGTTAGTCCCAGGTGGCCCATTGTCCATGAAATCACCCCTGTACTGTCAGAGGCCACACCCAGGACCGGTCAAAAGAGGAATGAGTAGAGCTAAGCTATCTGGGCTCCTGGATGGGTGGTTGGCTGGGAAGAGTATGGGAGCTAAGAAGCCTCCATGGTTTCACTCTGGGGACTGGCAGCTATTTGAACCGAGGTATGGTCAGGAGCAAGATGAGAATGGGTGGAAACTGGGATTGTGAGGGGCAGAAAGGTGCACAAGGGCCTGGTTGAATTCAGCTCCACCTGCAGGCTGCTCCACCTGCCATTTAATTTTTCCTCAATTAATTTACTTCTCAGTGTTTCTACTCCCGTGATTAAAGGCTCTATGGCCCTTGACAGATTTACATGTGTTTATTTTTTCTTCAACAAAGACATAACTTTGGGTGCCAGTCTTCACCATCTTGACTAATTCTTGACATAACACCTGTGATGTTTGAGACAGACACCCAGAGTTACCTGTGAAATTTATCTTTGTTTCTTCATTGTCTTCCCCCACTGAAATGTTACTGACATTGTAACACTTTTTACCACTGCATAGCACAGTGCCTGATACATAATTGGCTTTTAATAATATAGCAGAGGAATGGTTTGATGCCTTGTGTACTAGTATGTTCAGAACAGGAGCTGCTTTGGTGCGGTTTGAGTCATGAGTCACTCTGACAAAAGGCAGCTTATGATATGGATATGTAAGGTGTTCTCTTAGTGTTTTAAACTGCTTTATTCTCTTTGGTTATGTATTTAAGTTCAGAGGTACATGTGCAGGTTTGTTATATAGGTAAACTTGCGTCACGGGGGTTTGTTGTACAGAATATTTCATTTCCTAGGTGTTAAGCCTGGTAACCCTAGTTATTTTCTCTGATCCTCTCCCTCCTCCCACCCTCGATTCTCCAGCAGGCCCCAGTGTGTCTTGTTCCCCTTTATGTGTCCATGTGTTCTCATCATTTGCTCCTACTTATAAATGAGAACATAGTGCTTGGTTTTCTGTTCCTGTGTTAGTGTCCTAAAGATAACAGCCTCCAGCTCCATCCATGTTCCTGCAAAGGACATGATCTCGTGCTTTTTTATGGCTCCATAGTATTCCATGGTATATACGTACATTTCCTTTATCCAGTCTACCGCTGATGGGCATTTAGGTTCATTCCATGTCTTTGCTATTGTGAATAGTGCTGCAATGAACATACGCATGCATGAATGGTTAACGTATTTATTAATGATCAGTCTTTGTAATGACCTGAGAGGCCCTCTGCTGGTGACCTGTTTTCACAGATGATTCTGTGCTAGTGAAATATCCTTGCTTGAGGTTCTGTGTGAAATGAGAAGCTCAGATTCTCCCTCCAGAGTGGTGGGCAGGGGTGTAATCTTCCTGGCTTTGCTGCCTGGTTTCTATATGACCCAGCAATTCCACTTCTAGTGTATACCCAAGAGAATTTAGAACATATGTACCCTAAAACTTATACCTGAATTTTCATAGCACCATTATTCATAATAGCCAAAAAGTGACACAACCTGAATGTCCATCAACTGGCAAATGGATAAACAAAAGGTGGTCTATTCATACAATGGAATATCATTCATCCATAAAAGGAAATGTCACTAGGTAGACATACCTTAGAACATGATGCTAGGTGAAAGAAGCAGATGACACAAAAGGCCACATATTGTATGATTTCATTTAAATGAAATTTCCAGATCAGGCAAATCAGTACAGCCAAAGTAGATTAGTGATTTTCAGGAATTGGGGGAAGGGGATGATAGGGTATGACTACTTAGGGATCTGGCATTTCTTTTTGGGGTGATGAAAATATTCTGGAAATAATGGTAATGGTCCCACAACTTCATGGACATACTAAAAGCTACCAACTCCTACCTTTTGAAAAGGAAGAATTTCATGCCATGTGAATTATATCTCAATATAAAAAGTAATTTTAAGTTGCTACCATGTAAGACCTCCAAACAGGCCAGGCACAGTGGCTCACGCCTGTAATCCCAGCACTTTGGGAGGCCGAGGCGAGTGGATCACGAGGTCAGGAGATTGAGACCATCCTGGCTAACACGGTGAAACCCCGTCTCTACTAAAAATACAAAAAATTAGCTGGGCGTGGTGGCAGGTGCCTGTAGTCCCAGCTACTCGGGAGGCTGAGGCAGGAGAATGGCGTGAACCTGGGAGGTGGAGCTTGCAGTGAGTCAAGATCGTGCCACTGCACTCCAGCCTGGGCGACAGAGCGAGACTCTGTCTCAAAACAAACAAACAAACAAACAAACAAAAAAAACCCAAATGAGGAAGGGATCAGATTCAGTGTAGATGGCATGACTGAACAGCAAGAGTTACCTAGAGGAGGATTAGCAAAGGCTGCAAGAAAAGAAGTTTAGATTGAAGCAGATGGTAGCTCCTCTCTTCCTCATGATGACCAAAGACATCTCAGTGGTGTGAGGCTGGAACTGGACAGAAGCTGGATCAATGTCCAGGCCAGCCACTCCCACATTAGCCTGTGATGTCCTCATCCCTCACCCCAGCTGGGAATATGTTTCCTTCTGCTCTTTCCCAGTGTGCATCTACTGTCATGTCAGCCGTTGGCAGAATCCTTTGAGGCTTCAGGTGTTCAGTGCACTGCCTCTGAGTCACAAACTAAACATACCTTGTAAGAAATAGAAAAATATTGCATGCATAAAGTTTAGTTTTCTTGCTGTCTGGGGCAGTCTTATTGTCATTATACTTTATTTCATTAATGAATCCTCCAAACAGCAAATAACTTGCCCCTTAAATTGTATCTACATTGACTGGGAGACCCAATAGGTATGTATCTAAAGATTAAACACACATTTGGATTTTAGGGTTTAAAAAATGAACTAGAAATGATCCATGCTCTCTATAAGCTTTGGGTTAGTTAGGGAGTTGACTCAGATTCATGACCGCAGAAGGTGGCATGTCACACACGGTGCTGAAAGGTACTACTTAATGCTGCTCAATGAAGCTATGGCAGCTAAGGGACAGGAACCTTTCAATTACACTGCAGTGATTGGGGAAGTTTCTATGGAAGAGCCATTTGAGATAAATTTGATTTAGATTACCAAAGAGAATAGGAAAGGAAACTCCAGGGCAGAAAGAATGCTAGGCATAAAGGTGCAGAGGCCAGAATGCTCTAGCACATCTTGGGAAGTGTGATTTGACTAGTTTGCCGAGGAGGATGTGCTTTGGGAAGTAGTGAGATAGAGGTTTAGAAGGAGATAAAAGGGAATTTTTTTATTTTTGAGACACAGGAACAGTGACAGGCATATACTGTCCCTTCTTTTGTAGGGTGGGGCTAGATCGGAAGAGCCCCTGGAGATTTGTCCCTTTTGTTTGCTCTTCTTTCTTACTGCATGAAGGAAAAATGAATCTAAGGCTTCGAGAACCTTGGAATTCACTATATTTAACCATAGAAGACTTCCCTGTACCTATGGGGAAGAGAAAACTTCAGGCTGCACAAATAGAGCACTCTCTCATGCTCGTGATAATGTATGTTGAGAACTTTCTTTGGAAAAGTCTTGGACGGAGGTGGTATTGGAGCTGGGTATCCCATATGCAGTTGTCCTCACACAGCGTGCTCTTGATTACCAGCTTTGTCCACAATGATGCCATGCATACATGTTGGCATGGACATACAGAATGGGTTTTCAGCACTGCTGGCTTACAATTGGCTGCCAGTCAAATTCACAATCCACCTCGTGCACAAGCAGCTTCACAAATCTCAGACAGAACAGCTTTGTACATACTGCATCACCTTGAAAGAGAAATGTACCATTTATGGTCTGTCTTGGCTTAAGTTCTTGGCAGTTTAGGGCCGTTTTCATTGGAGACAGGTAACATGCGGCTGTGGCCGTTAGAAGAAGTCTGCTTTTCCATTCTGATCCATGAAGGATGCCACGGAACACTGTGGAATTGGATATGACCTCTTTAAGTGCATGACTATGTGATTATTTCCTTCAACTTGGAGGCCTTTTGTTTATTAAAGAAACTTGCCTACCCCTTAACACAGGAAAATTCTTAATTTACAAAATTGCCCTTGGAAAACTCGTGCTTTCTGCAAAGGATAAGGAAATGAGCTGTTTTCTCCTAGTTTCTGTCTTTGATTGCTTTATGATGTTGGCAGTGATGAGCAGAGGGCCACATGAGTTATTTTCTCCACAAGGAAAGGTCTCTGTGAGGCATACAGATCCTTGGGTGGGGTTTCCAGACATACTACCTGGGTTTCCTTCAAAGCAAAACTCGGGCATCCAGGGAGGTCAGTCTCCTTACCCCCGCACAAACCACAAATACTTCCCTACCTGTATATGTAATTTTTTTCTGATGAAAATACTCTCAGCCACATTTCACCTTTCATGCTCCAAATCCCATATTATCCCCATTATGAAGCACCCACTGGTTATTTCAGCCCACGTGGATGGCCTTCGCACTGGGATCCTACGGCCTTACACTCACTCCCCTAAAATGGTTTTATTCCTATTGGGTTATTTCCTTGACCAGGTAGCAAACCTTTTAGGCACAGGTTCTTGACAGATTGAATTGACAACAATTGAGAAGGAAGGCGACAAATCGTAGCTTTGTAAGAGCACAGCAATAGCATTTACACACTTGTTTTATTTCTAGGAAGAAACATAAGTAGAGAAGGCTTTGCAAAAACTCTTGCCATTAGGTGAACGTCATCAAATGGTTATTAGAAGAGGGTGGCCTACAGCACTGTATTCTGGCTTTGGAAGTGGGTGATTTGCCTTTCCCCAACACCTCTCTTAGAAAAAACAAACATGGAGTGGCTGAAGCCACAGTTGGCTGAGGCTAAGTTTCTGAGGGATTGACTGGTGAGGAGATGGGGCCAGCCTTGCACAAGGTGGGTCTTAGAACTGGGCCAGAGCCAGGGTGGGAGTGGAGGAGGTTGCTTTCATGTAATTTTCTTCGCCTGTAAGTCTGGAATTCTGCAAATTTTCATAGCCAGTTTTGAGGTCTTTTTACTTTAAGTCAGATCAAAGGATAAAGGAACTTAGGTTAGAGTCAATTTACTGATGAACTAATTTAAGTTGCAGAGGCACAGATACTGTGTATCTCTGTCTTTCCTCCCCACCATCCCTATAAAGTCCTTTTAGTCATATATGTATAAGGAAACGCATTTAAGGAGGGAAAACACCTGGAGATGCACATCTAATCAAGCTTCCCATATCCCGCTCTTCCTCTTTTATCTCTCATATACATAGTCTAATTTGTATCTGCCTATTTTTCTTTCTTTAAGCCCAAAATGTAGGGCTACCAGGGCATTAGAAGTTATCATTTCCTTCAGGAACTCAAAAATCACCTTATTAAAGGGGTCTTCCTGGCCATAAAAAATTGCGTTACCCGCTTTCCAACCCATACCTCAATCATTCCCTCCCCCACTTACCCTGCTACCTCTTTTCTACAAATATCTTATGCTGCCTGCCATATCATATATTTGTCTGTCCCCCGCTGCCCTGGAATGTAAGCACTATAAAAATGGGCCTTTGTTCTGTTTGCTGATGTATCTTTAGTGTCTACAATAAGGTCAGAAAGTAAATGTGGCTCTGTATCTAATTGATATTTCAAAACTTAAATACCAGAACCTAGAGAGTTTCCTCTTTTTTTTTTTTTTTCATTTAAGCCTTGTGGTCCTCATTGTTCTACAGCTCTTTGGTGCTGTATTAGAGTATTCCAAAGAAACAGAACCAATAGGAGGTGTGTGGGTATATATGTATCTTCACACATATATATATTTTATATACATATATACATATATTTTACAGATGTATTATATAAAAATATTTCATATACCATATGTATTATATATATTATATATATATTTTTAATGTATGTATATAAGATATATGTTTATATTCTGTCTCTAGAGAAAAATATAGATACCTAAAAAGAGGTTTATTATGGAAATGGACTCACCCAATTATGGAAGCCAAGAAGTCCTACAATGTGCCAACTTCAACCTGGAAAAGCAGAGGAGCTGACTGTGTAATTCCCAGTCTGAGTCTGAAGGTCTGAGATCAGAGGGGAGAGGAGAGAGCAGGGTGGTGACCACTGGTGTAGGTCCCAAAGTGAGTCTGAAGACCTGAGAACCAGGTGTGAGAGCAGGAGAAAATGGATGCCTTAGATCAAGAAGAAAGAGTGAATTCTCTCTTCCTCTACCTTTTTGTTCTATTAGGTCCCTCAACAGATTGGATAACTTCTACCCACATTGGTGAGGGGGAATCCTTTCCACTCAATCTACTGATTCAAATGTTAATCTCTTCTAGAAACACTCTCATAGGCACACCCAGAAATAACGTTTTGGTAGCTATCTGGGTATCCTTTAGCACGGTCAAATTGCACATAAAATTAACCATCACAGGTGCCTTGTAATATATGACTTTTTTGTAATAAATCAAATTTTTCTGGTTATTATCAATGGAAATCTTCATCTTATGCAAACCATTTCATTTTACCTGAAGGCAAGTCTCTCTGCTTCTCCCTGTACCCACCCAGGGCTAGTTCCTTAGGTTTGATGCAGTCGTCTTGTTTTTTCTTTTTTCCCAGTCTCAATGGATCACAGAGGATCAGGGCAGTATTCTCTGCTGTTTGATCTGCTGCTATGATGCTCCCAGGGCCTGGAAATAACACATTTTGCTCATGTCTTTGCCCATTCTCCATGGCCATTTGAGCTCACTGGCTAAAGGTTCCTAACCTTTTATCTCTTTAAGGGACACCTGATTTGGATGTTATGTTTGGATGTAATATGTTCCTGTATAAATTGCAGGTTTGTTTATTCATTCCTCTTCAATAATAAATTGAGGATATTGCTGATTTTCCAATACATGAACTAACCTGTTGCATGGGTACAATATGGCAGTGATTGGTAACTTCATGATCTGGATGCTAGTTGAAGCAAAGCACCATCAGTTAACTTTCTTATTCATAAGTTACAGATATGCTACCTAACCCTGTTTATGTTGTATAATGGAGTTAAAAGTTTTTAAAGATTCCAACAAGCTATGGTGATGGACTGAAACTGTAGAATAAAATAGAATAGGGATATATATGAAATCCTATATTTAGAAAAAAAACTTGGCTGTGAACAAGATAGAAAAATATAGCTTAAGGGAAGACTTTGGTGTTTATTTACCACAAACCATAAATAAACTCCCAGTGTGATGAGGTTGCTAAAAATAACATAATAACATTTTAGGCTCTTCTAACACTGGTGTGGCATCCAGGTTACTTCTACTTTTCTCGGTCATACCACATCTAACTTATTCCAGTTTGGGCTTTACTTTTTAAAAAGAACATAGATAAATAAGAATTCATATAAGCACAATGAAGACTTTGATGCATGTTAGACTGGAGAAGAAACTTACTCTTTAGTGGCTGAATTTAGATAATGGGAGCATGGCCATGTACTTCTTCCGTGTCTGGAAGACAAATGACCAAGTCATACCCCTATATAACTGCAGGCATTTTAGTTATTAGAGCTGTTGAATGAGGTGGGCTGCTCTCTTGAGAGAGAACTCCCTGTTCTTGTTGGTGTTCAGAGGATGGTTGTCCCCCTCTCAGGAATATGGTAACAAAATGGAAAGTTGCAGGCGATGATCA